>NC_000013.11:103752979-104377979 GCF_000001405.40 Homo sapiens | reverse complement strand
TTCTGTTATACAACACAGTGACTCTAGTTAATACTTATATATGGCATATTTCAAAATAGTTAAACAAGTTTAAATGTTCTCATCACAAAATAATAAATATTTCAGGTGATATGCTAATTAGCCTGATTTGATCATACCCAATGTATACAAGTATTAAAACATCACACTGTACCCCATAGATATATACAATCATCAGTCAATTAAAAATAAAATGAAACAAAAAATCTGACCCAGAACTTGCTAGTATCACCAGACAAGTACATTAGGACAGTTATAAAAATTGCATCTTACATGCTCTAAAAATAAACTGGAAGAATGGAAGTTATTAAAAAAAAAGCCCAAATTGGACTTTCAGAGATAGAAACTACAATGTCTAGGATAAACAATATACTGGATGAGATTAATGGCAGATTAGATATTGCAGAACATGGCTAGTGAATTTAAAGACACAACAATACTTACTGTACTTAAGTGCTATGTACGTACTAAGTAAATAATACTTAATATGTAAAATGAATAACAAAGAAGAAATTACATATGAACATAGCATCAGTGAGTTATGGGACCAACTTTAAGAAGCCTAATAGACAGGTAATTGGATTCCCCAAAAAGGAAGAGAGGAGAGAAAACATATTTGAATAAACAATGGCTTAATTTTACAATTTTGATGAAAATTATTAAATCCCACAAATCCAAGCACAGTGAGCCCTTTATATACATGAGGAATACGACACCAAGATTAATGATAATTGAATTGCTTGACACCAAAGATGAAGAGAAAATCTTAAAAGGAGCCACAGAAAAAAAGAAATAAAATAAGTTGACAACAGGTTTTTTTGTTGTTTTTGTTTTTTAGATTTTGCCAGAAGGTAAATAATACAGTTCAAAAATCTCTTTAAATTCTATGCTCATTGAACTCAACACTCTAGAATTCTACACTCAATGAAAAATTTTTCAATAGCTGAAGGCAAATAAAGATTTTCCAGACATATAAATTCTCAGATAATTTTTCATTAGCACATCTGCACTATAAAAAGTGTCAAAACAAGTTCTTCAGGAAGAAAGACAATGATACCAGTTGGAAATCTGGACCTAGATAAAGGAATGTAGAATAATGACAATGGTACCTAAGTGTACAAAGAGATACATGTTTTATTTTTATAATATTCTTATTTTTTATTTTTATTTTTATTTTATTTATTTATTTTATTTATTTTTATTTATTTAAATATTTGAAAGATAACTGATAAGCAAATGTTAACAACCATATAGCAAAAGGTTTATAACATACATAACAGAAATAAGTTATACCAGAAAAATAGCACAAACCTGTGGAAAGGACGTAATACTATTTTAAGCTTCTAGTACTATGCATGAAACTATCATTTAAGATAGACTGTGATGACTTAAATGAATATACCCTTAAACCTAAAACAACCATTAAAATAATAAAGAGTTACAGTTAACAACCCAATAAATAATTTTTTAAAAAATCGATTTATTAATGAGAAAAAAGGAATCAAAGAACAAATGGACTGATAATATATATTGATATGGCAGATTAAAACCTAACCAAATCACTAGTCAAATTGAATAGATCTGATCTAAGCATCCCATAATTTGTCAATTGTAGAAAAAAGCAAGACCAAATGATATGCCACATACAAGTAACGCAGTACTTTAAATACCAAGGCAAAAGTAGGTTAAGGTAAAAAGATAGGAAAAGACTGGATAAGCCTGTATCCAATCTGGAGACAGGAATCACATAGAACAGGGAGTTTTAATATAAAGAATTGTTTAACAATGATAAGAGCAATAAGGAAAAACATGGGTCCAGTAGCTGAGAGAGAGCTTCCAAGGAAGGTTGCCCATGGCAGGAGGGGATCAACGCTTGTTGAAGAAAGCACAGTTGCAGCCAATTGTGCTCAGCCCCCTTCATGTTTTCTAGTAGATGAGGCAGTCAAGATCAAAATCAGATGTTACAGATTCTTTTTTTTTTTCTAAATCTGAGTTTTAGGTATAATTTTTTAATTGCATTATCATAACCATATTTAGTTACAAACAACATTACTTATAATATTCATTGACCTTCAGATAAATTCTTGTGCACTTTCCCAGAGCTCAGCTCAGTAAGCATTTTTATCCTGCCCTCTGCCTGAGGGATTACTATACATATTATGCAAACATCTCTACTAAAAAGGAATCATTGAGTGCATTGAGCTTAAGTAGACTCCATTTACGTCTTTGAAATCTTGATAAAGCAAATAGATATACTTTCTAGAAACATGTGATTCTTATGTCCTTGTCCTGAGTATTTCCTTGGGAAGACAGCTGGTGACAAGCATTGAACTGGGAAGGTTAACCTCTCAGACAGTTTATCTTGAAACATTTTGGAAAACACGACATGTTGACAAAACCATAAACAACAACAACAAAAAGAAACCATTAGTGCAAAAACTAATCCTGCCAACTGGTTAATTGGATAAGACATTTAGCAAGGCCACAATTTGTGCTAAGAAGCTGATCTGAAAATGCCAGTTAAATAAGGCATCAGTGAAGTACGAATACCAAGATTTTGATAGGCAAATACAATATGAAAATCAGAAGTACGTGTATTATGAATATTAAACTGGCTTATCAAGGATAATCTCATGCCTAACCAGATGTTTTTATAAAAATAAGATGAAAATTCAGTTAACAACAATCTTCCCAAAAGGCATGGGCCAATGTATTTCCTTAGGCTGCTAATTTCTGATATTCCTCATTTTATCTCCAACTCCTGCCTGCAGTGCAGCCACTATGAGTTCCCATCAAAGACTTGCCCTTTGTCACTGATGTCTAGGGAGGAGACTCACACAATGCACAGTGTTTATTAAATAGTAGCGTTCATCAAGTGATTTCACTTGATGAAGGAATTACAGGTTGAGCATCCCTAATCCAAAAATCGGAAATCTGAAATGCTTCACAATCAGAAATTTTTGACCACCTACCTGACATCACAAGTTGAAATTTCCACACATGACCTTATGTGACAGATTGCATTTAAAAATGCAGTCAAAACTTTATTTCATTCACAAAATTATTAAAACTATTCTATATAATTACCTTCAGTGTATTTGTGTACAGTGTACATGAAACAGAAATGCATTTTGTGTTTAGACTTGGGTCCCATCCCAAAGATATCCTATTATGGTTATGCAAATATTACAAAAATCAGAAAAAGTCCAAAATCCAAATCACTTCTGATTTCAAGCATGTTGGATAAATGATACTCAACCTGTAATCATAATGACAATAGTAATAAACATTTATTAGGAACTTACAGTGTCCTAGGGAATGTTTGCACTGTTGTACACGGTGTCTTGGGTCAGGTTCCTTAGGAGCAGGGCTTTTATGATGCACCTTACAAAGTGAAGGCCCTCAGGAAAGACTCAATAATGAGTGAGAAAAGCAAGCTAAAGAAAGGACTCCCAGCCTGGTGATCTGCCCGCCTCGGCCTCCCAACGTGCTGGGATTACAGGCTTGAGCCACCACACCTGGCCACAGTTCTGCTTTTAGCCAGACCCCAGCAGGAGCTCCTCAGAGCTGTTTTTGCCTTGATACAAAGGACATGGTTTTGTGTGACCTGGAGGAAACTTCTAGACCATTCCTTATGAGGAGATTCAACCACCCCTAGAGCAAGCCTCAGGAGGGTGTGCGTGGAAGGGACTCCTCAGGCACCAGCTTGTCTCTACACTATGTGGAGTACTGTGCTTAACACAATACAGAAAAAAAAGCATAAACCAATGCAAACCAAGCAAACCAGCGGAGGACCCTGGGCGGCCCGATCTGAATGAACAACATTTGTCACAGGTGTTTTAACTTATTTAATCCCCCAATGACATTATTAAGAGATAGTATTTTCATCTGTTTTTCATAGAAAACTGGGGCTCATAGAGGTTAATTTGCCAATATTACTTGGCAATTAAGCAGCAGCACCCACACTTGGAGGAATAAAGTGGGGAGAAGGAGGAGCAAAGGAGAGAAGGGGAGAGAAAGGAGTAAGTAGGTAAATCTTGCAAAATGTGCCTATGATCACTTGCTTCTTTTCAGTTGCTGTTTATAGTATCTGTTTGGGGAAATTCAAATAAATTACTGTCAATGATATTTGTGGTTTGCACCTGGTACTCAATTTATGTAGAAACTTGGGTAAGGAAACTTAGTGCTTTTAACACCTGTCAAAATCTTGTGTTTGAAAAAACATTTTAAAAGTCCAGTTTTTAAATTTCAAAATTGCAGTGAAAACCACTGCCTCTAACTAAACAAACTGGAAACACTTTATTCCCTTTTTCAAAGTGTTTACCTGGATATTTATCTTGTTTCTGATATTTCTTGATACGGAGATTGTATACCTACAAATACAAACCCTAGTTCTTACAAGATGATTGAGGTGACGGATGTGTAAGCAAGATTAAGGCAAGTCATGTAAACTTTCTGTGACTCAATTCCTGGTAATATGAACATACTAAAACATATCACATATTTTAGATTTTTAAATCCAGCATATTTCAAAAGACACTTAAAATAGAAAAAAAACTATAGAAATATTAATACATGCTAATTATGAATATATTTCAATATCACTTCTTATTTTAACCAGCTGCAGGAAGTCTGTATAAACAGTGGCAAACTCCTTTGATTTTATTTATTTTATATTTGTTCATTAAGTATGTCTCTAATGCTTCTTCCTACAGCTTCAGTTAATCAGTGAGTTTTCTTCATCTGGAAGCATAAAAGGGCTAACTTACATGTTTCTGGTAAGATCAACTTATTTTGCCCCTCCCTTTTGTTATTTACACCAACTTGATCCATTTAAATTGTGTGGTATTAATTAAATGGCTTGTGATAACATTTTTGATTACATCTAAAATCCTATGTTTCTTTAAGTAGGATTCCTTGTCTGCACCTTCTTGTTTCACTTGTCTCTGACAATGCAACTAAAATAGCTTTCTTTTATGTTGTCCTGCATTGCTAGGGTTCTAAATCACATACTTTATATTTTTAAATTCTCCTGGAAATCGTATGTATAGCTTGATGTCCAATAATGATGCTAGATTTATCTGGGTATTTTTGCCTTTTACATCACATGGCATTATTAATTTTGATGGCCACTCTGTTTAGAAAATGAAACCTAAAACATCATGTCTATTACACAGTTCTATTTTTTACATTATAATTTGCAAAAGGTTAATATGATTTCAATAAAATAGTGAAAATATTGTGGCATTGAGATGCTAATGTCGATTCCACCTAGACAGCATTCTGGGAACTATCTTACGTCCTTTATTTGCAGTACTTTTCTCTCAAAGGCCCACAAGGAAGTTTGCTATTTCTGCCAGCTGCAACTTATATGGGCTTCTCAAAGAATCCAGCAAGGCTCTGACAGAGGCAGACAGAAAGGAGGCAAAGGAGAGGAGGAGCAATTTTCTACATCAAAGGTATTACAAAACACTCGACAAAATTGTATCAAAATGTGTATGACACATATTATCCATGCATCCTGGAAACATCCTTTTCATTCCAAAACTATGGTGAGTCTTGCCAGGCACTTTGAAATTGTACTTGCAAATATGATTCTTAGTTCTTGCAATATGATCTAGGCGAGTGATGCATAAACAAGGATCTCTCTTATCACCTAACTCCCGGGAAGACAAATGGAATTCAGGTAGCATATTCTGAGCAATTATACAGAGACTACTCCCGGTGGTACCTCTTTTCATCCCACACATACCGCTCTGCTTATATAAAACAATCACTATCTGATGAATGATTTTCACAAAGCAGCCAAGAAACAGCATTATGATGGCATAAAGAAGCAAAACTTGATCTAGCGCAGACCTATAAATACAGACGTCTTCTAAATCTAGCAAGGTAATGGGTTATGATAATGAGAGTTGAAAAGAAAATGCACATATAAATATTGTAAATATCAATCCTATGTTGGGAAAAAGGAGGAAATGCCATGATTTGTTTACTATGATCAATATTTTTTCTAATGAAATCAGTGATAGCCATAATCACTTAGCAGGCAGCAGCTGAGAGTAAAAACAAACATCTTGAGCAGCTTAAGGACTTTTTTTCTGTATTATGTCAAGCACAGCACTCCACATAGTGTAGAGACGATATATACTAATAGCATAAAATGTCAAAATTAAATTAAACCAAATAATCTTTGGCATCAATTGAAGACACAGACTGTACCAGTGACCAGTACAGAAAGTTTTAGATATTAGTAATAATGTTAGACATTCATACACCTTTCTGAAGCCTATCTGCTCTGAATATTAAGAATAATATGATCTTATGCTTTTTAAGTAATGGATAGCCCATAAAAAAATTTTAAAAGGTAAAGATGTTCAATGATTGAAATATTTAAATTATCACATTCTAGAGTCATATTTCTAAGAAAAATAATACACATACACACATTCAAGAAATGCTTAAATATGAATTTTCTTATATACAGCACTAAAATTTAGGCACCTGTCTATGAAATACAAACAAATTAAATGTCATCTATATTACACAAAAATGTATTTGTTTATGCTAATGCACATTCAAGTCAAATTCACTAGACATTTATCTGGAAGTAGAAATTCCTCTTTTACTGAAGAACATATACAGAAAACAAAATTATTTCCTTAAGTAAATATCTGTGAGACATTTTTGATAGACCAATCTGTTTATACATTTAAGTTAATTCCCTTGAGATTTTCATTTTTTAAATTCTTTCATAAAAGTAAGTAATTAACTCAGACTCAATATTGTTAATTAATGAACAATTCTCATTTTCATTGTTTATTGATATGATATTCTGATATTCATTCCACACCTGAGTAAATATTCTTCTTTCAGAAAGTCACTGGGTAGATTATCCTGCTCCATTTATCACTGAAGGCACAGACATGTTTGTATTCTGAAGTTCTGTCTCTCCTTGAAGTAATTGAGGCTTTAAGCTTCCAAAAGGTTAACTAATTATGAATGACCAAATAGTTTCATTGTAGAGGGTCATTGTTCTTAAATGTCACAGTCATTAGAAGCGATTACAGCTTAACTACCTACCTTGGACTTGTTTTTAATTCAAGAAGAATTAGAAAGCAAAATAAAAATTCTCTCTTTTATCAGGGGTTGGATTACGTTAGGGTCAACATCTTCAAGGTGAGGATGTCAGCGCCTGTGCACAATTTTGTACTTGGTTTTGAACAGGTCCTAAATTGCTTAGAAGAAAAACACGTATCCTTAATACTTTTTACAGGGAAAACAATTCCATAAAGGCAACTACCAAAAAAGCAAATCAGAACTTCTTATGGAGTTTGTTGTTATTGTTGGTTTACTGTTAAAGATGATATTTGCAAACCTCGAGTCATAGAAATAAAATGATGGGTAATTAAGAAATAGTTCCAGATGTCTGTATTTAAAGAGAAGACAAAATGTTAAAAGAATTGGTTTTCTCTTTTACCTCTCCATTCAGAGCAAGACCAGCAAAAGGACAATAATACAAGAGTTCTGCTTTTCCCAACTCAGATGGTATAGTGGGGTGAAGGATGAGGCTCTCTTAAACAGAACAAAGTTCCCTATTGCTGCCTTTGATTTATGCATAGTATAGTGAGCTCCCTCTGACTTTATTCCTTATAAATGTTTGTTGAATAAATGATAGATGTATTGTGATTTAGAATGACATAAACAATATTATTAAACACTACTTATTTTCTTTTCTAAAATAGATGAAATAAAAAAGTGTTTTCATATAAGATGTGTGTGTATGTATAGCTAGAGTATATGTATACAATGAGGGTATCTTGTGACATGTTCACGAATGAACTATAAAAGAAAAATTGCTCTGAACGAGCTAAAGAGGCGAGGGAAATGTATTCAAGACCATTGTAACAGGAGAAAGATTTAACTCAACTACATGGAAACAAAAGATGGTAGGGTTTTTAAGCACTGGGGTGAACTGCTGGGAAAAATGCTGGAAGATATTAGGGAGAAAATTGGTCAATGCAATTAGCCATCCGTGTTTGCTAGTTGCCTCTTCTTGAACTTAGGCTCCTCTCCACCCCTAGCTACTGGTTGATAGGGATGCTTGCCTTTTTTGATGATTACATTTCATAGGATGGCTCCCAGGTCCTTGCAAAAGACATCCTTCAGTTGTAGAAGATTTACATCCCAAAGGAGCAAAGAAAAAAATTTACAACTGCAAGTTTTTTTTTATTAAGTAAATGCTCTAAGATAAAGGAGGTCACGGTCCAATAGTCAGAAAGAAACCTGTCTAAAGATTAGTTAACCTGAGGGGAACATTAAGGCTGTCTTGGTCAATACTTGCTCATATTTAGGTATTCTGCTAAACTTACATATACATATATAATCTTTATTTTATAGATGTGAAAAATAATATATCAATTGGCCTGTATAATTTAGAATTGGATGTGTGCTGATGCCCAAAGAGCTTGAAATATACAAATACCGTATTTTAAAAAATGAAATTATTAGAGTATATATTTGTATATAATAATTACTAAATACATGCTCTAGGCACCTAATTACAATCACAGCATATTTATATACCAGGTAGAAGAAATATCAGGTGAAAGGAAACTATGTGCTATTTGCTTATTTCCAAGAAAAAGTTCATTTTACATTAATTGATTGAATAATTCATTTTCTAGCTATTGAACATACCATTTAAAATAACAAGTTAAGCTTTTGAACAACACATGAAGAGACGATTTGCAAGAGGAGCCTGAATGTCAAAATTGTAAGTCATTGCTGGATTTGTCAATGGCAATTTTAGGTTGAAGAAAACTTTTGTGTCTGATAAGAGGAGGGGATGCTGAGCTGGGAAACACTTCTTTTTCTTTGCCCTGGCTCAGAACTTCACCTCTTTTCCCTGGATCACAGAGCCTGCTCCTTTTCTGGTCCCCTTTCTTTCAAACTTAAAGAATCATTTCATTTGTGCTCCATAAAGAGTCCAGATTTGTCTTTCTAAAATGCTTACATACAAATCTACCTTATTCTCCTGCTTAAATGCCCTTTAATGCCTTCCCAAGCCTGTTTTCTTGTTCAATTCCTAACCTCTGCAGAGGGCCCAGGGAGTGCCTCTCTTTTAAGCCACCTGCCCCATCACTGCTACATTACTTCTCTGTCTAAACCAACTCACCAAAATCTGTGGACAAGCGGTGTTTGAATATAAGGTCCCAAAAATTGCATTTTCAACAAGTGTCTTATTCTTAGGTATAGTAGAATCTAACACCCCTTCAGCATGTCTGCACTGGACCTGGAAGTCAGAATATTTAACAGAACCGATGACTGTTTGAGGAAGCTGTAAAATACTTCCTTAAGCTTTAGCTTAAGAATTGAGTTTGTCACATTAGAAAACAGAGAGAGGCTCTCTGAAAGAAAAGGATATTTATTCAAAAATGGGCATTGTAACAGCAATATACATACCATAGCAAACTACATGCATGCTCAGCTCAGGTAGGTAAAGGAAGACAAATATTTTTAAAGGAAAAATGAAGAAGATTATAAAATTGTTTTGTGATAATTATTGTTAGCTATAAGGATCCATAACAAGGGTGGTGCCGGTCCAAGGTTAGACAGGAAGTTGCTGTGCAGATGTCCTTGCAGAAGTTTTTTTGTGTGTAGTAAGGTTGTGGTGGGCCTTTCTTTCACAAGGTTGTGGTTTTTGCGGAGTCTTTTGTGATAGTCGTTGCCGTCAGGCATTTGTGCATAAGAACCCTCCGTTCACGGCCATCCTCGATGCCACTTGGCACAGTCTTTAACACAAGTGGCTCCATTTTGACTCTGACAACTTTCACAAGTTCTACATGTGGGTGGGTGACAGGACAGAAATGAAATTTATATTTCTGTGAATTGACTTTATTTACCTTGGCTTTACCATGAAGATATTTTACATATTTAAAACACTTTTAAAGAGAACAATTCTTAAAATCTAAGAAAGTCAGTTTCTGAGATGCCCTCACTGACACAGACCCTTGCCTTTAACATACTCTTCCTTTCGTCTCTGCTTATGCTGTCTCTGGAATTGATTGTTGTCCTCATTGCATTGGAGTGTGATTATTTTATTAAACCTAATAGATTATGAGCCCCATTAAGAATCAGAGCATAATATGTTCCTCCTTCTATCTCCAGCAGTTAGCACTGTGTTTGACACACTGTGATTCTTTAAAAAAGGCAAAAATATTGATGTAGTATATATACATACACTCTCTTAGGACTGCTAAGCAAAGTAGGAATACCCTAAATATTGATCCTTTGAGGACATGATAGCTTACACAAGTAACATGAAGGCAGGGGTTTTGTATATATGTTGTTCACTGTAATATTCCCAGCACCTAAGACAGTGACTGCACACATAGCAGGTTCACAGTACATTTTGTTGACTGTTTAATGAATGGACGGATAACTAACATAGCCATGCTTAGGATTCCCCTTATGTAATGGTACATTGGACTCATTCATTATGTGGATTCTAACAGTCATAATTCTTGTTTTACCTATTTATTTACTAAGGCATCAATTTCCCCTGGAAAAATTCTAAGATCTATTGAAGAAAACAAAAGATATTTAGAAACGGAACATGTTGTCAAATAACAAAGGCTGACATTATACATAGTAGACACACACATCCAAATTATTTGGTTAGAAGGACCACTATCAAGAATTGTGGACTTACTGACAAATGAATGACCCTACAATTAATCAAATATATTTTGTTAATTTAAGAACAACTCTGGTCTGCCATTGTTTGACAAGGGTGCAGCTTTGATTTGAGGCACATGGTCTGCATTTATCTAGTAAAAGTGGAATATTTTTATGGATATTCTGGTTTGACTAGATTGTGCTTAATTTACTCATTCAACAGACCTACCTAAAGGCCTTAGAAATGACTGAGTTGAGTGCTTCTTTCAAGAGGGATTTATATAAGCAGGACCCAATTTAGAAATAATTTCTGCTGAATGCGTTGAGTTCCTTTATTAACAAACTGGAAGTTTTATTTAGATCTTTGTCTCGTGATTTACATTTGGATCCTTACCTTTTTATCTGCCATTCAGAGTATTCTGCCCAAGAATTTCCCAAACACTAGTCTACACATTTTTTATGAAAAATTTTTACTCCTCTGCAGCAAAAGAAGGAAAAAAAAAAAAGCACTATTACATCTATATCCCCAAATCTCTGTAACTGTCTCTATATCCCGACACAGTAAAAAGTGAATAATTCTCTCCAATGGGCTTCAATTAAATAAAAAAATTGTTCTGTGAAAAATCTAATATCTATGCCTGTTCATTCTAGGTTCATTCTGACCTCATTACTAGGAGACACTGATAATCATCAGTTATCACTCTTTGCCCCACCATAAACTTATCGTTCTCCTGACACTGTTTCATATCTTTTCCCCTAGACTATATCGTGCTTCATTTTCTCAGGGCCTTGCTAGGTGATGACCTACCTTATTGGATAAAGTCAAAGATAGTTCCTTTTTTCTCTTCCTCTTCCCTAAGATAAGAGCCAGAAAACAATTTCATTCCTAAATTGTGGGCTTTCCTCTGTAAAAGAGAATATATTTTGAAAGATATATTGTTGTTCGGAGCTTGGGGCTAATATTGATTAAAAAGGATAATCTATTGGCTTGGAAAATAAAAGTAGAGCAGAATTACACTTCTCACCAATTTCCCTGTTTGAATAAAATAGGAATATGTGAAATGAGGAGATTCAGAAAAACTTTTACCAGTCATCAGGATGGGAGGAACCAGGTAAAGAACACTGGAGACTAAAAATTATCTGCATTTGTGTAACACCAGGCCTGCAGGTGAGCCAAATACACAGCTAGATTTGCCCAAACACATCAGAGCATACAGCTGAAACTAAAATGCATCTGTCCCACTCCTTGTGGATAAGGGGTCCTTGTCATAATTATAATGATATTTAAATACAGAAGCATCACAAATGAGATCAATAATATAAAAGAAGAAGTGACTGGTTGATGATGTTACTGGTTGTCTAAGTAAGTGGTAGATCCTCCTTGTAAGAGTAACAGGAGGGTTTTGGGAGAGGTTTGCATAGGAATAAAAATTGACAACAAGGGAAGGCGGAATGGGCCTGCATTGCTGGAAATGGCTTATGTGTACACTGAGGATGCATACTTGGAAACGTTTCAAGTAAGCACGTGGGTTGAATATGTTGATGAATATTCAGTGAGTGTAAAACAGGTAGGTGTCCTGTAGATTTCCTTCATCCCATCTGTCCTGCCCTCCATGACTGTGCACAGAGAGAAACCCCAGGTAGCAAGGAGCTGAGTCAGCACCACTTACATCCTACTTTTATGTATTTTCCTTTCCTCCTGGAAGAAAGGCTCTGGGGTGTCCTCATCCTTTTCTATGCATGGGAAATACCTAGAAGAGAGGCAGGCTTATGGTAGGTCATTGCAATTTTATTGAATTTCAATTAAGATTTCACATAAGGGTTTCACATAAGATTGCCCTATGTGTAAGCTGTTCATGGACCACGGCTCTGCTTCAGAATGTGGTTCTGTTCCATGTACCTTCTTTTTCTTTGACCAAGCTTGGAGGAGCAGCCTCCATCCCGGGCATTAACTCAGATGGTCTAAACCAACAAACCACATGAAAGTCTTTGCATAGATCTGACATGTGTCACATTCTACTGACCAAAACAGGTTATGTGACCATATCTGATAGTGGACAGGGAAGTACATTCTAACTACAGGGGAGATAGGATGTGGCTGGGCAAGAACAAGGATAGATACTGCAATGAGAGCAGAGGGTGTGTAAAGTAGTGAACAGTAACCCTGCAGCTGCTACCTGGCCTCTCATTGTAAAACTCACACAATGCTCATAGTATGTAAAACTCATACAATGCTCATAGAGTGCTCATAGACGTTGTTTCTCATACATGGTTTTCCCACTTTATCTTGGGATACCCATTTTCTCCAACTTTTGACTTCTAGGAATACCATGGCAAGGAAAAGAAGAAAAGAAAGAGTAAGAAGGAGGTAGTAAGAACAATAATCAGAATTGTCAGTATATTTTAAAGGCAGAAAGGAATTTGGAATAATTTATTTCAACGCTTTCATGTATAAGATGGGGAAATCAAGAAACAGGGATAAAAGGCACAGACACAAGGTTTTACAGGTGGTAATAGTTTCAAGTTTTGATAGTTAAAAAATTCTGGACTCCTGTGTTCCTTTGGCCAAGAAGCAACCCTCTCCTTGCCAATTCCAGCCCATAGAATATTACCAGGGAGTCTTCCTTTCTGCATTTCTAAATAATGGTGACTTTCTCATTAAATAATAATATACACTTCTTTCTATGAGATGCATTTCCTTAGGCTATTATTGGAAATAAAGTTTTTGGAAAACGAATTCACCATCCACCCAAATCCCGCCATTTTACCTGTACAACTGAAAGCAAGTTGAGCTCTGTGGAACCTCTTAAGGGCCTCAGATCGATTTCACTAAATTGTAATTTAATAATTTTATTTCAATCCACACAACTCTGCATATGGGTTGGGTTGGACACACTTATCATCACCATAGTAAGCTGCGATATCTCTTCTCTGAATCAAATGTAATTTGAATTTTAAAAGACTTTCCAGCACATGAAAAGAAAGACAAGGGACAATGCTTCATTTCTCTCTCTCTTAGAAACTTAAGGAAATAGATCACTGAGTATTTAACTATCAGAAGTTTATATTCTATAAGTCTCAGTTGAGAAATGTGATAAATCAAACCATTTAAAATACACTAAGAGGAGGAGCAGAGCAAGATGGTGGAACAGAAGACTTCACTGATAATTCCCCCTCACCTGCAAGGACACCAGTCTAACAACTACCTACACTCAAATAAGAATCTTCATAAGAATAAAAAAGTCAGGTGAGCACTCACAGTACTGGGTTTAAACTTGAAATCAGTGAAAGAGGCGCTGAAGAGGAAAACAACAACAACAACAAAAACAGTTGTGAATCATTGGCACCACCCTTCCCCCAACCCCTGGCAGTAGCATGGTGCAGAGAATGATTCTGTGTGCTGGGGAAAGGGAGAGTGCAGCAGTTGTGAGGCATTAAACTCAGTGTTGCCCTGTTATAGCAGAAAGCAAATCAACCCAAATGCAGCTGATGCCTACCCATGGAGGAAACGTTTAAACCAGCCCTAGCTAAAGGGAAATAGCAGATCTCAGTGATTGGGACTTCAGTTTCCAGAAGTCTAACGGCCGTGGGCTAAAGTGCTCTGGTGTCTTAAATAAATTTGAAAGGCAGTCTAGGCCACGAAGATTGCAACTCCTATGCAAGACCTAATGCTTGAACTGGGCCCAGAGCCAGTGCAGTGGGGGATCATGCAACCTACTGAGATGGGCTAAGGGAGTGCTGGCATCACCCCTCCCTTAACCCCAGGCTGCATAGATCAGAGCTCTGAAAGAGACCCATTCTTTCTGCTTGAGGAGAGGAGAGGAAAGAGTGGGGAGGACTTGGTCTTGCATCTTAGATACCAGCTCAGCCACAGCAGGATAGGGCACTGGTCAGAATTGTAAGGTTCTCTTTCCTGGCCTTAGATCCCAGAAAAAATGTCTAGACACACCTTGAGCCAGAAGGGAACTTACTGCCTTGAAGAGAAAGATCCAGCCCTGGCAGGATAAAACACCTGCTAACTGAAGAGCCCCTGGGCCCTGAATAGCCAGAAGCAATACCCAGGCAGGACATCCTGGCCCTAGAGTAAGACTCTAAGACTTGTGAGCTTCAACAGGGACTCAGCACATAACAAGCTGTGGTAGCTATGGGACAAGACTCCATCTCCTTGAGAAAAGTGGAGGAAAATGTAAAGGGGACATTGTCTTCCATCTTAGTAACCAGTTTGCCCATGATGTGGTGGTGGAGCACCAAGCAGAATTTTGGGGCCCCTAATTCCAGGACTTGGCTTTTGGGTGGCATTTCTGGATCTGCTCTGGGCCAGAGGGGATCTCACTACCCTGAAGGATGAGTCAAAGTCCAGGTGGTATTTACCACAAGATGACTGAAGAGCCCTTGGGCCTTAAGGGAACATTGTTTGTAGGCTGGCAGTACTCCTTGTGGCCTGGGGTGGTGATGGCAATGGAGTGAGACTCCTCTGCTTTTGGAAAGGGGAGGGAAGACTGGGGAGAACTGTATCCTGTGGTTTGATTGTAAGCTCAGCTGCAGTACACTAGAACACCAGGTAGACTTCAAAGGTTTTGACTCTAGTCCTTGACTCCCAGACAGCACCTCTAGAAGCACTCAAGGCCTGGGGAACTTGTGGCTCCAAAGAGAAGAACACAGGCCTGGTTGGCTTTGTCAGCTGATGAATGATTGTAGAGCCCCAGGACCTTGAGTGAACACAGGTGGTAGCCAGGGAGTGGTTACATCAGGCTTTGGGTGAGACACAGTGCTATGCTGGCTTCAGGTCTGACCCAGCACAATCCCTGTGGTCCTGGCCATAGAAGGGCTTGTGTCACTCCTCCTCCAGCTCCAGGTGGCTCAGAACAGACCCAGAAATACTGCTTGTTTGAGAGAAACTAAGAGTAGAAAAAAAAAAAGTCTCTTGACTTGTAATCCCAAGAATTCTTGGAGATCTTGTCCAAAACCATCAAGGCAGTATCTCTACAAGTCTTCAAGGATCACAGCATTACTTTACTGGGCTTGGTGTGCCCCCTAAATCAGATGGAGCTTATATCACAAGACCCACATCCTTTGAAATATTTGGAAAACCTTTCCATGTAGGATGGATACAAACAAACCCAGAATGCAAAGACCAGTAAATGTCCAGACCCAGATGATCATCTACAAATATTAAGACCATCCAGGAAAATATGACTGTACCAAAATAACTTAATAAGGCACCATGAACCAATCCTGGAGAAACAGAAATATGTGACCTTTCAGACAGAGAATTCAAAATAGATGCACTGAGAAAATTCGAAGAAATTCAAGATAACACAGGGAAGGAATTCACAATTCTATGAGATAAGTTTAACACAGAAATTGAAATAACTACAAAGAATCAAGCAGAAATTCTGGAGCTGAAAAATGCAATTGATATACTAAAGAATGAATCAGAGTCTTTTAGTAGCAGGACTGGTCAAGCAGAAGAAAGAATTAGTGAGCTCAAAGGCTATTTGAAAATACACACTGCGAAGAGACAAAAGAAAAAAGAATTAAAAAAATGAAGTGTGCCTATAGAATCTAAAAAATAGCTTCAAAAGGGCAAATCTAAGAGTTATTAGCCTTAAAGAGGAGATAAAGAGATAGTTAGAAATTATACTCAAAGAGATAATAACAGAGAACTCCCCAAACCTAGAGAAAGATAACAACATCCAAGTACAAGAAGGTAATAGAACACCAAGAAGATTTAACCCAAATAAGACTGCCTCAAGGTATTTAATAATCAAACTCTCAAAGATCAAGAATAAAGAAAGATTCTAAAAGCAGCAAGATAATAGAAACAACTAACACATTGGAGCTCCATTATGTCAGGCAGCAGACTTTTCAGTGGAAAGCTTATAGGACAGGAGATAGTAGCATGACGTATTTTAAGGACTGAAGGAAAAAATCTTTTATCTTAGAATAGTATATCCAGTTAAATTATCCTTCAAACATAAAGGAGAGATAAAGACTTTCCCAGACAAAAAAAAAAAGAAAACTGAGGAATTTTATCAACACTAGACCTGTCCTACAAGAAATCTTGAAGGGATTACTTCAATCAGAAAGAAAATGATGTTAATGAGTAATAAGAAATACTCATTATTATGATACAAAACTCACTGGTAATAGTAAGTAAGTACACAGAAGAATAGAATGTGGTGTGTAAGAAAGCCAGTAAAAATAATGAGCCAGTAAAAATAATCACTACAACAACTTTTCAAGACAGGCAATACAATAAGATATAGGTAAAAACAAAACATTAAAAAGCAGGGGGGATGAAGTTAAGATGTAGAGTTATTTTAGGTTCCTTTTTGTTTCTCTGTTTGTTTGTTTCTGTAAACAGTGTTGTTATCAGCTTAAAATACTGGGTTATAAGACAGTGTGTGTAAGCCTCATGGTAACCTCAAACCAAAAACCATACAACAGATACACAAAAAATAAAAAGCAAGAAACTAAATCATATCACCAGAAAAAAATCACCTTCACTAAAAGGAAGACGGGAAGGAAAGAAAGAAAGAAAAGATGACTACAAAACAACAAAAATACAAATAAAAAATGACAGGAGTAAGTTCTTCCTTATCAATAACAACGTTGAATGTAAATGGACTAAGCTCTCAATCAAAAGACATAATGTGGCTGAATGTACTAAAAGAAAATAAGATCCAGTAATATGCTGTCTACATGAAAATCACCTCACCTATAAAAACACATAGGCTGAAAATAAGGGGATAGAAAAACATATTTCTTACCTATGGAAACCAAAAAAGAGCAGGAGTAACTCCATTTACACAAAATAGAATCCAAGACAACAAAAACTGTAAGAAGAGACAAAGAAGGTCACTATGTAATCATAAAGAGGTCAATTTAGCAAGAGAATCCAACGATTTTAAATATACGTGCATGCAACACTAGATACATAAAGCAAATATTATTCGAGCTAAAGAGAGAGTTAGACCTCAATACAATAATAGTTGGAGACATCAACACCCCACTCTCAGCAAAGGACAGATCTTCTAGAGGGATAATCAAAAAGAAACATCAGATTTAAACTGCACTATAGACAAAATGAACTTAATAGGTATTTACAGATATTTCATCCAACAGCTGCAGAATACAAATTCTTCTTCTCAGTACATGGATCATTCTCAAGGATAGACCATATGTTAGGTCAGAAAACAAGTCTTAAAACATTCAAAAAATGAGACAGTATCAATTATCTTCTCTGACCACAATGGAATAAAACTAGAAATCAATAATGAAAGGAATTTTGGATAATATATAATTACATGGAAATTAAACAATATGCTATGGAATGACCAGTAGGTCAATGAAGACATTAAGAAGGAAATTGAAAATTTATTTGAAACAAATGATAATGGAAACACAACATACCAAAACATATGGGAATACAGCAGAAGCAGTACTAAGAGGAAAGTTTATAGCTATAACTGCCTGCATCAAAAAAGAAGAGGAATTTCAAAGAAACAACCTAGCAATGCCTCTTAAAGAACTAGAAAAGCAAGAGCAAAGCAAAGCCAAAATTAGGAGAAAAAAAGGAAATAGTGTAAATCAGAGATGAAATTGAAATGAAAAAAATACAAGAGATCAATGAAACAAAAAGTTGTTTTTTTGAGAAGTTAAACAAAATTGACAAACCCTTAAGCCAAACTAAGAAAAAAAAAGAGAGAAGAACTAAATAAATAAAATCAGAAATGAAAAAAGAGACATTAAAACTGATACCACAGAAAGTCAAAAGGCCATTAGTGGCTACTGTTAGCAACTATATGACAATAAACTGGAAAATCTAGAAGAAATGGACAAATTCCTAGACACATATGACCAACCAATATCAAACCATGAAGAAATGGAAAACCGGAGCATGCCAATGATAAGTAGTGAGATTGAAGTCATAATAAAAAATCTTCCAGTAAGAAAAAGCCCAGCATCCAATGGCTTTATTGCTGAATTCTACCAAACATTTAAAGAAGAATTAATGCTAATCCTACTCAAGCTATTCTGAATAATAGATGAGGAGGGAGTACTTCCAAAATCATTCTATGAAGCCAATATTACCCTAGTACCAAAACCAAAGACAAATCTAAAAAAGAAAACTACAGGACACTATCTCTGATGAAAATTAATGCAAAAATCCCCAACAAAATACTAGCAAATAAGATTCAACAATACATTAGAAAAAGCCTTAATCATGACCAAGTGAGATTTATCCCTAGGTTGCAAGGATGGCTCATCATATGCAAATCAATCAATGTGATACGTCATATCAACAAAATAAAGGACAAAAACCATATGATCATTTCAATTGATACTGAAAATCCATTTGATAGAATTCAACATTGCTTCATGATAAAAACCTTTAAGAAGAACTGGGTAGAGAAGGGACATACCTCAACATAAAAGCCATGTATAACAGACCCAAAATGTATGCTTGTACTAAAACATCTCATGTACCCCATAAATATATACAACTTGTATGTACCCATAAAAATTAAAAACTAAAATGTGTGTGTGTGTGTGTGTGTGTGTGTGTATATATATATATATAGAGAGAGAGAGAGAGAGAGAGAGAGAAAGGGAGGACAGAATATTCAAAGCCTGCAATTCATTTTCAGTGATTAGTTGACTCTACTCTTATTTAAGAGGAACACACACAATAGTCCCCCACCGTTTTCTCCTCGACTGTGCCGCAAAAATGAATACAACAACCATAACATGATGAATTTTTAAATACATCTCTTGCTCCTAAAAAAAAAAAAATGTAGCTGGCCTGTCAAAATAGTTGCTGCCTTCCAAATTTCCAGATTACAGGTGTTCCCTTAATGACTTAAATGATTGTCTTTCTGCCAAGATGACAAAGGTGGGACAATTGATGTAACTATTATCCATCTTGTAAAGAGTTTATAAAATCCTTACTCATGATTGGCTTCACACGCTGATTAATAGACACTTTCTATTTCAGACTTTAATTAAAAGCAATAAAAGCAGTCAACTGCAGGCCATGAATGTGTTGGTGACAAAAAAAAAGTGCCATTAGAGAGATGGAAGATCAAGCACTGAACAAATTTAGTGTGAAGCCTCGTAAGTGGATCCATATGTCTGTGCTTAAAGCCGCTCTGTGATAGCCACAATAGCCAAGGGATTGCACAGATAGAATAAAACAGCAATTAACAGGAGAACCGTCCGTTTTAGACCCAATCTGCTTTACTTTAAGAAAAATATGCACCATCTTTCTTCATATTTATATAAATGTCAATGTTAATGAAAACAAAAAGAAAGATGACTTTTGAAGGAACAAACTCTAGCCGGCAAGTTGTGTTATAAAACACAAATTGGTAATTTAATTCAGTTGCATCTGAAGAGTAATTTAATATACATCATTGAACAGATGTCATAGACTGTTGTGAGTCATAGAGAAATTTCGAGCAAATGGTTATCAATTCCCACCGTATTACAGTAATTATTCACTTACCACTCAATTATAAACATTTACCTGTACTTTAAGCCATATAACTCAAGAAACTGAGCGTGTGAAAATGCAGTCCAGTTAGCAGCACACAGAAGGATACAAGTTGTTAGAGGGACAAAACATGACATGTGGGTTTTGCTTCCTGCTGGCATTTTTGTAGCCATCTCTAAGCACTTGAGTGATAAAAAGCAGCAACTGTCATAGATTCCTTAAAGCCTGATACACACATTTGGATATTTCACAAATATGCACACACATCCTCACTTTCTCAGAGATCACAAGGGGCATTTTCTACTTGCATACCTGGATCACAACCAAATAAAGATTTCAGGAAAAGTCTGAGTTAAGTTGATCTTTCAAAGGAAGGCTCCTTTCCTAAATCCTGCCACGGAGAAACGCAGGAATGCAACACGGTGTTTTTGCATGAGGTAAGGCCCTGACTTCTCAGGGCTCAGTATTTTGGCACGGGAGGCAGACAGATACCAACTTGGCAATTTAAGAAGGCCGTGTTACAAAGACTTGAAAAATGAAATCTAGTGTGACAGGAAAAACATTAACATCTGAGTTTCATAGCCTCTCTTCCTTCACTCCCCATCAAAGATAATCTTATTTTGCCAGTTTTATTCAGGCTCTTACTGTGCCGACTGGCACAGCTGGGGTTGAGGGGTGGAAGGCTGGAAATAAAAGCAGCTAAAACCAAATTGATTGATTTTGTTGAAAGAGGCAGAGATTTACTCCTACAAAGAAGAAAATAAAGCATAGGCATGTAGCAAGTGGAAATGGGGGTAAACATAAAAGCCAGTGATACCGTGCTGTAGAGAGGTATTGTGAGGCCGGGGTCATGTTTTACTTTCTGCTTTGCTGAAGGGAGTGAAGGATGAAAGGATAGAGGAGGGAAGAAGATTTCTGTTTAATTTAAATAAACTTTTTTATGAGCCTGTGATCTTTTAAAAGGCAACAGCGAATTTTATTTTTGTTTATTGTTTTAGACATAGAATTGACATTTTATTTTAATGAAATATTTAAAAAATTTATCCCAAATGGAAAATAATTTGTATGGGTTTTGCAAATATAATATTTAGTACAAAGGGCAAAGTATCTCTTTTTAAAAAAAAATGCACAAATCTTAAGATCTAGCCAGTTTTTTTTTGTTTTGTTTTTTTTTTTTGTTTTTGTTTTTGTTTTTTTTTTGAGAGGGAGTCTCCCTCTATCACCCAGGATGGAGTGCAGTGGCGCGATCTCGGCTCACTGCAAGCTCCGCCTCCCGGGTTCACGCCATTCTCCTGCCTCAGCCTCCCGAGTAGCTGGGACTACAGGCGCCCGCCATCATGCCCGGCTAATTTTTTGTATTTTTAGTAGAGACGGGGTTTCACTGTGTTAGCCAGGATGGTCTCGATCTCCTGACCTCGTGATCCATCCGCCTCGGCCTCCCAAAGTGCTGGATTTACAGGCATGAGCCACCACGCCCGGCGCCAGTTTTTCTTAAAACTACAAGAGTCCTATTAATTCTAGTCACTCAAAACATAATACATATTTAAAATATATTTTAGTGTGAGCTCCTGTTGTGTTTAAACATATTGATATTAGATGTTTAGAGGTAGACTAACTTTCCTGCTAAGACAGGAAAAGCTATGTCTTCTTCACACTATAAACTGAAACTAAGAATGTCTCCACACACAGACACATGCACAGGTAAGTGCTCAACTTTTTTCCTGGATGGATGTTATTCTATTTGTGTTTTCTAAAACCTTCATATGAGTTGTAAACCACCATAGCTTAATTCCCTGGAAGTGCAGGAAGGACCATTTTTTGCTACTATATTCAGTTAAATTATGATGAAAAAATCGAAATGTCCTGATTATTTTATCTTCAGTCCACTAGTCCATTAAATCCCAATATTAGTGGTTTCATGTAATTAAAATGCACCTGTACGTTCCTTTCGGTGATCATGAAACAACTTCTAATTTATACAAGCAGTAAATACAAATTTTAGGAAACTAGGGATAAACATCCTAGACCTAAAAACGTCTCTACTTATATATTTGCACAAATTCTATTCAGCAAGCAAATCCAAATTTATATGTATGCCATTTCCACCACGCATCATTCAGTCCATCGACCTGTCTAGCCTCTCTTCTGCATCATGTTATTTTGTGTCACTTGATAAAATTTAGCACGTGTGACAGTCAGAACATCTGGGTTGAGCCTAGGCTTTTTCTCCTAGTAACTGGATATCCCTGTACAATCAGTATAAGTCATCTCACTTTTCTTATCTGTGAACTGGAGATAAAAATTGTACATGCCTCATACATTCCTGTTGACGTTTCTATAAAACCTTGCATGGAACGTGCACAATACTCAACATAAGGGACGAGTACATGGCAAGGTCCAAAAAAAGGAGGCTGTTCTTTTCATTACTGAATTAGTGTTCCCTTTTCTTTCCCCTGCAGAGCCTCATAGAATAAGGCTTGGTATTTCAATATTGATGCTTTTAGCTAGGCAAGCCATCATCAACATAAACAAATGTAAAATGCTCACACTATGCAGACATGAAAACCACCCACTAGGCCTAATATTAGAATGTGTTGACTTTCCCAGAGATTTACATATTCTTCTCTAGAGAAAACATTCACTGCAAATATCTCCACGAATTTTGAGATGTAGACAAGAAACACAACTCCTTCAGTTCTCAGTCTCACTCTCACTTTCTCTTTCTCTGTCTCTCTCTCTCTCTCTCTCTTCCACTCTCTCTCTCTACACCCCCTCTGTTTCTCAAAAAGCCATACACACTGATTTTTGGGGAAAAAAAATGAAAACCTCTTTTAAAATCCTATCATTTTGGAGGGCAAATGAAGATATTCTATGTTTTGTGGTTGGGATGGTTAATATTGAGTGTCAACTTGATTAGACTGAAGGAGGCAAAGTATTGTTCTGTGAAGGTGTTGCCAAAAGAGATTCACATTAGAGTCAGTGGACTGGGAGAGGCAGACCCACTAGCAATATGGGTGGGTGCCATCTAATCAGCTGCCAGTGCAGTTAGGATAAAAGCAGGCGGGGGAATGTGGAAGGGCTGGCCTGGCTAAGTCTTCTGGCCTCCATCTTTCTCCCATGCTGGATGCTTCCTGCCCTTGAACAGCGGAATCCAGGTTCTTCAGCTTGGACCTACACCAGTGATTTGCCAGGGGCTCTTGGGCCTTTGGCCACTGACTGAAGGTTGCACTGTCGGCTTCTCTACTTTTGAGGTTTTGGGACTGGGACTGGCTTCCTGGCTCCTCAGCTTGCAGATGGCCTATTGTGGAGCTTCACCTTGTGATCTTGTAATAAATTCCTTTTCACATATACCTCTGTCCCATTAGTCCCTTCCCTCTAGAGAACCCTGACTGACACAGTGGTATATTTGTATCTCTTAAAGATGTTGGGCTCAAATGTAGTAATTACTTCAACCAGGGAAATATTACTTCCACCAGGGAAATATAGTTAGACATGGGTCTAACTATAGTTATTGTAATTGCTCTCACCTTGGGCAATTCCTTAGTAAGATGGACACAGTTTATCTTTTTTGGGGTCATTGCCCCTGCTTCCTTCCCCTCTAAAGTGAGATAAGAAGGCTAGAGGGGGCTGGATTGTGGAGAGTAGAAGAGGTAGTACCCTTCTCCAGCAGAGAGAAGGCTCTGGTAAAGTTGCTTTATCTGCAGACGTGTCCTTTGGGAGAATGCTCGGGGCGTATTTCTCAAAGGTAGATTTTTCCCTTTCATGTCAGATCCCTAAGAGGACCTTTTCTTGCTCTTTACCACAGAACCCAGCGGGATTCCTGGACGGAAAGCTCATGCAAGCCTGCGTGTCCTCAAGGAGGGGACTCTCTCTCCCTCACTCCCTTCCCCACCACTCTCAGCATCTTAAAAAACCAACACTATTTTAATGCAGCTGAGAGCTAATTTTAATGTTTTATTAGCTCAAGTGTAAAAAAAAATCAAAGAAAAGATAAAACAAAATGAAAGCTAAGCAATGATATATGAGGATAGTTTAAAAAAATTGCCCAAAAAATTATTTCCTTTCACCCCAAAATGTCTAATCATGTCAATAGTGCAGAAAATAAGGGGACATTTGCTATTTAATGGCGGTGAAGACAAAATATTATTTAGTGTAGTAGCTCCTCCTTCCCTTCAGGTGGCCTGGCATCCACTATAAATATTGGAGAAGAAATCTCATTATGGCCTCTGTCCACTTATGGAGAATGTTTGAAAGAGGAGACAGAGGAGAGAGAACACCAGGGAGAAACAGAACAAGTGAAAATTTTCTGGTAATAATCAACAGGCTTGCCAGAACAAGAATAGCTAATTCTGAGTGTTAACAGGTCTTACAGTGCAATCACAACTCTCTCCAATTTCCCTCTATCTTATACAGAGCTTTGTAGAGGGAAGATATTGAGAAAACATTTTGTGCAGGTCAATACTATAGAGAAAAGGTAGATTAGTTATTAACAGATATTATTAGTTCAGCTCAAGAAATTCAGGGCCAAGAATGGCCAGGAAATATGTCAGATTTCTCAACGTATCAGAGATTTTCTTGCATGCACAAGTACAACCAGAATTGCTATAATATTTGGAATGCAGGTTATAGTGATATTTCTTCAGGTTTTAAACAAATACCTTTAGAAATATCTAGAATTCTCATTCTAAATGAGAATTACTTATGTCAAACCCAGTTTTGCAATAATTCTAGATGTTGCTTACATCTGTGTTACATCTGTAATACCTGTAACAGAGATATTCCTTTATAACTTGTGTTTTCTAAGCCATATAATCTTGTTGGTAGAGATAAGAAAATAACAAAAACTCCTACCAGATTTTTTTTTGTTTCATATCCACTAAATTTGCTGCAAGTTCAGTCTCAATAAATCCTTCCCATATAGCTCTGTATAGGGTGTGGAATGGGATGGGTTAGAAAGAGATGAGATGAAACAGGGTGAGGTGGGATGGGAAAAGATGGAATAGTATGAGAATGGGATGGATGTGATAAGATGGAATGAGATCCCATGGAATGGGATGGGATGGGATAAGATGAAATGGTATGAGAATGAGATGGGTGAGATAAGATGGAATGAGCTGCCATGGGATGGGATAGGATGGGAGGGGAGGGGAGGGATGGGATGGGATGGGATGTGATAAGATGAAATGTTATGAGAATGAGATGGGCAAGATAAGATGGAATGAGATGCCATGGGATGGGATGGGATGGAGTGGGATGGGCTGGGAAGAGAGTGGAGGGGGGGAAGGGAGAGGAGGGGAGGGGAGGGTATGGAATGGGATGGGATGGAATGGGATAGGAATGGGATGGGATGGGAAGAGAGGGGAGGGGATGGGATGAGATGGGATGGGATGGAATGGGATGGGATGGGATGAGATGGGATAAGATGAAATGGTATGAGAATAAGATGGGTGAAATAAGATGGAATGAGATGCCATCTGATGGGATGGGATGGGATGGCCAGGGATGGGGAGCAGAAGGGAAAATTCCCCATCTACTCTTCGGATGCTCATCATTATCCTCTACTAACTAGCTCATGATGTCTTTAGTCACTCTCAAAGTCAGAAATGACCATCATGGCCCTTATGACTGTCAAAGATCCCACTGCTACTACTGCTGCCAGTGTCCACTGTGTGACTTGCACAGAAAAACGCCAAAGTCATTCATTCTCTACCAAGGACACCAGTAGGCAATTTGGTGGGTCCTAAATGCATAGCTTTTGCCAACCCAAAGAAGCCACTCAGTGTTACTTCCCAATTCACCACCCTGGCTGCAATGAATATTTGGAGTGTTCATTGCACCATGGAAATTGAATAAAGCATTATCTTTACTTTCAATTTGTCTTTTATTACTGCTTCTTTTCTAGATGATCAGGCACAAATTCAGGAAAAATGACCTAGTGAGACTATTTTTATTACTTCTTCTCAAGAGAGGTATTAAAATCAAGGCAAGAAAATTGATCATGTCTTATATCTAAGAAATTGGTATTCATTCTTACAAAGTGTAAGAATAAATGTAAAAATTAAAGTTCTGGTTTGCCTGGTCATGGTTCTCCTATCTCTTTAGAAAGCTTTTCTTTTCCAAACAGCTGATGTGTAAGGAGGATCTGTGTGCAAGTTATTAAGGAATTGAGGAGGATGAATCTAATTTGCCTTGCCAAAAAAGAAATTACATCATGCAGAATTATTTGACCTAAAACTTGGAGATTATTTATTGATTCAGCAAGTAGAAATGGGGCCAGGGTGGGGTGGGGTGGGTGCCATGCTTTTATGCACTCTGCAAATATCTGTTTCGTACCTCACATATGCTAGGTCCTATGACGTAGAGTTGAAGAAAGAAGATGCAGCCTTTTCCCTCTGGATCTACTAATCTAGTGCAGGAAACAAACTTGACACAAATAATGGTACAACTACTTTTGTAATTACTAATTGCCGTGAGTTCAATGGTATAAAGGTGAAGGGTACTATGGAGTGAAGTAATGAAGAAATTAATATATATTGAGACCATCAGGGAGTATTTTGTTGAAGAAGGGGTCTTAAGTATAAGATAAGATCCTGTTGGAAAAAAAAGTGACAGGAAATAAGCCAGAAGGAGCAAAGGGCAAATGTGAAGCCCTTGTGGATTAAATGTGAGGTCATCCCAGGAACTCGAAGAAGACCCATGTGGTTGAACATAGAGTGGTAGATTACAGGGGAGAATCTAGAGACACGAGTATATTGTAATGTTGAATTTTATCTCAGGTATAATAATGATGCATTAAGTATAACTCTGTAAGGAGCGTTTCATTTTCCTCTCTATTTTGAATTACTCCTTTCAAGAGTCCTTAAAATGGAATTACTGAGTTTCAGGTAGCAAACTTTAAAAAACTCTCAGTACATGGTAATAGAAGGGCCTAAACTGTGTCTCCTCAAAACCAATATCCCCAAACCCTAGTGCGTCACAGTATGAGTATATCTGAAGATAGAGATTTTAAATAAGCAGTTAAATTAAAATAAGACCATTGTCGCAGGCCCTAATCCAATATGACCAGTGTCCTTACAGTAGCAGGAAGAGACCCCAGGAGAACATGCACACAGAAGGACACAGTGAAAAGGCAGCCATCTGCAAACCAAAGAGAAGTCTCAGAAGACACCAAACATGCTGGCACCTTGATCTTGGACTTCCAGCCTACAGAGCTATGAGAAAATAAATTTCTGTTGTTTAAGCCACCAGTTTTGTGGTATTTTTTATGGCAGCCTTGGCAAGCTAATACAGGTACCAAATTGGTTTGCCAAGTGATATGGTTTGGCTGAGCCCCACCCAAATCTCATCCTGAATTGTAGCTCCCATAATCCCCACATGTCATGAGAGGGACCCGGTGGGAGGGAATTGAATCATGGGGATGGGTGTTCCCATGCTGTTCTCATGATAGTGAATACGTCTCAGAAAATCTGATGGTTTTATAAAGGGCAGTTCCCCTGCACACACTCTCTTGCCTGCCACCATGTAAGACATGACTTCACTCCTCCTTTGCCTTCCGCCACGATTGTGGCTCTCTCCAGCCAGCTGGAACTATGAGTCCATCACACCTCTTTGTCTTTATAAATTACTCAGTCTCAGGTATGTCTTTATTAGCAGCATGAGAACCATCTAATACACCAACAAATGAAAACAAGATATAATAGAAATAAGATCATATTAATCTGGACACAAAAGCTGGTGATACATATGTTTATATTTCATTTATAGAAAAACTATGATGGCTGGTGGGAAATGTTCTAAAACTAAGGGGTGCAGGAGGCTAACGCCTTATTTGAGAAGATTTTAAGATAGCCTCAAAACAGGTCAGGGCCTGAGTCAGTGTGGGTAGCAGGAAAGGAGAGGAGGAAAAGAACTGAAGAAGATTTGGATACTGGAATTGAACAAACTTAATTACACCTGAGGTTTTTTTTTTTTTTTTGTAACAACTAGTAAATATTTGTCAACAGAGATTATAATTTGAGGAAAAAATAATTTTCTGCAAATATGGAACTACAGTTACCCTTGTATATTTAGAAAGATATTTCAAGAAAAGAAAAATATCATCTTCTCATTCTGCCACACAAAAATGTTTTCCAGAAAATTGTGTCATTACCACTTTTAGAGTCTGGGTGAAAACATTCATTCTGGAATAGTTTAATAAATAATCAAAAATAACAAATGTGTTACATTCTGTGATGAAAACACACACATGCATATACATACAGATATAACATTGCATGAAACCTTTGACCTAGGAGTAAGGAAAACAAAAAACAAAAACAACAACAACAAAACACAGTAAAGAAATAGAAAGGAAAGAGAGAAAGATGTTGCCAACAGTTGGTAAAGGAACAGCTGTCATTGAGGACTAATGTGAACAGAGGAAACCTGGAAGATTAGTATGAATTTCACATAAAATTGAAAAGAAATAATATTTGGTTAGTCACAGTAAATGGAGCATCTAGAAAGCAAGGAAAGAATATCCTAGGTGATTGTGGTGAAGTCTTAACACTGGGAAAATTAGAAGACATTGTTGGAGAAAGATTGTGATAGAGTTAAAGTATAAGAACTCTTTCTCTAAAAAAAAAAAGTATACGCAATGTAGTTTAAGGTTGACTGAGATTGCAGAGCTCTGCATCTTAGCTCAGGATGTTTGGTCTTAGGAAGAATGCTCATACAACCTTCGGTTTCATTGGCTCTCCTGCTAAACAAGGATTCTATTATGTAGGCCATATAAATGGTGCGAAAGCTAACTAATGATCCATAGGTTAATAGATTTAACTATGCCTGAAGTAGTGCTACGTGGGTAAGCAATAGCCACTTCTGTTACAATATGTGTTTTAAACTGACATTCTCTGGAATATATTTTATAGCTAAGCTGTATATATTATAAGACATTTCCAAAATGAGGAATATATGGAGAAGTTGCTACATTTGATCAATACCTAATGAGTCAATCAGTTGGCATCTGTCAAAAATACTGTAGAGATGGAATTGTGGTACTTGGAAGCATAGATTATTCACAAGTTGCATAAGAGTCAGTACTGTATTGGGTAAATGGTCTAGAAGAAAGTTGAAGTTAGTAACATTAGGATAATCCATTTTCCAGGCAACAAATCATTCAACTGTATGATTATGATGCACTTCCAAAGGCATTTAGGTTTGCTACTGAAAGAAACAGTGTGTTTATTTCTTTAATAAATTTGAATCATTGAAATAAACAAGCAAATACATTCCAGTGTACCCAGTGGGAAGTATTCTGCTTATAACATCTTGGACACTGGATCCAAAGTGCCATTTTGAAACAGGCATTAAGGGTAATGTCATTTAAAAGTGGCATCAGAGGGTCCAGATTTCTTCTGGTGCAGTATTTACATTTATGTCAACACATCTCTTGCTCTTGACACTGGAAACAAGCTAATATTATCATGGTTGTTTTCTCTCTTTAATGATTGGAATTAAAGGCCAGCATACTGCACACTACCTTTTTTATTTTATGTAAATAAGCTCATCAAAGGTAGTAAACAGGTGTCATGTGCATTTGACCTGTAACCTGCAGTGGAGCCATTCAGCAGATCACAGACATGATCAACTGAACCATAGTCAACCTGCAGACTCGTGATCATAGGATAAGTTTTGGTTGCCTTAAGTCATTCAGAGTGGGATAGATGCTATACAGTATTATTGCGGAAATAGCTAATTGATATTTGAAGCAATGAGTAAGAAAGATTTTGTAAATCTAAAATGAGACCAAAATTCACAAAGATGTTTAAATAATTAAACCATGCAATAATTAAGCAAAAAAGAAAATTATAAAATTAGGATAGCATAGATAAAAATAGGAAGATTTGAAGTAATAATATTTAACTAAATCTCAAATTAGTGTAGTGAGCTGTTGTATACGTCAAGAAACCAGACTTTTAAAAAAACAAAACAAAACCCTGCAGATCATCAGTGTGTCAAGAACACCAGCAGCAGCCTTGTCTTGTCTGAGTTCTGTATGCTCTACTGAGATTGAAACCTATATCTCTACTATTGCTCATAAATTGACAATTTAAGTTTGTCCTGAAATAAGCACAATGGCTATTGGATTTGTTAGGCAAAGAATAGAATAAAACTCAGTAGTCCATTTTAACCAGGCTGAATTCTACAAAGAAGCCAAAAAAGGGCAAAATCATACAGGTGGGAGAATCTTAAGTGAAGAATATAAACCTATTTCATTTACACCAATAATGGTATTGATCTCCCTGTCCTGAATCTGCTTTGCCAGCTAAGCCATCTGATATCATGACACACCTCACTATGTAAATTCATCATTCTTGGTGATCCAGCCAAAATTTTAAAATCTGCAACATAAGGTAACCAAAATGGATAATGGTCTATTTATCTTTACAATTTTTATTTCAAAACTACTTTCCCCTTAATTCAAGAACTTTATTATTAGCTCTACTATTAAAAATTTCATATCTTTCTCATATTTTGTATATCTAGACTACTTGGAGGATCATTCATTAATTTATTCATTAACTCACTGATATTTACCAGCACTCACCAAAGCAAGTGAGTGATCCAACAAAGAAACAAAAAACTTCACGGTTCCTGCTCTCAAGAAAGAAAATGATAAGAATCAACGAAGAAAGAAGAACTACACAGGGTAAAATTTAATGCTGTTAAACAAGGTAAAATTGCAGGGTAGAGGAAGAAAATATCATTGTACTTCAACTTCAGGGGTGAGGGACTGTTTCACAGAGAAAACAAAATGTTATATGACCCTTGGAAAAAAATGTGAAGTGCTTTATCTGTACTGGGAACATAAAAACCTTATATATTAATAAAGTACAAGGTCTACTGTGGAGGTGGAAGTATGCAGCATGTATAAGTAGTTGTGTTTAAAGACATTTGGCTACAGTGAAGTTTGGTGAGTAAAAGTGACTAACAAAGCAGAAAGCACGTGCAAAATAAAACTAAGAGCGACTGGGTTCAGAGGGCTGTTGTGATCTGTAAACACATCAAACGGGGCCAGTTTCCAGAATCTTACTGACTTTATGAGGTCAAGAGTTCATTAAAACCTAAGACCCCTAAAAGCTGACCCAAAGGTAAATTTCAGCTAAGGAAGATGCTTATCTCAAGTACACAAGATATGTTCTGAAAATACTCTAGTAACCGAAACAGAGCAGTCCAGTTAAATGGTGGCTGAGCTAAGTGATTTTCAGCAGAAGAATTAAGATGTAGGTGGCCGGGGAGAGAGCCAAGAAGGCCGAATAGGAACAGCTCCAGTATACAGCTCCCAGTGTGAGCGACACAGAAGACGGGTGATTTCTGCATTTCCACCTGAGGTTCCGGGTTCATCTCACTAGGGAGTGCCAGACAGCGGGCGCAGGACAGTGGGTGCAGCGCACCGTGCATGAGCCGAAGCGGGGCGAGGCATTGCCTCACTCGGGAAGTGCAAGGGGTCAGGGAGTTCCCTTTCCTAGTCAAAGAAAGGGGTAACAGACAGCACCTGGAAAATCGGGTCACTCCTACCCTAATACTGCACTTTTCCGATGGGCTTAAAGAACAGCACACCAGGAGATTATATCCTGCACCTGGCTCGGAGGGTCCTACGCCAATGGAATCTCACTGATTGCTAGCACAGCAGTCTGAGATCAAACTGCAAGGCAGCAGCGAGGCTGGGGGCGGGGTGCCTGCCATTGCCCAGGCTTGCTTAGGTAAACAAAGCAGCCAGGAAGCTCAAACTGGGTGGAGCCCACCACAGCTCAAGGAGGCCTGCCTGCCTCTGTAGGCCCTACCTCTGGGGACAGGGCACAGACAAACAAAAAGACAGCAGTAACCTCTGCAGACTTAAATGTCCCTCTCTGACAGCTTTGAAGAGAGCAGTGATTCTCCCAGCACGCAGCTGGAGATCTGAGAACGGGCAGACTGCCTCCTCAAGTGGGTCCCTGACCCCTGACCCCCGAGCAGCCTAACTGGGAGGCAACCCCCAGTAGGGGCAGACTGACACCTCACATGGCCGGGTACTCCTCTGAGACAAAACTTCCAGAGGAACGATCAGACAGCAGCATTCAAGGTTCACAAAAATCTGCTGTTCTGCAGCCACTGCTGCTGATAACCAGGCAAACAGGGTCTGGAGTGGACCTCTAGCAAACTCCAACAGACCTGCAGCTGAGGGTCCTGTCTGTTAGAAGGAAAACTAACAAACAGAAAGGACATCCACACCAAAAACCCAACTGTACATCAGCATCATCAAAGACCAAAAGTATATAAAACCACAAAGATGGGGAAAAAACAGAGCAGAAAAACTGGAAACTCTAAAAAGCAGAGCGCCTCTCCCCCTCCAAAGGAATGCAGTTCCTCACCAGCAACAGAACAAAGCTGGACGGAGAATGACTTTGACGAGTTGAGAGAAGAAGGCTTCAGGCGATCAAACTACTCCGAGCTACAGGAGGAAATTCAAACCAAAGGCAAAGAAGTTAAAAACTTTGAAAAAAATTTAGACGAATGTATAACTAGAATAACCAATATAGAGAAGTGCTTAAAAGAGCTGATGGAGCTGAAAGCCAAGGCTCGAGAACTACGTGAAGAATGCAGAAGCCTCAGGAGCCAATGCAATCAACTGGAAGAAAGGGTATCAGTGATGGAAGATGAAATGAATGAAATGAAGCGAGAAGGGAAGTTTAGAGAAAAAAGCATAAAAAGAAACGAACAAAGCCTCCAAGAAATATGGGACTATGTGAAAAGACCAAATCTACGTCTGATTGGTGTACCTGAAAGTGACGGGGAGAATGGAACCAAGTTGGAAAACACTCTGCAGGATATTATCCAGGACAACTTCCTCAATCTAGCAAGGCAGGCAAACATTCAGATTCAGGAAATACAGATAATGCCACAAAGATACTCCTTGAGAAGAGCAACTCCAAGACACATAATTGTCAGATTCAACAGAGTTGAAATGAAGGAAAAAATGTTAAGGGCAGCCAGAGTGAAAGGTCGGGTTACCCACAAAGGGAAGCCCATCAGACTAACAGCGGATCTCTCGGCAGAAACCCTACAAGCCAGAAGAGAGTGGGGGCCAATACTCAACATTCTTAAAGAAAAGAATTTTCAACCCAGAATTTCATATCCAGCCAAACTAAGCTTCATAAGTGAAGGAGAAATAAAATCCTTTACAGACAAGCAAATGCTGAGAGATTTTGTCACCACCAGGCCTGCCCTAAAAGAGCTCCTGAAGGAAGCACTAAACATGGAAAGGAACAACCGGTACCAGCCACTGCAAAATCATGCCAAATTGTAAAGACCATCGAGGCTAGGAAGAAACTGCATCAACTAACGAGCAAAATAACCAGCTAACATCACAATGACGGGATCAAATTCACACATAACAATATTAACTTTAAATGTAAATGGACGAAATACTCCAATTAAAAGACACAGACTGGCAAATTGGATAAAGAGTCAAGACCCATCAGTGTGCTGTATTCAGGAAACCCATCTCACGTGCAGAGACACATATAGGCTCAAAATAAAAGGATGGAGGAAGATCTACCAAGCAAATGGAAAACAAGAAAAGGCAGGGGTTGCAATCCTAGTCTCTGATAAAACAGACTTTAAACCAACAAGATCAAAAGAGACAAAGAAGGCCATTACATAATGGGAAAGGGATCAATTCAACAAGAAGAGCTAACCATCCTAAATATATATGCACCCACTACAGGAGCACCCAGATTCATAAAGCAAGTCCTGAGTGACCTACAAAGAGACTTAGACTCCCACACAATAATAATGGGAGACTTTAACACCCCATTGTCAACATTAGACAGATCAATGGACAGAAAGTTAACAAGGAGACACAGGAATGGAACTCAGCTCTGCACCAAGCGGACCTAATAGGCATCTACAGAACTCTCCACTCCAAATCAACAGAATATACATTTTTTTCAGCACCACACCACACATATTCCAAAATTGACCACAGAGTTGGAAGTAAAGCTCTCCTCAGCAAATGTAAAAGAAAAGAAATTATAACAAAATGTCTCTCAGACCACAGTGCAATCAAACTAGAACTCAGGATTAAGAAACTCACTCAAAACCGCTCAACTACATGGAAACTGAACAACCTGCTCCTGAATGACTACTGGGTACATAACGAAATGAAGGCAGAAATAACGATGTTCTTTGAAACCAACAAGAACAAAGACACAACATACAAGAATCTCTGGGACACATTCAAAGCAGTGTGTAGAGGGAAATTTATAGCACTAAATGCCCACAAGAGAAAGGAGGAAAGATCCAAAATTGACAACCTAACATCACAATTAAAAGAACTAGAAAAACAAGAGCAAACACATTCAAAAGCTAGCAGAAGGCAAGAAATAACTAAAATCAGAGCAGAACTGAAGGAAATAGAACAACACAAAAAACCCTTCAAAAAATTAATGAATCCAGGAGGTGGTTTTTTGAAAGGATCAACAAAATTGATAGACCGCTAGCAAGACTAATGAAGAAAAGAGAGAAGAATCAAATAGACGCAATAAAAAATGATAAAGGGGATATCACCGCCGATCCCACAGAAATACAAACTACCATCAGAGAATACTACAAACACCTCTATGAAAATAAACTAGAAAATCTAGAAGAAATGGATAAATTCCTCAACACATACACCCTCCCAAGACTAAAACAGGAAGAAGTTGAATCTCTGAATAGACCAATAACAGGCTCTGAAATTGTGGCAATAATCAATAGCTTACCAATCAAAAAGGGTTCAGGACCAGATGGATTCACAGCCGAATTCTACCAGAGGTACAAGGAGGAACTGGTACGATTCCTTCTGAAACTATTCCAATCAATAGAAAAAGAGGGAATCCTCCCTAACTCATTTTATAAGGCCAGCATCATCCTGATACCAAAGCTGGGCAGAGACACAACCAAAAAAGAGAATTTTAGACCAGTAACCTTGATGAACATTGATGCAAAAATCTTCAATAAAATACTGGCAAACCGAATCCAGCAACACATCAAAAAGCTTATCTACCATGATCAAGTGGGCTTCATCCCTGGGATGCAAGGCTGGTTCAATATACGCAAATCAATAAATGTAATCCAGCATATAAACAGAACCAAAGACAAAAACCACATGATTATCTCAATAGATGCAGAAAAGGCCTTTGAAAAAATTCAACAACGCTTCATGCTAAAAACTCTCAATAAATTAGGTATTGATGGGACGCATCTCAAAATAATAAGAGCTATCTATGACAAACCCAGAGCCAATATCATACTGAATGGGCAAAAACTGGAAGCATTCCCTTTGAAAACTGGCACAAGACAGGGATGCCCTCTCTCACCACTCCTATTCAACATAGTGTTGGAAGTTCTGGCCAGGGCAATTAGGCAGGAGAAGGGAATAAAGGGTATTCAATTAGGAAAAGAGGAATTCAAATTGTCCCCGTTTGCAGATGACATGATTGTATATCTAGAAAACCCCATTGTCTCATCCCAAAATCTCCTTAAGCTGATAAGCGACTTTGGCGAAGTCTCAGGATACAAAATCAATGTACAAAAATCACAAGCATTCTTATACACCAATAACAGACAAACAGAGAGCCAAATCATGAGTGAACTCCCATTCACAAGTGCTTCAAAGAGAATAAAATACCTAGGAATCCAACTTACAAGGGACATGAAGGAACTCTTCAAGGAGAATTACAAACCACTGCTCAATGAAATAAAAGAGGATACAAACAAATGGAAGAACATTCCATGCTCATGGGTAGGAAGAATCAATATCGTGAAAATGGCCATACTGCCCAAGGTAATTTATAGATTCAATGCCATCCCCATCAAGCTACCAATGACTTTCTTCACAGAATTGGAAAAAACTACTTTAAAGTTCATATGGAACCAAAAAAGAGCCCGCATCGCCAAATCAATCCTAAGCCAAAAGAACAAAGCTGGAGGCATCACGCTACCTGACTTCAAACTATACTACAAGGCTACAGTAACCAAAACAGCATGGTACTGGTACCAAAACAGAGATATAGATCAATGGAACAGAACAGAGCCCTCAGAAATAACGCCACTTATCTGCAACTATCTGATCTTTGACAAACCTGAGAAAAACAAGCAATGGGGAAAGGATTCCATATTTAAGAAATGGTGCTGGGAAAACTGGCTAGCCATATGTAGAAAGCTGAAACTGGATCCCTTCCTTACACCTTATACAAAAATTAATTCGAGATGGATTAAAGACTTAAATGTTAGACTTAAAACCATAAAAACCCTAGAAGAAAACCTAGGCATTACCATTCAGGGACATAGGCATGGGCAAGGACTTCATGTCTAAAACATCAAAAGCAATGGCAACAAAAACCAAAATTGACAAATGGGATCTAATTAAACCAAAGAGCTTCTGCACAGCAAAAGAAACTACCATCAGAGTGAACAGGCAACCTACAAAATGGGAGAAAATTTTCACAACCTACTCAACTGACAAAGGGCTAATATCCAGAATCTACAATGAACTCAAACAAATTTACAAGAAAAAAACAAACAACCCCATCAAAAAGTGGGCAAAGGACATGAACAGACACTTCTCAAAAGAAGACATTTATGCAGCCAAAAAACACATGAAAAAATGCTCACCATCACTGGCCATCAGTGAAATGCAAATCAAAACCACAATGAGATACCATCTGACACCAGTTAGAATGGCAATCATTAAAAAGTTAGGAAACAACAGGTGCTGGAGAGGATGTGGAGAAATAGGAACACTTTTACACTGTTGGTGGGACCGAAAATTAGTTCAACCATTGTGGAAGTCAGTGTGGCGATTCCTCAGGGATCTCGAACTAGAAATACCATTTGACCCAGCCATCCCATTACTGGGTATATACCCAAAGGACTAAAAATCATTCTGCTATAAAGACACATGCACCCGTATGTTTATTGTGGCACTATTCACAATAGCAAAGACTTGGAACCAACCCAAATGTCCAACAATGATAGACTGGATTAAGAAACTGTGGCACACATACACCATGGAATACTATGCAGCCATAAAAAATGATGAGTTCATGTCCTTTGTAGGGACATGGATGAAATTGGAAATCATCATTCTCAGTAAACTATCACAAGGACAAAAAACCAAACACCGCATGTTCTCACTCATAGGTGGGAATTGAACAATGAGAACTCATGGACACAGGAAGGGGAACATCACACTCTGGGGACTGTTGTGGGGTGGGGGGAGGGGGCAGGATAGCCTTAGGAGATATACCTAATGCTAAATGACGAGTTAATGGGTGCAGCACACCAGCATGGCACATGTATACATATGTAACTAACCTGCACATTGTGCACATGTACCCTAAAACTTAAAGTATAATTAAAAAAAAAAAAAGAGGTAGATGGCCTAGCATTCTGTAAAGTTAAGCGATTAGGCTGTGGGGAAAAAAAAAAAAAAACTCATCCATTCAAGGATAAACATGTACTGAGATCCCAACATGTGCCATCTGGGCTCTGTGCTAAAAACTGGGGACACAACATTGGTCTATCCTGGCAGGCAAGAAGGACTGTGGATTGGTAAAGAGAAATAGAGTTATGCTCATTTTTTCACACTAAATTGCAGTTTTAATTTTCAAAGGCATTTTCAAACTGTCCTAAGCACAGGGAGGATGGTGGGTATTGTGTATACAGAGGCAAGCAGGATGCGGTAATCATTTCACTTCTTGGCCCTGCCTGTTAAGGTCCTGTAGGCCAGCTGGAGGGTCCTCCATTTAAGAAGATCATGAGTACTCACCAATCACACACATGCATTTCAGCTACAACAGTCTGAAAACACACTGAATTTATTGATAAGTAAGTGAAGAAAATGTGACTTAAGCCAAATTGGCAAGGCAATCAGATCCAGAGGAAGGAGCTGTGAGGCTGGTACAGGAAGTTGAAGAATTTGGGTGAGGAATGGCGTTACTGGATGAAGCAGAGCAGTGCATAAATCACGACTGAAAATTGCTGACATCCCCCGGGATGTTCCTTTAATGGGATCCCACATTCACACTGCCACTGCAGAGGTGACTCAGTAGAACCATTCTGCAGGATGCAGGGCCTCCAGATATGGACCTGGTTTTTCGAAACAGGCCCCTAGACTAAAAATGGAGGGTTGGGAGGTAAAAGAATAGAGGGGAAGCCAAAGGAGGCATTTAGTCTTGGACACCAACAATCACGGGGTCTCTTCAAAAGATCAAAACCAATTTAGCATCAGAGAAAATTGGGGCTGAAATGTTGAAATACTCAATTCGGCCATTTTTAATGCTAGAGAAATACTTGATTTCCAAGACCAAGGGATGTAGGAGGACTGTGTGACCTGGAAAATTAATGCAGGGATTGATTACAGGGATGGGTGATTACAGGCATACAAATTAGCCACGAGGCATTGTACAACATGGATTAGAAAAGCATGTATTAGGCGCATGGAGATGAGTTAGGAAGGTCCTGGAGGCTCCTGGTAGGATTTCAAGAATGTACCTTGGAATGAGCCTGTGGAAATACGAAGGAATGGATGGATCCGAAAAAAAAAAAAAATTAAAGAAAGCCTGGGGAGGAAGTAATGAGGGAAAGAATATAACAAGGAAGGCAGAAGGAAAAGACAGAAATAAGGCTTTTTTTGGTAACAGTATTAATAAAAGCTATCATTTACTGAATTGCAACTCTGTGCCAGGCACAGTGATATGTGCTTTTATATTTGATTTGAATTGCAATCTGAATGAATTAAATAACTATGCCCCAATATGACAGCTACTAACTGGTTGTAGTAGACACTACAATGCTCTGGCCAGATGCCCTCAGATCCTTTGTATCATTGGACATCAGTGTGTACACATGTGCATCGTATGCACGTGTTTGTGTGATCTGCATGTGTGTGTGTGCATGTGCATAGTGTGCATGGCATGCTTGTGTGCATAGCTGTGGGTGTGCAAGGTGTGCATGTATGCATGTCTCTGTGTGTGCATGTACATATGTGCATGCGTGTGGTATCTGTACATGTGTGCATGTCTCTGTATGTTTGTGCATGTGTGTTTGCATGGTGTGTGTATGCATGCCATGCGCACTTACATGCCCATTCTTCCCCCTTCTTTTGGGTGCCTTGCTTTTGATAGCTGGCACCTGGCACTTTCTTCCATGGGTGTGTTTGATAGGAGCCACCTACATTTACAGAAAATGAAGGTACCCAGAAAATTACACCTTCTCCAGAACGTATCTTAAGTGAAACAAGATAATCACTGCCCCTTGTTTTAAGGTGAGGCAAACTCTGAGGTATAAGTTGTACTTCAGAACTCTCTGTGGAGTAAGGTGGGGCTGGGAATTCACCTGAGCTCACAACAGAAATTGCCTTCTTTCCCCCTCCCTTTCCACTGACTCCCTTAGTGGTTTTTCTAGAAGGAATTCCTCAAAATCACTTGCTCATGAGTTGTCAAGACAGGGCCTACTTCTAAGGAATCAGACCTAAGAAATTGCTAGAACATAACTTGAACCCAGGGCTGGTTCACTCCAAAACCGCTGCTCCCAACTCTGCATCACATCATGGTGTGTTCGGAATTGGTTCCGTCCGGTGGGTTCTTGGTCTCACTGACTTCAAGAATAAAGCCACAGACCCTTGCGGTGAGTGTTACTCTTCTTAAAGATGGTGTGTCCTGAGTTTGTTCCTTCAGATGTTCATATGTGTCCGGAGTTTCTTCCTTCTGGTGCGTTCATGATCTCGCTTGACTTCAGGAATGAAGCTGCAGACCTTGGCAGTGAGTGTTACAGCTCTTAAAGGTACTGCAGACCCAAACAGTGAGCAGCAGCAAGATTTACGGTGAAGAGCCAGAGAACAAAGCTTAAAGTGGACCAGAGTCGGTTGCCGCTGCTGGCTCAGTTGGCCAGCTTTTATTCCCTTACACTGCCCCGCCCACATCCTGCTGATTGGTCCATTTTACAGAGTGCTGATTGGTCCGTTTTTACAGTGTTGAATGGTGCATTTACAAACTTTTAGCTAGACACAGAGCACTGATTGGTGTGTTTACAATCCTTTAGCTAGACAGAAAAGTTATCCAAGTCTCCACCCAACCCAGAAGCCCAGCTGGCTTCACCTCTCAATGGTAAAACATGCAGCAAAAGTTAGGCCTCCAACAAGCCCCCTATCTAACCCCTGCCTAACCCCCACCTAGCCCCGGGATGATTCCTGGCTAACTCCACACTAGCTCTCCACATTATGCAAGTACTGCCTGGCGATGGCAAAATACATGAAAACTAGGTAGCCAAACATGAAACAAACACGACTAACAGAAACTTCAAAGTTCCAAAATATCGAGGTTGAACCATGGTGCTTCCTGAGCTACAGAACAACTCAGAATCATAGAAATTATTGACAAATGTTATGTAAGAAACTGAAGACTACTTTTTTCCTCTAGAAGCAGAGTGAGCTTGTGACATCTGCATGACACTCAAACGGAATATGTAGTAGGCATTTGGGAAGCAGGATGCAGTTTCCCAAGAAGTAAGCAATTTCTGATTAATTACTCTCTGACCTTCATATGTGGAGCCACCAAATCACTAATGTAATGCGCGATCTCAATGAATACGAAAGGATGGAAGCAAACTCACCAACCCGAGACAGCCAAGAAGCTTAAGTTGAAAGAACATTAACAATAGCCTAGAAAAGCAGGTCAGGGGATAGCAGGTACCACCCTAAGAGAATCACCGGGCCTTTGCCCCGTTCGGGTAACTTTCATCTTTGGAGGAAGAGAAATGCCTTGAAGTAAAATGCTCTGTAGTTTACACTATATTTTGTTACATCACATTTTTAACTTTTATTTTAGGTTCAAGGGTACATGTGAAAGTCTGTTACATAGGTAAACATGTGTCATGGGTGTTTGTTGTACAAATTATTTCATCACCCAGGTATTAAACCCAGTACCCAATAGTTATACATGTTTAAAATTATAGTCATTTCCAAAACATTGAAGTATTTTTTTAATTATTTTATCTACCTTTACCCTAAATGTTCCCAAATATCTTATGAGATTTTATTTAACATATGTTTGTATTCCTTTTTTATCTTCTGACTAAATACTTGGATCCTTACTTTCTATAGGCAGAAATCTTTGCTGTTGAGTGATGGCAAAATGGGTGAAAACGCAGGTAGCCAATGACTCTCCCTGAGCCTGAGAGAAGAATGTCTTTCACAGAGCCTTTTAGAGGGAGCCCATTGGTACAGCAATTGGCCAGATTTACTCACGCAGTCTATTACAATTTTTCAAGTATTGAAAACCCTCCTTAAATTGTCCCACTGGATTCACACAGATATCCATTCAAGATTCTATCATTTAATGAAACTTAGAAAAAAAATCCCCTATTCTTCTCATAACAAGTAAAGTCATGCTTTAAGGTCAAGCATGCTCTCCCAAGTAGAATTTCTTTTAAAAAATTAAACCTGGTAGACAAACACTCAAATCTGAAAAACAGTGATGTCAAGTTCTCCGGGAAATGATGTGCTTCCAGAATATAATCCACACTCCAATATCTACTTTCCTGGCTCGTGAGAGGAGTCGTTCACTGTTTGAATAATCCTTGGGGACACTCTAAAGGCCAAATAAAGCCATGATTTTTTCTAAATTAGTCAGAATATTAAAGATAAGTGACAGAGAGAGAATCAAGGCATTAAGATAAAGCATGTAAGGCGAAGGCTACAGTGCAACATGTCACCGAGGAATTCTCAGAGCAAGAGCAAAGTGAGCCTGGACCCTGTGCTATGCCCGTGGATTGCAGATGGTGTTGAGACGAAGGGGTGTGCGGCTGGGTCTTCCCAAGAGGCGGGTGAACAGACGGGGCCCCTGCAGGGATTCCCATGGGCGTTTCCTGAGGACCTCACAGCCAAGTTGGCTCCAGCAGCATCAGCAGGTAGAAAGGTAGGGATGCAAAAAAGAGCAGGGGGCAGCCGGGCATCGTCAGCTGCCATTGCTGAATCCTGTCACAATGGTTCTGGCATATCCACAGAGAAAAAAAGAACAAAAAAGCTTTCTGAACAAGTGACCACGTTTCCTCCTTAACCTTGCCTGAGAAAGTGAACATGAACCATAAAAGCATCAGAGGTGAAAAGAACTTGATGATGGGATTGCCTCTAAAAGTAAGGAAAGAGTCCTGTGGCCAAACCTCAGAGACCACTCACCAAAGATGCAGTATGAGAGGGGAAGGATGTCCTTCACTTAGGCTGTGTTCTTTTCTGTTTCCACACTCAGGAAGTAGCGGTGAGTCCACTACAACATCTCTGCCTGTCCATCTTGTCTCTCAAGGAGCTAAAGCAAGAGGTTTAACGGTTTCGTTTCCTCCCACTCAGTTCTTGCTTCCATTTTCTTTCTTCCACCAAGTGGACATTAAAGATCACCACTCTCGGCCAGGTGTGGTGGCTCATGCTATAATCCCAACAATTTGGGAGGCCAAGGTGAGTGGATCACTTGAGGTCAGTAGTTCAAGACCAGCCTGGCAAATATAGTGAAACACCTTCTCTACTAAAAATTCAAAAGTTGTCCAGGTGTGGTGAATGCCTGTAATCCCAGCTACTCCGGAGGCTGAGGCAGGAGAATCACTTGAACCCAGGAGGTGGAGGCTGCAGTGAGCTATGATTGTGCCACTGCACTCTAGCCTGGGTGAGAGAGCAAGAGCAAGAAAGCAAGAAAGCAAGCAAGCAAGCAAGCAAGAAAGAAAGAAAGAGAGAGGGAGGGAGGGAGGGGAGAAAGAGAAAGAAAAAAGAAGAAAGAAAATCACCACTCTCCACATTTAGTAGCCAAGTGTAGATTATTACATATTTCCAGTTGTGAGTTCAGTTCTTCATCCTCCCCAGAGTTCCAAATAATACTTACATTTTTTCCCTTCCTCTCCAAGGCTGTGTCACACTTTGTAGCTCTGAAGGTATCCAAAGCAAACATGATATCAACTCTATCTATCTCAAGACATTTGATGCTACTGCTGTGCAGGTTTGAGGGAGAGAAGGCAATAGCACAGAGGCCATTAACTTTCTTTTGCAAAATCACCTTTCTCATTAGATGTGAAAAATGTGTTTTAGAACAGCAGTTTATGGCAGTTGACTAGATAAAACTTCAGAAAGATAGTACACACAACGAAAGGTGAGACAAATTGCAGTGATAAGGTATGTCAGCAGAGGGCTGATGCTGCAAGAATATAGTGTCTTTGTGTCTGTAGCCATTTATTAAGCAAGGTTATGTCAGTGTGGTTGGCATAGAGAAATGAAGACTCCAATATACCCAGGAGCAGCTCAACATAATTATCAGTACCTCTGGATTTCTGTATCCTTTCCTCAGACTACCTATTGGCACTGATATGTTCATTTAAAAAATAATATGCCAGAAAAATTACTTTAAAAATAATTATTTTTAGTAGTTTAATAAACAATTTATGAATTAAAAATAATCTCTCCACATTACAAAAATGAGGATTTTCTTTCAGAAAGAAATTAGTCCATTTTCACACTGCTGTAAAGAACTACCTGAGACTGGGTAATTTATAAAGAAAGAGGTTTAACTGACTCACAGTTCCACATGGTTGGGGAGGCTTCAGGAAGATTACAGTCATGGGGGAAGGTAAAGTGGAAGCAAGCAACTTCATCACAAGGCGGCAGGAGAGAGTGAGTGAGGGGGGAAGTGCCACGTGTTTAAACCATCATATCCCATGAGAACTCACTCACTATCACAAGAATGACATGGGGGAAATCCACCCACATGATCCAACCACCTACCACCAGGTCACTCCCTTGACCCATGGGGATTTACAATTCCACATGAGATTTGGGTAGGGACACAGAGCCAAACCATATCAAATATGTAATTATTAATTTTGCATAAGTATGAAAATTCAAAGGTGTTCCATTAGCTTAGGGAACATAGTTATGTTTCCTGAAGAAAATTAAAAAATAATGACACAAAGATTTTTAAAATTCTGTTTTCAATTTTAAGCTCTATCAATCTGTTTCAATATACACCATTATTATGGAATAGCATCAGTGTTCAATTCCTCACTTACTTACCAGTGAAGCACAGATAGGTTCATATTAAGGAAAACAGCTGTATTGCCCACTAAAAATATTAGGAAAAAGGCAGATTTTTATCTAAGAAGGTTTTCCAATGCTTTTATCTTATACCTGGAAAATGGTCACAGCTTCTGTTCATAAACTTTCTCTTGGAAAGGATATTGCTACCACACTACACACGGATAACAGGGATCTGAGGTAAACAGTTTCATTTTGCAATATTAAGTCTCTTAAATGTGAATGTGGAAAAATCAGAAAATAACTTCCACATAATCCCCAACCCTACCCACCTTCCAGTTGTATACTCACATACTCTGACCTCATTTCCGTCTCCATGGATGACTATCTCTACTGCTTTCTAAGGCTAACCATTTGTTTTTTCAGTGGCTCCCATGCTTTCTCACCTACACAAGAATGTTGCTTCTGCAAATAAACTTTCTTATGTATCTACTGTATCATCCCATGAGCCCACAGATATGTTATACCTTCTTCCACTATGAAAACCAACAAGTTTTTAAAAATACCCTGACTCCACGTCTCTTGAAATTAAGGCAGAAATAAATAAGTTATTTGAAACCAATGAGAACAAAGACACAATGTACAAGAATCTCTGGGACACAGCTAAAGCAGTGTTTACAGGGAAATTTATAGCACTAAATGCCCACAGGAGAAAGCAGGAAAGATCTAAAATCGACACCCTGATATCACAATTGAGAGAACTAGAGAAGCAAGAGCAAACAAATTCAAAAGCTGGCAGAAGACAAGAAATAAATAAGATCAGAGCAGAACTGAAGGAGATGGAGACACAAAAAACCCTTCAAAAAAATCAATGAATCCAGGAGCTGGTTTTTTGAAAAGATTAACAAAATAGATAGACCGCTAGCCAGACTAATAAAAAAGAAAAGAGAGAAGAATCAAACAGACACAAAAACATTATAAAGAGAAGATCACTGATCCCACAGAAATACAAACTACCATCGAGAAAAATATAAACCCCTCTATGCAAATAGCCTAGAAAACCTAGAAGAAATGGATAAATTCCTGGACACGTACACCCTCTAAAGACTAAACCAGGAAGAAGTAGAATCCTTGAATAGACCAATAACAAGTTCTGAAATTAAGGCAGTAATTAATAGCATACCAACCAAAAAAAGCCCAGGACCAGATGGGTTCACAGCTGAATTCTACCACAGGTACAAAGAGGAGCTGGTACTATTCCTTCTGAAATTATTCCAAACAATAGAAAAAGAGGGACTTCTCCCTAACTCATTTTATGATGCTGGCATCATCCTGATACCAAAACCTGGCAGAGACACAACGAAAAAAGAAAATTTCAGGCCAATATCCCTGATGAACATTGATGTGAAAATCCTCAATAAAATACTGACAAACCGAATCCAGCAGCACCTCAAAAAGCTTGTCCACCACAATCAACTTGGCTTCATCTCTAGGATGCAAGGCTGGTTCAACATATGCAAATCAATAAATGTAATCTATCACATAAACAGAACCAGTGGAAAAAAACACGTAATTATCTCAATAGATGCAGAAAAGGCTTTCAATAAAATTCAACACCTCTTCATGCTAAAAACTCTCAATAAACTAGGCATTGATGGAACGTATCTCAAAATAATAAGAACTTTTTATGACAAACCCACAGGAATATCATACTGAATGGACAAAAGCTGGAAGCATTCCCTTTGAAAACCAGCACAAGACAAGGATGCCCTCTCTCACCACTTCTATTCAAAATAGTATTGGAAGTTCTGGCCAAGGCAATTAGGCAAGAGAAAGAAATAAAGGATATTCAAACAGGAAGAGAGGAAGTCAAATTGTCTCTGTTTGCAGATGACATGAGTGCGTATTTAGAAAACCCTATCGTCTCAGCCCAAAATATCCTTAAGCTGATAAGGAACTTCAGCAAAGTATCAGCATACAAAATCAATGTGCAAAAGTCGCAAGCATTCCTATACACCAATAATAGACAAACAGAGAGTCAAATCATAAGTGAACTCCCATTCACAATTGCTACAAACAGAATAAAATACCTAGGAATACAACTTACAAAGGATGTGAAGGACCTCTTCAAGGAGAACTACAAGCCACTGCTCAAGGAAATAAGAGAGGACACAAACAAATAAAAAAAAAATTCCATGCTCATTGATAGGAAGAATCAACATCGTGAAAATGACCATACTGCCCAAAGTAATTTATAGATTCAACGCTATGCCCATCAAGCTACCACTGACTTTCTTAGAATAATTTAAAAAACTATTTTAAATTTCATATGGAACCAAAAAAGAGCCTGTATAGCCAAGACAATCCTAAGGAAAAAGAACAAAGCTGGAGGCATCACACTACCTGAATTCAAACTATACTACAAGGCTACAGTAACCAAAACAGCATGGTACTGGTACAAAAACAGATATAGACCAATAGAGCAGAACAGAGGCCTCAGAAATAATGTTTCTACAACCATCTGATATTTGAAAAACCTGACAAAAACAAGCAATGGGGAAAGGAGTCCCTATTTAATAAACGGTGTTGGGAAAATTGCTAGCCATAAGCAGAAAACTGAAACTGGACCCTTTCCTTATACCTTATACAAAAATTAACTCAAGGTGGATTAAAGACTTAAATGTAAGACCTAAAACTGTAAAAACCCTAGAAGAAAACCTAGGCAATACCATTCAGGACATAGGCACTGGCAAAGACTTCATGACTAAAACACCAAAAGCAATGTCAGGAAAAGCCAAAATTGACAAATGGGATCTAATTAAACTAAAGAACTTCTGCACTGCAAAAGAAACTATCATCAGAGTGAACAGGCAACCTACAGAATGGGAGAAAATGTTTGCAATCTATCCATCTGACATAGGGCTAATATCCAGAATCTACAAGGCACTTAAACAAATTTACAAGAAAAAAACAAACATCCCCATCAAAAAGTGGGTGAAGGATATGAACAGAGACTTCTCAAAAGAAGACATTTATGTGACCAACAAACATATGAAAAAAAGCTCATCATCACTGGTCATTAGAGAAATGCAAATCAAAACCACAATGAGATACCATCTCAAGCCAGTTAGAATGGCGATCAGCAACAAGTCAGGAAACAACAGATGCTGGAGAGGATGTGGAGAAATAGGAACACTTTTACACTGTTGGTGGGAGTGTAAATTAGTTCAACTGTTGGGGAAGACAGAGTGGCGATTCCTCAAGGATCTAGAACCAGAACTACCGTTTGACCCAGGAATCCCATTACTGGGTATATACCTAAAGGATTATAAATCATTCTACTATAAAAGCACATGCACACGTATGTTTATTGCAGCACTGTTCACCATAGCAAAGGCTTGGAACCAACCCAAATGCCCATCAGTGATAGATTGGATAAAGACAATGTCCACATATACACCATGGAATATTAGGCAGCCATAAAAAAGATGATTTCCTGTCCTTTGCAGGGACTTGGATGAAGCTAGAAAGCATCATTCTCAGCAAACTAACACAAGAACAGAAAACCAAACACTGCATGTTCTCACTTATAAGTGGGAGTTGAACAATGAGAACACATGGATACAGGGAGGGGAACATCACACACAGGGGCCTGTCAGGGGTGGCAGGCTAGGGGAGGGATAGCGTTAGGAGAAATACCTTATGTAGATGACGGGTTGATGAGTGCAGCAAACCACCATGGTACGTGTATACCTGTGTAACAAACCTGCACATTCTGCACATGTATCCCAGAACTTAAAGTATAATAATAATAAAAAAGAAATATACACACATTAATGATGCCTTCCTGAAATTGTCCCTTTCATTATAACACCTTATTTACGTAAAAAAAAAACACACACACACAATGAAAGATCTCCTCACACACGTCAGGATGTGAGTGTGTTATAAAAATAAAACACATGTATAGAACATGTTATCAAAAAGACAACGGATTACAAGTTGTTGGTAAGAATGTGGAGAAAAGGAAAGCCTTGTGCACTGCTGATGGGAACCTAAATTAGTGCAACCATTTTGGAAAGCAGTAAAGAGTTTCCTCAAAAAATTCAAAACAGAATAACAAGATGATTCAGTAATCCCACTTCTGGGTATATACATCCAAATGAAATGGAAATCAGTGTCTTCAACAGATACCTGCATTCCCAAGCTTATTGCAACGTTATTCACAATGACCAGGCTATGGAAATTATCTACGTGTCCACTGATGGATGAATTGGAAAAAAAAAAGTGTGCTTCATATAACCTGGAGAATGTTATTCTAAGTGAAATAAGCCCGACACCAAAGGGCAAATACTATATGATCTCACTTATATGCAGAATCTAAAAAGTCAAACCTGTAGAAGCAGATAGTAAAATGGTAGTTGCCAGGGGCTAGGGCTTGGTATGGGTAGGGGATAGGGAGATGTTGGTCAAAGGCTACAAACTTTCATTTATAAGATGAATAAGTTCTGGAGCTCTAATGTGTGGCATGGTGATTCTAGTTAGTAATACTGCACCACATACTAGAAATTTGCTAAGAGAGTAGGTCTTAAGTGTTCTGACACATGCACATAACTATATGAGGTGATGGATGCGTTAATTAGCTTGGTTTCAGTAATCATTTCATAATGTGTATGTATACATGTATATAAAATGATCATGTTGTACACAGTAAATGTATAGTTTTTATTTCTCAATTATAACAATAAAGCTGGAAAATAAAGGAAAAACTGAATGAAAAAAGTGTCCGTACTTATTGAATTTCCCCACTCCACCAAAGCTGCTCTTATCCACAGTCTTCAAAATGTCAACTCAAATGATCAAATGTTGGTCCTCCTCTTTCTTGTCTTCTCAGCTATGTTTATCCAGATGATTTCTCCCTCATTCTGGGAGCATTCTCTTGCCTTCCTAAACATCAAATTGTCTTCATTTTTTCTTCTTTTTGGTTTGTCTCACTCTCTCTAGTGGCTATCCCTCCTTTTTCTGAGACTTCGTAATATTCAAGCATTGAGGCTCAAGCCTTGAAGCTTTTCTCCTCTCTCCCTACTCATTCTTGGTGTGATATCATTTATATAACACTAAGTGCCATGTTTATGCTGATGATTCCCACACTAATTTCTATGATTTCAACTTCACCCCTGAAATCACTACCATTATGTTCTCGTGTTCATTTCACATTTCCTCTTAACTCCCTTCAGATCTTAAATAAATAAGTGAATGAATGAGTTTATGGAAAAGAAATCCTGAATAACTAATAGAAAAGATTCTCAACTTACACAGTCATCAGGGAGAGATATAATAAATCACTAATGAACACTATTTTGTAACCTTTATAATGGCAGAAAATATTTTTAAAAAACAAGAAATCTGATATATAAACTGATGGTGATGATATGGCAGAAAGCAAGTCCAAAAAGGCTCTTTACTCTTGAGACTAGGGAGAACTATCAGGCTTTTCCCAGTTAGCAGAAGACTACACATGCCCCATGACTTAACAGACTTATTTGTCATGTTTCTACACAAGGAAATGTTCCTGCAGGAAAAATAGATTAACTGTGAGCAACTTTTGCCTACAATTTGCATATGCAAAAATCAAAGTGACAAGTAGGCTCATTACAGAATCAGTTACTTTAGTAAAATGTAGGAACAATCTGATTTTATATTAATAGTGGAATGGGTAAACTTTGACATATTTATATAATTTAACATAGATAACTAAAGTAAATTTTAAGACATAATGATAACAAAACCAAGTTGAAGAATGTTTACATTTCTTAATGTACTATGGATGGTCATATACATTTATAACCAAATGACGACTGGGCCTGGAAAGAAATGCACCACATTTAACATAATCTTACCTTTGGTGTATTGAAGAACAGAAAGGTCCAGGTAGACAACAAATAAAAGCCCAACTGTATATATAACATTTTATGTAATAAAAAATATTCTTTGAATAAAAAATATGCTTTGAAAAGGGTTTTGAAAATTGTATAGCTAGAAAGAAACTAACATGTATCAATGATCTACTGTACTCAGATTCAGAGTACTGGGTCCAGAACCAGAATGCCTGGGTTTATATCCTGACCTTGCCATCTACTAGATATATCACTTTGAACAAGTAAATTAGCCATGCTAAGATTTGGTCTGTCTAAAAAATGAGGATAGTAATAGTTTCTATCACTTAGCACTGCTGTGATAATTTAATTAGATGATTCATTTACAAAGTATTTCACATATGCCTGTCATTGACAAAGGCACAGTAAATATGAGTTATTATTTTTAGACTATGAACTCAGCCAGTCTGCCTCCAGAGCCTCCCCACACTATTCAAGGAGAAAACCAAACTGAAAAAAATAATAATTAGGATTCACCTTTTGTTTTTTCTATCCTGAAACTATACCCATTGTTGATGAGGTCATTAGCAAGAGGAGCTGCAGCCTATTCTTGATTAATTAGCACAAGGCCATAAGCATAGGTCAAGCTTGGTGAGCTGTTTTCCCTCAACTGACACATAATATCATGTCCATAAATCTTAGCAAATTAAAAGAGACTATTTCATCAAGAATTCTTGTAAAATTTGAATATGAAATGTTAAAATATAATTAAAAAACTATTCATTAATGCAGTTATATTATTGCGTAGTCTAAATTACACTGATACTAAGATGAATGCTCAAACTGAAAATAAAAACATCAATTACCTGTCAATTTCATCAGGAGGATTACATATTAACCAGTTGGAGGAATTGCAGTCAATGGCTTTATAAATATGTAACATCAAATTTGCTGAATTTGAGTCTGTTTCTAAAATTTATACTTAATGTTTTTCTGAACATTAAAAAATATAGCAGAATTGAAGGTTAAGGAAGAGATAGGAAAGATTTTTGCAAGAATAATTTAACCTAGGAAGAACGTTCTCCGCCTGGCCTAGTTACCAGATTTCTGCTGAGGTGGCATTCCTTGGAGTGCTCGCCCTTGTGAACACATGTTTTTTTATTTATTCCCTAGGCTTTTCTTATTTCAACTTTTACATGGTTTCCTTCTATAATTCCTTGGGGGCCACCTGGCCTCTTTTTCAGAGTAAGAGCTTAGGTCGGTACTGAAGGCGAGCCGGTAGCCACCTGCACTCTGAAACTCCCTCCCTCCGCCTTCATAAAGTGGCTGCAGGGCCCACAAAGCAATAAAACACAGCCACTTCTGGACACAGTATCCTTACTCTCTTTCCATTTCACTACCATCATCTGATTGAGTGAAAATACTCTAACCTCTTTGCCATGTTTCTTTTGATAAAACCAGAGAAGTATAGAATATTCAGGAGGGATTTAAACTGTCACAGATACAAGAAAATTTCAGACACAACTCATTTTGATTTTCAAGTGAAATCCATTTAGGTTGGTTTTCTCATCTTTATAGAGACCTCAACATCAAAAGGAATTAAAGAAAGAATAGAAGCTTGTTAAATGCCAGACATTTATACCTTTGTACTTGCTACTGTGAAATAACCTATGAATGACATTTCCAAATAATGTGAGTTTTTTATTTAATTTATGAATTTGGCAGTAATAAATTTACTAACAAGCATTTTACTTGTGTGTTTTCATTTTTAGACATAAAAAGAAAAGACATGTATAGAACAAAGATAACAAATGCCTTTATCTCTAAACATATATTTAGAAAATGTCATATATAGCAGAATGTTTAGTGTTCACTTAAAAAAACCCTGCAACTCCAGAAGGTAACCTGATTATTTCAGAAATTTTGCGATTTTTTAAATTAAAGAACCATTGTAAATTACAAAGGCAGGAGCATTATTATTAGAAATTATAATTGATGAGTAGAAAAGTGAATCCTCCAATCCCAGAATGATTTTGAACCCCGTATGGTGTCAGGTTGGTTAGGAAATGGCATACAATCATGTCAGGACTATAGAAGCCAATTTTGATTAAATTCTGTTTCTGAAGTGGAGCCCATAGAAAAAAGAATATCTTCAGACACTCATCTTTTTAAAGCTCCTTTGGAAAAAGCTTGGAATCTAGCATTTTGGCACTGACATACTAGCATTATTGCCTGTAATAGGTGGAAAATGGTTTACAGAAAATGGAAGAATTCATTTTAAATGTTTGTTCTATTTTTATGATATTTTGATATACAAACTTCAACACAATGGACTAAAACTATACATTCATACATTTTAAAAGTATTTTAGTATTTCATAACTTAGCAAGATAGAAAAAAGATGACGATGTTATCTCTGGATATATAAATATACTATTTACAATGATAGAATGCACAATTTATAATATTTTCTAATTATTTCAGCCAATCATTCCATGAATATTTATTGTGCATCTTCTATGTACGACATTGTGTTCTAGACACTGGGAATACAAAAGTGAAAAAACAGACAACTCTACCTTCACACAGTGTATAAACAAGCAGAAACAATAAACAAGCTTGTGTCTATGTACAAAGATCTTACATTGTAGACAGTAAGGACTAAATAAAAAAGGGCAGGAATAAATAAATAAAGTAAGGACTAAAGAATCAATAAAGCAGGGAGGCAGAGTATGAACTGCCATAGTCGAGAGTTACTGTTTTAGATAGAGTGGCCAAGGATAGCTTCACTGGGACGATGAGATTTGAATACACCTGCTGAAAGTGAGAACCCTCACCATGTTGACATCTGTCGTTTCCATGAGAAGTGAATCCTGGGGGAACCTTAATTAAATCTGAGGCTCTTCCAAGGTGCCAGAGTGCCCTGGTGCCCAAGAGGGATGGCAGGAAAAAATAGGAACTAGAAGAGGCAAAGTGACACTAAGTCATGTAGGGTTTAGAGTCGTGAGATTTTGTATTTTACTCTGAGTGAGCTGAGAAGGCATTATAAACATTTGAGTGAGGAATGGCATTTTAGTTGAACTGCTGTGGCTGATTTTTGAGAAGATACTGCAAGGTGAAATGGTGGAAATGAGCTCAGGTTGGAAACGACTGAGGTATTATAGCATTTTGGTAAGAGACGATAGTGAGTTGGGAGGGTGAAATGTGCCTGAATTCTACATATTGAAGCTGCCAGGATTTACTGACAAATTGGAATAGAGTAAAAGACTGAGGGCAATGAAATTGAGAAGTCTCTGGCAACATCAAATTTCTGGGCCTTAAGAATGTCAGGAAGGTGAATGAATACAACTAAGAATGGAAGAATTACAACATAATCAGATAGAGGGAACTTGGGGACTCAGTTTTGAACAGAGTAGGAAATGGCTACTATCTAGCACCCCTGTGAAAGACCTAAGTGTGAAATTCCAATTGAATAATTATCAGAGGATAGAGCGCATATCTACTCATGAGACAGAATGCAATAAACTAGGGAATGAGGAAGGATAGAAAAGATTTTCAAGATCTGAGCACTGGAGTAGTGCAACATTAGAAGGACAAGGAGATAAGAAGTAACAAGCCAAATAGAAGAGAAGAAATCGGAAGAAAAATAGAACAAAAACCAGGTTAGTGTGGCATCCTGAAAACTAACTGAAGTCAACATTTCAAGGAAGAAAATTGTCAGATGCCTCAGACAGGTTTTATAGGGTGAGGATCAAGAAGTGGTCATAAGACTATGTAGTCTTCGGTATACTTGACAGAAACTTAATAGAGAGCATCTGTAGAAGAATGGAAGGAGAGGCAATAAACATGGACAGACTTTTCTAGCACTTCGGTTGTAGACATAAAGACAGTACCTGCAGGAAAAAAAATGAGGGAATAAATGGAATTTTTAAGTGAGTGATATAATAATATCGGAGTGTGTCAGTGACAAGGGTACACTGGAGACGTATGAAAAGGAGAGTGAGAGGGGAAGGGATGGGGCATTGTCCTTGGGGTGGGAGTGGAGAACAAGGGACACCTGGTGCGTGAGTGGAGGGTAAGGCTCCTAGACCATCTTCTATTATTCATCAACGTCATTTTATGAGAAGGGCTTATCTGACCAAGTTAAATTCCTCCCCACTCCAACAGCCTAGGCATGCCTTTTCCCCTTATGCTGTCATATTTTCCCCATGTGTAATAGTTAACTAAGTTCAACTGAAATATAAATAGACCACCTGATGTATAACGGTTCGAGTCTAATAAGTTTGTTATTCTCACCTTTTTGGTCGAAGTGAATATTCCTGGTCACTGGGTGGTTGTTCTTTTCATGGGGACTCAGGATGAGAGGTTTATTTCATTTGCAGTTTTTTTTCTTTTCTTTTCTTTTTTTTTTCCAAATCTTGCCTTGGTAGCAGCTGAAGAGAGGACAGAGGAGGGAGCTACATTATAAGCTTTGAGAAGTGGGCACACATGGCTTTTGCCCACCTTGCAGCGTGAGAGAAAGGGCCACACCCCATGTACATTTGAAATAGGAGGACAGATTTTGGTGGAAGCTTGCTTATCATAACATATTATACTGAAGTTGTAAAGAAAATTATCTACCTATTTTCACTGTGCCACTGTTAGAAGGTAGGCTCACTAAGGAGCTTTGTTTACTTTTATATTCCTAATGGCTTGACAAAACTCAAACATGCACTAGACACTCAATAAGTATTTCCTAAATGAACAAATTTGAAGCATATATACTTTTTGGCCTAAAAGATAGTTTCTCCTGAGCCAGAAAAGGCAGCTATCTAGGCTTTCAGGATAACGTATCCATCTGCCAATGCTATTTGGCTTTGCTTAATAAGCTTTAAATTTGGAATGTATTTTCCACCATTTCCCACAACACAAGACAAAAATAGACTTTAAAAATATATATGTTTTGACTATTTTGATAGATGTATACAATGTTAAATGCTTCATTTTATATGGTTCCACATGCGTGAACTACGTTTTTTTGTCTTTTGATATTTCTTACTAGGTAAATGTTACTCAATTTAAATATATATTTTAAATATATAATAGCTAATCAGAAAGTAAATTTAACATTTACTATCTAGAAGAAACTAATTGAGTTTTTTTATTATCATAATACGCTTAACTATTTTTTTGTCTTCTGATATTTCTTACTAGGTAAATGTTACTAAATTTATATATACCTTTTAAGTATCTAATAGATAATCAGAGGATAAATGCAACATTTACTATCCAAAAGAGAGATTTTTTATTATTATGTTTATTATTGTCTTTTGATATTTCTTACAAGGTAAATGTTACTAAATATATGTATAACTTTACAACATATAATAGATAATTAGAGAGTAAACTTAACATTTGCAACCTGAAAGCCACTGAGTTTTTTATAATTATAATGTTTTTGACTCCTCAATCTGGTTTAGCTAATTTGACTGATCCCTACTACTGCTAGTATTGGAAAAATAAAATATATGTATACATATATATATTCAAATTCACAGTTACAGTTATGAGATACAGAAATCACCCCAAACTCAGTTAACAATTTGAATTCTCTTAGGAATATTTAGGTAGGTAGAAATGATCTAAGTTATGATATTTTACATTACAATACAAAGTTTGGGAAATTTATATAGATCTGTTTTGAAATATTGCCGAACATGTGTTTCGTTAAATATATGGTCTCTAGGTACATGCTCATTTGCTTATTTAGATTTTCTGAAGTTTGAGCCTTAAATGATTTGAGAGCTAATTCTGGTAATCTGCTTTGGGATAATAGCACTGAGTGACACCCAGAAGTCCCAGCTGGAAGACAACAGTTGCCATACGCTTAAGGTCATCGGATTTGTGGCGCCTCCACCAGCTGTGCTCTAGAGCCCACTCTGGCTGCCTCTTTATTTCTACATGTAATTCATAGTGTTGACATTTTGGTTTATAATCATGTCCAAGTCCTGAGTGCTTCTCTGGTAAGTGCCCAAGCAAATGAATGTTCTCAGGGGCTATTTTTGAAGTTAACTCACTTTTTAGCCAGTCTATGGACAAAGGTCTAGTCTCCAACAGTTATCACTAATGCCAAGAAGTATTCATAGTGAAATTCCAAAATTTCTTTAGCTTGAATTTTGTCAAAGATTCAACCGGAGGAGCAGAACCAAAACTCTGTGTGAGTCTAATTAAGCAAGTCAATCTTTTCATTGAAATGGGTTCTGGGTGAGATGAGGTGGGTAAGTTTCCTCTCAGAATGAATACATGTAGTTTTGGACACCATTTTGAAAAATATCTTTGTGGAATTTCCCTAGAACTCTTGAACCATAAACTACTAAAATTTTTAAAAACTGAAGACCCAATCACGTACTATTGCCAAGCAAGTAGCGGCAATAGTACTTGATTGGGTCTTCAGTGTGAGCATCTAACATGATCCTCCAAGCTATGTGTTCTGCCTTCATCTTCACAGTTTTCATTATAACTTCTTCAGTTAATAAGATATTAACTTCGACCAAATTAGGAAATAGAGATGAAAAAATACACTGGTTTAGGCAGTAGATCTTTGTCCGCTGTTGCCATGGAACATCACAATATTATTGAGTCTTAATTAAGTGCTCACAATACACCATGAGATGTGCAAATTACTCAATTCATATTCTCCATGTTAATTCTAACAAAAATACCTATGAGATGTTATATTATAGTAGCAATAAGGTAATACTGTGGGTAATTGACTTTGGAAGGAACTGAAGCTTAGAGAATTTAACAATGGATTGCTTCTCGGCTAAAAATATGGAAGAAGCAGGAATATAACCCCCAGGCCCTAGCTACAGACTTTTCACCTCTACATTGTATTTCCTTGATTTAAAGAATCATACATTTTTTATCTATTGGTCATATCATTTTCTTTAGAATGTAATCACTGCCCCATTTTCATCTTTGGACGCCTACTTATGTTTCAAAGTCCAATTAAAATAAATGTACAGATAATTTTTATGGCAAGGATTGGCTAATTTTTTTTGGAAAATTTCTTACTAATTTTTCACCACAATTAAGAAGACCTATATTCTTTATCCCTTTCTTTGTTCACTACTAGACCATATTTCCCAGGCTCCTCATATCTGGTTGGGACCACGGGACTGTTGTTCATGGAATGTGGAATGTGTGTGGGAGGGTGGTTGCCACTTCTGGGCCTGATCCTCTCACACGTCCTCCCTACACATTTCCTATACTATCTTTTTCCACCTCTTGCCTGGAAGCACAGAATTCAGGAAAGGACACCAAGACCTTACAACATGATGGAACTAGCCTACATCTTCAATTCACCGTGTGCTTACTGGGAACATCTACATTGGATTTTTCATGGGTTTGTATCATATTTTTATTGTCTTAAGTCCCTGAGAATTATTATTTTTGTGTGTTTGATAGCAGTTGATGCCTACCCTGCCTAAAGCACCATTTAACCTTGATTACCCATTTTAAGTTTACAATGTGTTTTCACAAGTAATAGCCTATTTTAACAACATTCACATGACATGAGTACTATTAGTGATTCTTATAAGCTGCGGTTTTACCCCCAAATTTATATATCAAAGTGCTAAACCCCAGTTCCTCAGAATGTGACCGTATTTGCAGATGGGTCCTTAAAGAGGTAATTAAGTTACAATGAGGCAGCTAGGATGGACTTGAACTTACTATGACTGGTGTCCTTACAAGAAGAGGTTTAGACACAGACGCACCACACGGGAAGACCACATGAAGACATGGAGAAGATAGCCATCTGCAAGCCAAGGAGAGAGGCCTCAGAAGAAACCAACCCTGGGCCGGGCGCGGTGGCTCACGCCTGTAATCCCAGCACTTTGGGAGGCCGAGGCGGGTGAATCACAAGGTCAGGAGATCGAGACCATTCTGGCTAACACGGTGAAACCCTGTCTCTACTAAAAATAGAAAAATTAGCCGGGCGTGGTTGCGGGCGCCTGTAGTCCCAGCTACTCCGGAGGCTGAGGCAGGAGAATGGCGTGAACCCGGGAGGCGGAGCTTGCAGTGAGCCGAGATCGCGCCACTGCACTCCAGCCTGGGCGACAGAGCCAGACTCCGTCTCAAAAAATTAAATTAAATTAAATTAAAAAAAAGAAGAAACCAACCCTGCTAACACAGTGATATCAGATTTCTGCTTTCCAGGATTTTAAGAAACTAAATATCTCCTGTTTAAACCTTCCAGTGTGTGGTGCTCTGTTATAACTGCGTGACCAAACCAACACAGGGTTGCTATCCGATGAATGCATGAAGCTTAGAGAGAAAAAGAAACTTTGTAAATGACACGTGAAAATAAGTAGCAGCATCAGGCATCAAGCTCAGTTTTTGGGATGCCACCAGCTGACATTTAGTATTTTCTCAGACCTGTACAATAAAGATTCTAGTTTGATAATTTCATCTGATTTCTATATTGCTTATTATTTGTACCATAAATTTGGAATGTTTATTATACCATACTTATTTATTTTTCTATTTTCCTTATTATATTTTAAGCTTGTAGTAGGCAAAGACCATATTTCTAAATCTTTATATCACTTATAGCATATGGACCAAAGCCTAAAGTCCAGAAGAAGTCAACAATCAGACCTTAAAATGTCACATTAGCCGGGTGAATAACATATATTGACAACCAATGCCATAGGTTATTAATCGAAAATCAATGTCATAGGTTATTCATGTCGCAATACAAGTATGTAGCAACATATCAGATGGTTTCATGTAGTTTGCTTGTAAAAATATTTGTCAAACATGTATTTCTTCAATGTTTAAAATGTGATTTCTTTTTCCTTTTATTTTCTTACTTTCCCTTTTATAGCAAAAATGTTTCTGTGAAGACATTTTAAGTTGTATGTATAGATTGAGTCTGCACTGTTTTGCAATTCACACTTATCCTTATAAAAAACTTTATATGTTTTTAATAACTTGGAAATTAACATTGTTATAGATATTAGCATAGCCGCATATGTAAACACAAACTTCACACTTACCCTTTGCTTCTATATGTGGGATTAGAAAAACTCTGTTCAAATATTTATTGCATTACTTACCCTGATTCCTTTATGCATCCTATTTGTTTGATAATATCTCACTATAAAGGTCTGAGGCAGAGTTGCTTAAAATTATGATTGTCATGGTAACTACCAGCTACCACTGTAATGGTACCCTCTAAAATATTTAAGGCTGGAATAGCAAAAAGAGAAATAAAATGACTTTGTAATAAGAGAAATTAATTAAAAAATAGATTCATAAATCTAACATTCCTGTTTGTCACTTTTGAAATATTATTAGCTTGTAAAACATAAAAAAATTAGACAAAAATATATGCATGCTGACATAAATTAGATTTCAAAAGCATCATTTTTAATAAAGGCTTTTAACTGCCTCAGTCTGGAAATAGTCTGCAATCTGGTGGATAAATATGCAGCAAATGACAAATTAATATGTGTTGGCCCTCATCAACATCGGAGACAAATGTTATTATAATGTTTTGGACTCTGCTCAGTTTTGTCTGTCTGGAGAAGGCTGTACAAATGGCAGAGAGTCTGCAATTCAGAGGGACAAAGCTGCCCTCTATGTGAAAACAGTGTGTGCTGCACCATGTAATAAAAAGTGAAAGGTTAAAAGATTTAGAGGAAAACAAATTTTATTAATCTGCTAAATCCATTAAAACCCTTAAAGATTGAAAAAAGAACTATGTAACTGAGATCCAATAGGACCCATAAAATGTCAGTGGAACTAGTCCATGCTTTCCCTGTGGATTATCTACTTCTAGAATTCAATACTCAACTAAATGTGTCTCTCTTAAAATTTTTCATCTATAAGCTTTTAAAAATGGAATAAAATGAACTTTTCAGGAAATGTAGACTAATACATAGAAAATATAGACAATTAAAATGATTTTAAACATTTCTGATATCTTAGACTGTATATAATAATAAACAAAATTTTTCTTATTCTCAAAATATTTCTATAAAACAAATCTTTTTATGAGTTTCCTCAGAGTTTTATTTCCCAAGAAAACAGGGCAATTATGACATATGTAACATCAAGAGTCCAGAAACACGCTCATGTCTCAAATCACTAATATTAAGTAATATTTTTATGGCTTTTATTATTCATATTTTTTATTTTCTTTCTTATATTTAGATTGGCAAAAATGATTACTAGGACTTCATATGGAAAGATGCTATATTATATTATTTGATTACTATGGATTTATAAATAATTGTATTTTAGTCCCTGATGTATCCATTAATAGATGTATTATTCTGGACAAAAATAGAAAAATTTATAGTATATCAAACAGACTTCTTCCAAAGATTAAACATATCTCAGAACTAAAGAACACTTTTTCAGCAAAAGCACCTAGTAAGTGATTAATAAATATTGCGTATCCTTACTATTAATATTGCTATGATGTAAGTTTTTGCCTCGAAATCTGGAGCACATCATAATGACAGTACTCTTTTCCACTGAGATGGTCTTGCTTACCCTCCACCCCAGCATGTCAAAGTAATAGTGGTCAGAATATTGTGCCACAACTATTAAATAGTGTTTGACCCTACCATTTTCAATTCTGATTTTCACCTAGTATGGGATCACTACTATATGTTTGTCTTCAGATCTGCCTTCTCCCTTTCTGCTTAAAAATTGCTCTGGGAGCTTGGGAATTGAGTTTGTTCAGGGTTAGAGAAAGCCTAAAGCTAGTAATATTCTACAAGTGCATTGCTGTGTGCAAATACCATTAAAACACATATTAAAACACCCCCTATATAACAAAGATTTCCAAATTCTTGCCAGTGGCACTTTTGCTATGAGCTATAGTCAATACAACTAACTTTCAGTGCATAACAATAATTTGGGGGTATTTTGAAAGTATTTCATTATTATAAGAGAATATCATCTGCAATCTATTTCAAAATTAAATGACCATTCAATTTTTACTGATCACCTATTTTGTGTTTTTGTATAAAATATGCACCATGTAAAATATTTTATAGAGTAAAAGAGGGAGTTACAGTGCCCATAATGACTTCTGAATATATAGCTAAACCATAGATTAAAATAAAGTTAAGGCTTCAAATTTTCTATAGTCTGAGAAGATTCAATAGTGCTGTTATATGCTCCAGTGCATGGAATCATAAGAACACAAAAAGAATGAAAACTCTCCTGTATGATATGGTGGAGAAAAGAGGAGTTACTAGCATACAGGAGTTTCCTACCTGACTCTGCCATGTGACCTCGAGCAAATCATTTTACTTATTTATGACTCCAGACCTTCATGTATAAATTCAGATGTGTTCTTATTATCCAAGTTTCTCCTATCTCTGTAAAGCTAAGGTTCTATTTTTTTTTATAAATAGAGGCTTATCTTTAGCCTATACCATAACTATGGTGGCCCCAAATTAGAGAAGAGGACCAGGAAGCCTCAGTAGGTCCTGTGGCAGGTAGATGCATTTGGACTAACCTGCAAGGTAGCCGAATTCTACTCCAATATACCACAATACCCTCTACGTAAGCTCAAACGAACATATGACCTTTTTACTCTCAATGTAAGTAAAGATTAATAATGTCTTCTATTATCTTTTACATTGTACAGTTGAGAATGAGCCATTGTAAGCTTGATTTATAGTAGGTGAATAATAGCATCTTTGTAAATAAGATAACTGCAGTGCTTATATGCTTAAAAGATCCATAAATGTAACATAGGTTTCAATGACACTTTCTTTTAATTCACTGAGTAATTTAGGCACTAAGGAGAATCTGAGTATTTTTATAAAGTGAAAATAATGAATGAAACCAAGAGTTTTAACCAAACTACTAGGACTTGCCTATTCCGTGAAGAGTGAAAGTGGGGGAGGAAATGACCTAACACTTACCAAGAGCCTTCTTCTCTATGCCAGACATTATGTTATACTCACTATTTTTCTCATGCTCTAAATGTGGAATTTGAGGCATGAGAGGGTTATGTCATATGTCCAAAGTCAAACAACTGGTGTACCGTGCAACAAGCATTGGATTCCATGTAAGTTAGTCACTAAAGTTTGTGCTCTTTCTACTATGAAGTACTAGCCGAGTAGTCATCACCTTGGAATTCTCTAAATTTATGACAATAATTAAGTTAATTAATACCCAAACTTACCTGAAACTTTCTTTTTAAAATTCCCTTTAAAGTAAATTATGCACACACACACACTCACACACACTCATGCTCACATATGCACACATTCAATCAAATTATTCTCATAACCATAGTAGTATCTCAGATAGAGTCTTATTTCACAATATTAAATTTCTTTATTGTCTTTGGATGACTTAACATTAATATCATGTTATCTGATATGGTTTGGCTGTGTCTCCACCCAAATCTCATCTTAAATTGTAGTCCCCATAATCCCCACATGTCATGGGAGGGACCTGGTGGGAGGTAAGTGAATCATGGGTGTGGTGACCCCCATGCTGCTGTTCTTGTGATAGTGAGTGAGTTCTTATGAGATCTGATGGTTTTATAAAGGGCTTTTGCCCCTTTTGCTCAGCGCTTCTCCTTGCTGCCACTGTGTGAAGAGGGACATGTTTGTTTCCCTTTCTGCCATGACTGTAAGTTTCCTGAGGCCTCCCAGGCCATGCTGAACTGTGAGTCAATTAAACATCTTTCCTTTATACATTACCCAGTCTTGGGTATGTCTTTATTAGCAGTGTGAGAAATGACTAATACATCATCCTTGTAGGATCTGTCTGAATAATATTTGGCTCCAGGGTGACAGAGAAGACAAATTTAACATTTCGTAGAACTAGGAAAGGAGAACCTACGAATAATAAGTGTTTCTCATCTAGATCAATGTGTCTTGGTCATCCATACTTGAGAACACATGCTTTGAGATGGATTTAAGTTAATTTCATTAATACACTGCATGTCTAAACTACAGAATCTTTATTACATATTAAACAAAACTATTTTCAACACATTAGTGCCTGTCATTGCTAAGTTTGGTCTTAACTAGTCTTATATGTATGCACGAAACTTATGGTTACCATACACCTTATATAAAAAATGAAATAAAATTATATATGGTAGGAAAAAATAACAGTCAAAAAGCAAAAACATTAAACTTTCTTAAAAAGGTAATGACTAATTCTATCTGACTTTGAGAAAGACTGAATGGATAGTGAGAAGGCAAAAAATCAGTGGCTTTCCTTCCTATACTTTGCCTCTATTATAATAAAAATAATAAAATAATAAAATAAAAAATAAAAATAAAATAATAAAATAAAAACAATAAAAATTCATTATTTTAAATCAAGGAAACTGTTTAGTTTGAAAAGTTCACAGAGATCAAGTCAAGGGATTTAAAAATTTCACAGAAGGTAATGTAATGTAGAGTTTTAAATGGAAATTCAAAAGTTACAAAACCACTCTTAATTGCCCTTTGTAATACTAATACCGCCTGAGCTCCACCTCCTGTCACATCAGCCATGGCATTAGATTCTCACAGGACCCTGAACCCTACGGTGAACTGCACATGTGAGGGATCTAGGTGCATTCTTCTTATGAGAATCTAATGCCTGATGATCTGTCACTGTTTTCCATCACCCCCAGATGGGACCATCTAGTTTCAGGAAAACAAGCTCAGGGTTCCCACTGAATCTACATTATGGTGAATTGTATAATTATTTCATTGTACATGACAATGTAATAATAATAGAAATAAAGTGCATAATAAATTTAATGCACTTGAATCACCCTGAAACCATCCCCTCCTCACCCCAGTTGGTAGAAAAATTGTCTTCCATGAAACCAGCTCCCGGTGTCAAACAGGTTGGGAACTGCTGATATAATTATATGAATTTTATTCCATTGCTCAGAGGATTATCATGAAGGGTAACAAATTTAATCTTTATTTTCAATGTAATCAACAAATAATTATGAAGTGCTTACTGTGTCAAGCATGGTTAAAGAAGTTTCCTTAAATTTGCCCCTACATTCATACCTATTACCCATCTTTTTCACTAAATCCTTTCAAATATGTAACATCATTATTTTAAAGTTTTTCTCTGATAATTACAATATCTCGATCATCTGTGTGACTAGTTCTGTTGAAATTTTAAGTGTGAGTTATATTTTCTTGCTTCTTTAGGAATCATGTAATGGTTGATTAAATGTTTACAAGAACAGCAGGAAGTTAAATAAATAACATTGTCTGGAAAATTCCATGGCTTGTCTTTTATCAGGCCTCTGGTTTGCTGATTTGAGCCATTGTCTATAATTGAGATAGACTGGGGCTTTGTTGTTGATTTAAGTTTAGTGCAGCTTGAATTCAACTCAACTCATTTGAGGCAAGTATCAGGGCCTTCCCTTAGCAGAGCTTGGGCTTTAGTGCCCCAAAGGGTGTCTCCATTCTCCGGCACTCCAGGAGGCCCAATGGGCTTGCCCTTGTGTTTCTTGGCATGGTCACCTTTCGCCAAAGCAGCAAGTGGCCACTACACGTTTTCACTGTAAAACGTGGAGTGTCTGGAGGGGTTTTTACAGTTTATCTGTCCTGCCCTCAGATTTTCCTCACAGGAAGTCACTCCTACTTCTCTTCTTCTGCCACCAATATTTCTTTTTAACATTCAGTGAAGAGCTGTGGGCAAGAATTTGTAAGTGAATGCAATGCACACACCCTGTATGTGTGGGGCTGTCAGGATACTCAACCATCTGATCACCACACAGTCTGACTTTCAAACTTTATTAAGGTCCATCTGTTTTTGTCTCATTTGCATCTATTTTATTAAATAATTCACCTAACTTAGTTATTTAGCACCCACTCAGTTCCAAGAATTTTTATAGATGTGATTTTTCTTCTTTCAATAGTAACACATTTTTATATTTCATGTTTAAGTTTTATATTTTTCTAACCATATAGAGACACTAAATACCTATAACATATCCTGTTCTCAGTTTCTTACTTCACACTGTACCATATTGTTGTTAGCTACGCTTTTAGGTCAAATGTAATTGCCTTGCAGTGCATAATTGTATATCTTTGATTACATCTATATTTACTGATATGTAAACCAATCTTTGTGGTATGTTTTTGAATCACTTACATATCTGAAATAGTAATATATTTTCTCAAACATGAATTTTCCTTTAGCTGTGTATAAAACACAGGATAAAATTTATCATGCCTTGATACTTTAACAATATTTCTTAACTGTCTGCTGCATTCACTGGAGATAATGAAGCATATGTTATATATCTGATTCTTATTCCTTCGAAGGTACTAGAAAAATTAGCATAGACTAGGATTAAAAGTTAAGATTTTGAATTTTGGATATACCACTTACTATATATACATGTTATGTGAGGAAGCTATTTAAATAATTTGTGCCCTAGTTTTCATGCCCGTAACGTAATGATAATAATATTAGTTACCTCCTCAGATCATTGTAATGGTTAAATTATGTAGTTAAAAGAGATACTTAGGCCTTCAAATAGAAAAGGCTGAATAACTGTGAGCTGTTATTGTTCTTTCTCTGTAAAACTTTTAGCATTTTTTAATTTTCAAAATTCTGAATTGTACTGTAATGTATCTAAGTGTGACTATTATTTCTTACCTAATACTCCATAGGTCTCAGAGTGCAAATACACAAAGAAAAGAAAACATGCAGTACTGCTTCAATAATCAAGTGATGAACAGTCAGGAAACATACCAGAGTCTGAGAAGATAAAGATTGGTCACAATATGTGTGTGGTGACCCATTACAATAGCTGCCAGCTGTGATAACTTGGAAATCAGAACACACGCTGGCCAAGCCCATAGCTTCAAGATACGAGGTTAGATAACTATTAGTTGCACGTGATGGTAGTTTCTTGATGCAACAAGAGATAAAATTGAGCAAAAGTCAATTTGTTTGAGATAAGAAGTAAAGGCCAAAGAGAGAATGCAGAGATGTGGCACATTGTAAAACTGGAACCTGGCTGAATACCAGAGTGAAATGAATAAGGCTGAAAGTAAAAACTTTGAACAACAAGGTCGGGGAAGAATCATCACTTAAACAGGGAAGCTAAGCCCTGTGGCAAAGATCAGATTAATGGTTTCCTTAATCTGTTTTAATCTTAATCTTAATCACCAAATTGTTTTAAATGGTTTCAAAGTGGTCTCCTTTAGGTTTACAAGAGAGAAAACATAGGCGGAAGAAATTGGCCAACTTGAGATTTACACAGAGACAATGACTTTACCTGGGGTTACTGAAAACAGAAGGAAATAGCTCAAAAGGCCAATGGCATTTGTGGGGATTATATTCCCAAGGATACCTTGAGTCTGGCCCAAGTAATCCTATGATGGTGAAAAACCCAAAATCAGGCTAGGAAACTGCCATTCTCCAAGATGGCATTCTCCAAGATGGCATTCTCTTCTCCAAGATGGCATTCTCTTCTCCAAGATGGCATTCTTTCAGATGTGGTCTAGGAAGAAACTGAACAAGGAGGAAGTTCCCAGCATTTGGAAACAGAAGACAGGATGTATAGTGGAAGAATCTTTCAATCAATGAGACTTCCTTACAGAGAGCAGATTCAGAGACTTGTCAGGGAACTTCCTTCATTGCAAGGGCAGGGGGCCCTCCCCCTGCCTGCATAGCACATTTCATATGGCCTAGTGACTCTCGGGTATTATGCAGTATTACCTGAGGCTCCATCACTCTATAATTTGATTTTGGTGGTGGGAACAATGGGGAGACTGATGTGTCATCTAACTTTCATGTAGAACAGATGAGGAAGCTGATGATTCGTCTCATCCTCCTCAAGGCTGATCTGGATACAGACACTGGATGGGACTTTGCTTTGTCTTCCTTGGAAAGGATGGAAAATGTTCTCTGTACAAGTAAAAAGTAACTCATGCAGTTATTTTCTTGTAAGAGGGGCAGATGGAGTCTTGAATGAGCTAGTTGTTCCCAAAATCCATGCTCTTTCTATAGTATGGGAGTTTCATTGCAACATAGCTGTTTATCCAGAAACTAACTATCCTAAGCCTCTTGCAACTAGAAGTATCCACATCAGTACCTGTCAGAAGTGATGTGTGGGTATTTAAGAAGCTGATATGCCACATTCACTTACTCTTTCCCCTCGTCACACTACAGACACAGGATTCTTGGGCCATTCCTGATTAAAAAAAAAAAAAAAAAAAAGAGCTACAAAATGGAAGGAGACTGAATGCCTGAATCAACCCAGGGAGAAAAGCCTCTTATTCACTGCCCAAGATCACCTGCATTGAATGGTTATTTGAGTAAAAGTATGTTTCTCTTTTGTCACACAACTTAAATTTGGAGGTTGACTATAACATTATCTAATAATTTTCTATAGTACACTTACCACTCATTGCACCTTTTTTTCTTCCAGAATTTCTAGCATTAAAAAAAAAATTGACACTACTGACATTTTGGGTCAAATAATTATTTGGATTGAGGGCCACCCAGTGCATTGTAAGATATTTAGCAGCATTTCTTGTCTTTACCTGTTAAATGCCAGCAGCTACTTCCACTATTCTATTCAGTTGTGACAATGAAGTATGTTTCTAGGCACTGCCAAATGCCCAGTGGCAAATCACCTCTGGTTGAGAACTACTATGTTAGATGAGGTGTGGAACATCTGGACCTATCTTCTATTTCGTTGGACTTTTCTTTCATTGTTTTCATATTATTGTCATTGGCCAATGACAGGTAGATTTCGGCTTGATCTCTATGCTTCATAGACCTCTCTAATACCTAAGACCACCTAGTGCTACAGTCATTAGACTCTCACATCTACTGAGCATGGAATGTGCTATCCATGCTGATGCTGCCTCAGAGATGATAATTTCTTCTTCCCAACACTTACAACTCAATTATGGTTTTATTTCTGTATTTAAACTTGTTATGCTGTTTTACCAGGGGCAAGAGGTTGCAGTATGTGCTCAGTTTGTTACCTTGAAAGGGCAAAGCCTGACCTACATCTTGGATATTTCTTTGTTTTTACCCTTGATCTGATGTATTTTTATGTGTATTCTTCTGGTGTTTTCTCTTGCTGATATCTGCCTTAAGTTTCAGTTAGGTGACTTCATTGCTATTTAATGAATAATGACTCTCAACTAACCTACTTTGACACTGTCTTGTAAAACTCTTGTTGATATTCATAGAGAATTAGAATGGATTGGCACTGTGCATGCTACTGAGTAGCCATGCATGAAGTATTTGTTGAAAAACTCCAGAAAATATGTCTTAGAGACCAGTATTCTGAGCACACTCTCCACACTTCTGGACCTTTCTTTTATCCAAAGGCGATTCCTTCATGAGCTTTTTATGATCTCTCCTCCAGCTGACATTTTATGCTTCTGCAATTCCCCTCTCAGCTCTTGTTAGCCAAATAATATCACCTAACAGCACAGATTCTGCCACCACACTATATTAAAATTTCATATTAAACAAGACAATGTACATATACTTTGTATTGACCATGATAAATTGCTTTCTATATCTGATTCAGCCTTTTAAAATGTAAATCCATCACCAATGATTTCAAGCTACTGCATGTGATATTACCTGATAATCACCTTCACTTAGGCAAAGAGCTGCCACAGTGTTGTGTATAGGGTGGGTGGTTTTCAGGATAGAAAGTGGAGATGCCTCAATCGAATTTGTAAGTCTTTTGGACAGTAGGACCAGTAATGCTAGTAATGGTCTCTGTACTGTCAGCTAAATGCAGCCCTAGGATTTCCAAGTCTTTTCAATTTTTTTCAGTGGAATTCTAAAGCTAAAATGTAACCCCAGCAGGAAACTTTGTAACTATATGTAGAGAGTTATATAGTTAAATAGGAATCTATACATATAACTATATATAGCTATATGTAATTATTTATATTTCATTTATGTAAGTGAATATACAGATAAATAAAATTTCAGGAACATGCCATTCCTTGCAAATAATATGTCTGATTTTACTGATTTTTGATAAACAGATATGCAAATATATTTTTAAGAATGCATCTCAACAACAGAGAACGACTTCTCAGTTGGACTGAATATTCAACCCTTCTTATTTTGAGGACAATTATGTATATTTATGCCTGAGTGGGTGTGTGTGGGTGGTGTGTGTCTGTGTGTGTGTGTGTTTATAACCATTATATGGTATAAATCTCCCTTATCAGTACCACCAACTTAAAGTGATATTCTCTTTCTCTTTTCCAACAAAGATAAAGTTAAGTTTTTCACGGAAATGTTACCTATATTTATATATATGCACACACACCTAGACCCACGTATGTCCATGTGTGTATGCATATGTGTGTTTTCAGCCAGTCATATTCGTATATGCAAATTGCTTGTCTTACCTCTTAAATTGTTACTTTTCTATCTAGCGTCATAAGTTTCTCAATCTGGTTACATCTTCCTATTTAGCAAGAAGTTTTATTATTTTTGATGTTATGTTTATATTTTATATTATTCTTCCAATAGATTGCAGAAATTTTCTAAATTATAGGACTTTTCATAACAAGACAAGTGAAATGGAAATAGTATATATAAAACTAGTTTGTAACTATTAATGATAAGAAGGGTCTATTGAAATGAAATTTTAGTAGCGCTAAGAATAGAATGGATAAATATATGTTAGCATTGCAGGCTTGAATAAAAAGGCTATAAGGTTATAATTTTAGAACATGCTATTTTTACTTTTTAGGTTGCCTTTTATCCAAGCGTAGCCAAAAGGCAGTGTCCTACCCAGATTCCCTTGATCTTACTACTTCCATGCACGTCAGCTCAGCTTCCAAATGCCAGCACCTCCTTCTCTTTACCTGCTTGCTTTCTCTTGTGTCTGAAGACCAAGTTCATGCCTGAAGTACCAGGGAATCTATGTCCCTCAAAAGCAGCCTTTAACAAAAGACCAGTTGGAATTGATGTGCATGTTTTATTCTCTTTGCCCCTTAGATGGGATAATTCTGCGATGCAGTTTGACTCTAACACCCAAGACTTCTTCAGTGGGATCAGGCTCTTATTACCCTCAATTGCAAAGTGCTTGATAGTAAAATTTATTAAATGCTTTTTCCCCACTCTCTCACTTTCCCACTCCCCTACTGAAGCTTCTTGGAATCACTCTCAGAATAAACTGTTTGCACTGGAGTCCCCGGATCAGGTTCTGTTCTAGTGGTAACTAATCTCAGACAGTTGGTGGCAGAAAAAGCTACAGGAAGTAGATATTCAGAATGAGATTTAAAAATTAGACTGCTTGCTTGCAAGATGGCAACAAGGACCCCTTTACTGGTGTTAAAAGGGAGTAGTGATACACACTAGCATGCTTCACCACCACAACTAATAAGAAACACAACTGTGGTGAGTTGGGATGGAATTCACTGGTTTACGCAGGATCTCTAGCTTTCAAGATATATGGAGACCATGGCATTGCGGAAGACCATGGAGAAATGTGTGGTTACATTGAAAAAATACAATTACAGACTCAATCTACCTATCTTTCAGGCATAGAGTAATGGGAAAATTTAAACACCTTCATCTCCTGTTACCAGAGGGCAGAGCCTGCTGGAAAAACAGCCCCAGGGCTTCACTGTGCAGGTAACATGATTAAAAAGAAGGCAGCATTCTGAAGCCCAGCAAGCCTCCTACACTGAGGTTGGTGTCCTGATAGGGAAGCAGTGGAACCCTGAGACACCGAGTGGAGACATCTGGGTGTATTGGCTTAAGAACCTTGAACACCCTGATTCCCATGAACTCTCCGGTTTAGAAGTGGTTCTCTACCACTTGTGAGAGCACAGCAACTTCCACGTGTAGGATATTGAAAGGCCTCTGCTGAGACAGCTGCCTCATGAGATGATGTTTCTGTTTCCTATATCTGCCCCCAGCTTCCTACTGCCCCTTCCCACCTCCTCACTGCTCTAGACCAGTCACTGGTTCAGAGGCTCAGCAGCTCAGAGGGAAGCTTTATCCCAGGTTCAGAGAAAGGGATTTTCCACAATTATCGTGTCACATTTCACTATGACACGCGGTCAAGAACTGGAAAAGGATTCCTGGAATGGATGTTTTGTGCCCAAGATTAAGAAAGGGGAGGATATAAAGCTGATAAGCAACAGAAATGCGATTTCTCACAGTTCTGGAAGCTAAATGTCTGAGATCAGGGTGCCAGCCAGCAAAATTGAATTCTGATGAGGATTCTCTTCCATCTTCTCACCACGTCCCCATAAGACAGAGAGAGCTCTCTGGGATCTCTTTTATAAGGGCACTAATACCATTGATCAGGGCTCCACCTTCATGACCTAACCACTTCTTAATATATCACTTTAAGGATTAGGATTTTAACATATGAAGTTTGGAGAGACACATTTATTCCAGTACACCTCTTATTTAATTCCTGGTAAGGATGCTTAAACTGATCTTAATGTGCAGCAGGAAGTGCTCCTTGAAGCTTGGAAATGTGATGGGGAGATCCTGGCGTTTTCTTCTTCTTTTTTTTTTTTTTTTTTTTTTTTGAGACAGAGTCTTGCTCTGTCACCCAGGCTGGAGGAGGGCAGTGGCGCGATCTCGGCTCAATGCAAGCTCCGCCTCCCGGGTTCACACCATTCTCCTGCCTCAGCCTCCCGAGTAGCTGGTACTACAGGCGCCCGCCACCACGCCCGGCTAATTTTTTTTTTTTTTTTTTTTTTGTATTTTTAGTAGAGACGTGGTTTCACCGTGTTAGCCAGGATGCTCTCGATCTCCTGACCTCGTGATCCGCCCGCCTCGGCCTCCCAAATTGCTGGGATTACAGGCATGAGGCACCGTGCCCGGCCGGTGTTTTCTTGAGAGTATTGTGGAAGGAATGAAATGGGTTCAAGGAGCAGGCATTCTAGAATTGATTTACTGGATAAAATATGAGAACCCGCCAGGTAATCATATGTCCTGGAAGGGACCATAAAACAGTCCCTTTACTAAAGCAGTAAGAAAAGCCTAGTGAGGAGGCACTGGCATCATTGAGAAGCTCAGTGGTGTCTCTCCTTTGTGGACCAGGCTGGATGGTAAGAGGTATCCCTGTGCAAATGGGCTTCTTGTGTTGAAGGTGGTGATGGAGCTGGTGGCTGCACTCAAGCATCAAAAGCAAGGTGGGCATAATTGTGAAATGAGCAATGAGGCTAGAACGGTAACCACAGACCCCTGACCCCACAATCTGTGATGATGTCTGATGGACCCTGGGGAGACTAGAAGCAGTGTAGAAAGACAAATAGATGCTACTTGATCTATGCAGCAAAAAATATTGAACAGCAGATGGGCTGGTAGCTAATGTCACCCCTTAGAAAAAGTATTATTCTTCAATGAGTTTTCAGACCTGAGACAATTCTCAGACTCAGAGTTTATCAATGAAAGGAGGAAACAGCTGCTTTCAAGCCTTGCAATGCAGGGGCACACTAAACGTAAGCAATAGTAATTCATCCATTTTTTTCCTGAAGCTATTTACTAGAGTACAGGAGTTATCTAGACTGTTAGATGCAGGGTCTGAAGTCTCCTTATACCAGGAGACTCACAATTGCTTCATGGCCTCTGGTTATAGTGCAGGCTATGGGAACCAGGCAATAAATAGAGTTGGGGCCTTGTCCGTGTCATAGATCTTTCAGTGGGCCTACAGAACCAATCCTGCAAGATGTAAATTTCAGCCTTGATTACTAGGCTGAAATTATGATCATCTATGATCAAGATGAATATACTTACATTGGTCAAGCCCTCAGTCACATTGGCTTCTTTACCTGTAACATAATAATAGAATAGTACAAAAAGAAGCCCCTAAAACTGTACCTGTCCCCTGCTCCAGTCCTGACCAATTTAGTAAATCAGAATCAGTCCTGTATTCTAAATAGAATGACAGAGACATACAAAGACTTACAGAGCTCAGAAATGGTGGCCATGATCCTATCCCTATTAATTCACTGGTCTGGTCCCTGTTGACACAAGATGGGTCTATGGTACCAGATCCCAGCAAGTAACCGTAAACTTGAAGTGGTAGCTCCAATAGCAACTGCTAGCTGGATGTTCCCTCATTACTTGACTGAATCCACATGCCCTCTCATACTCTGAATGTAGGTATTAATCCGGCAAATGTGTTCTTTTTAATCTCTACCAGGAAGGAAAATCAGAAGCAATTTCCATTCACTTGGAACAGACAGCATTACATACACATTCATGTTCTCAGCTTAGCCAGGCATATCCGCAAGTGACTTAGAACTGCTGGAATTCTGGACATGGTGGGGTTCTACAGCCGGGAGTTCCAAGGCCTGCAACAGGAACTGTAGCTTGTCCCATTAAATTTCCTGCTAAAGGTTTTCTTTTCTCATTTATTTCTTTCGTTCTCATATGTGACCGACCACCCCTTTGAGGAACTGATGACAGGGTGGAAGGACCTTAACATGGTGCATGAGTGGCCTCAGGAGAGTGGGTGAGTGCTGCAGAAGGACGGGTGCTGCCCATATCCCTCACCCCTTCCATGCCAGTGTCTACCAGCCTGAGCTCTCATTGCCAACACTTGCATTTCTTTTCCTGAGAGGTTTTCTGGTTTCTGCACCCCACTTTCTTACTCATATGGCAGGCCAGAGGGGCTGGTGATTTGACCCTTCCAGGCTGCACTTCTCTAAGAATGAATCTCTTCCCACTCCTGGGACAGGGATAACTCTGAAGTGCCTGTTTTACACTGACTTTCAAGTTCCCTAACAGGATTAAAGCCCCTGTCACCCACTGCGATAACAGGTATGATTATAACAAACCCATTTTTTACGTTCCTTTTATTTCCAGCGTCGACCTCTCAGTTTCCCTTCTATGTTTCCTGAAATCACCTCTAAAATCAACTTCTTCCTTTTGGATCCTTCTCTTGGGGTCCGCTTCATGTGACTAAAACTAAGACATTCCGGAAGACTAAAGGAGTGTAATAAACTGAAGGTGGAGATATGATGCAACTTGTAAACCTTAAAACCTCATGCTGAGAAAAGATATCAACAACGTGCACCCAGAGCCACCTTCAAGGCTGGAGAAGGAATTATTTCCCTCTACGATCATTGCCTTTCTTCTACTGTGTATTTCCACTTATATCAAGCCCCAAGAATAATCATTAACATTCACCATGCTTTCTATAAACATTGATTCGTTGAATAAATTACTAGAAATCTCTGAAAACGCTTTGAAAAGTTGTAAAGCTCCAGCAAAATATGTGACAGAATTAAAGAAGCAAGAAAAAGAAAGTAGGAAGATGACTTCTTCAGACTTCTAGAAATAATCACTGGGGAGGCTCCTATGATTTTAATAAATTTTTATACTAAACTAAATTGTTGTCAGAGACCTCCCTTTCATTTCCCACAGCTTGGATTTCTTTCGGATTTTCTAGTTATGTTACCAGATTCTTTAAATGGTTATAACTCTCTGGGACTTCAAAACATTTCTAAAGCAGAGTTTAACAATAAAGTATAATGACTGGTTGGGCGCAGTGGCTCGTGACTGTAATCCCAGCACTGTGGGAGGCCCCAAGGCGGGTGGATCACTTGAGGTCAGGAATTCGAGACCAGCTTGGCCAACATGGTGAAACCCTGTATCTACAAAAAATATAATAAAAATTAGCCAGGCATGGTGACGCACGCTTGTAGTCCCAGCTACTCGGGAGGCTGAAGCAGGAGAACCACTTGAACCTGGGAGGTGGGCGTTGCAATGAGCCAAGATTGCACTACTGCACTCCATCCTGGGTGACAGAGCAAGACTCGGTCTCAAAAATAAATAAATAAATAAATAATAAAGACTTTATTAAATTCTGATACTTATAAAATAATTCTACTTCATTTAAAAAAACCAAAAACAAAAACAAAAACTAAACGGAATTTCACTCTGTTGCCCAGGCTGGAGTGCAGTGGTGTGATCTCGGCTCACTGCAACTTCTGCCTCCCGGATTCAAGGGATTCTCCTGCCTCAGCCTCCCGAGTAGCTGGGATTACAGGTGGTGCACCACCATGCCCTGCTACTTTTTGAGTTTTCAGTAGAGACAGGGTTTCACCATGTTGGCTAGCCTGGTTTCAAATGCCTGACCTCAGGTAATCCGCCCGCCTCGGCTTTCCAAAGTGCTGGGATTACAAACGTGAGCCACCGGGCCAACTCAATTCTACATTTTTAATCATTCCTAATATTCTTGGTGGCAAGTTGCCATCCCAGAGCCTTTCTTGCACTATAACCTCATTCAGGTCTTCATGTTTGTCAGTTTCATCTTCCTGGGTTTAACAGCAGTAAGTGAGACCCTGGAGGCTCCTAGTACACTGCCTGCTGCATTACAGAACCACAGCCAAGTCAGACTTTTCTTCTTCTCTTTCCTTTTGCTGATATTAAATGGTTTAAGTTCACGAGATCTTAATTTGAAAATGAAATCATAGCTTTCGATTTCTGATAAAGAATTTATTTAGGCCAGGCATGGTGGTTTATGCAGGAAGAATCGCGTGAGGCCAGGAGTTTGAGACCAGCCTGGACAACACAGCAGGACCCCACCTCTACAAAAAAATTAAAAAATTAGCCGGGCTTGGTGGCATGGGCCTGTAGTTCCAGCTTATTGGGAGGCTGAGATGGGGGGATTGCTTGAGACCGGTAGTTTGAGGCTACAGTGAGCCATAATTGCACCATTGCACTCCAACCCAGCCTGACTGATAGGCTGAAACCTTGTTTCCATTTAAAAAAATAAAAACTAAAACAGAATTTATTTCAAGAACGGCAACAAAAAATACATTGATAACAGTAGAGCTTTATTTTAAATGTGACTTGATTTGTTGGGGAAATACCTGTTTTGGCTTGCAATACCTAAAGGGAAATTATTTGCCAAGCTAATGTGTGAAAATGAACTCGTTCTCCTATTTACATCGTGAAACAGTATCTTTTCTGTTTTTCTTAATTAGATGAACAGTCTCCTTGCCCATCCCATGCAATCTTAAAGCCATTACCCTTTACCTCTCAGATGCTAGCCCTGTGGTCTGGCACAAGGCCATAAAGAGTGAAAAAGAAATAGGTTTAATGATGAGGTTCCTGATGGTGGTGTTTCCACTCTGTGCAACCATACAGAGAGCTAAACACGGCAGAAAACATCTTCTACTGCAGTTATTTTAATTGAATAAGCACAATTTTAACATGAATGCATTAAAAAACTACTGTGGTTCTGGGAAACTGAGTATTAGAAATATGATGAGCATATTGGAATAAGTTCAAAACTGAACATCAGGAGTAATTAAGGGAGTGGAGAGATTGATTTATGAGAAAAGATTAAAAGAGCTCAATCTGTTTAGCTTGGCTAACAGACAACTAAGTAGGGGATATGGTAATTGTTTACAAGTACTTACAGGATGTAAATATCAAGGCTGGAGCAGAAATGTTCAGGCTGAGATCAGAAAGCCTGAATCACTCCACATTAATAAAGAGAAAATTTAGGTTGACTGCCATCCAAAATTTGGCTATAGTTAAGGCCTTTCAGCAGGAATTGTCTCATAGGGAAAATAGAAAAACAAACTCTTTGGGATGTTTAAATGTGGAATGGCTTTTGCAAAACTATAGCTGCTTCACATTTATCACCAGCATTATTTGAGAAGTATTTACGATACATCATGTTAGGTGCTGAAATGGCTTTCTACACTGTTCCAATGAACCACAGTATTTCTGAAAGGTACTGTATGAAGATAACATGCTACTAAAGATAGATGAACAGAAAATATGTAGAGAGACAGTATTACCATCTTTAAAAAAGAAGCAAAGTACTTTCTACTTTGTTTTTAAAACTTTTCTTTAACCCCAATAAGTCATACTTTGGGATAGTAATAAGAACAACTTATTGTGAAAATGTATCAATAACAAAATAGTGTATTAGTATGTTTATATGAGTGCCAGTGATATTAATGCACTAACGTTTTTTAAAATTAATAGAAGTAAGAAATAGACAGCTATTTATTGTATGCATGTAAAGATTACCTAATAGAAAAATAATAATAAGAGCATTGTTATATTGAAATAACATTAAATATATGTTGTGAATACATGGATATTTGTATATAAGAATAATTCTAAGCTAGGATAATTTAATAAAATGATATGAATCCTATAGCAGTAATATATTTGTGTGTGTGTGTATATATATACACACATATATACACATTATATATATACATATATACATTATATATACACATATATACATAATATATATAACATATATATGACTATATATATAACATATATATATGGTTTATGTTTGTGCATACGTATATGTGCTTTTTCCTACATTTTCCTTTTTTCTACATTTTATACACACTGTCTACATTTTTCATACATATCTACTAGAGATAGAAATGCTAATCTTAACTTTGATATTTATTGGCTTTTAAATAGATGATTATTTTTAAAAATAGATAAACTAGATTGACAAATGTGCCACTCTTTTACAATGTGCTTCTTAAATATTTATCCTTGACTCTATCCAGAAGCTTTAAATTGAACTAAATAATCTATTGCATATATATCCATTGCCTGAGAATTCATGTACCTCTGACTACATATACGTGCTGTTCACCTTTTGGCCACTTAGGGCCAATGGGAGAATTAGGGTATATACACACACACGCACACCACAGGAGCCACAAACACACACACCAGTTTGCATCATGGCTGCCCTTTCTTTGAGATGATTTTCTCCCTCATTGAACATCTTTTTTTTAAAAGTAGACATTGGGAATGGGAATTCATTTGTTCATATGATTTGTAAAAGAATTTAAAGTAAATGAAGAGGTTTGTGTAACGTATAAAAGCATTCCTTTACAATAACTGTGTATAGATAAAAATAATTATTGTAATTTTAAACAAAACAAATTATAATTTAGGTTCTGAGTTGTTAAATTACCATAGAAAGCATATTGCTGATATTTTTGAGTACTCATAATGTTTTTAGTGAACATCAGTATACCTATCAAATTATAAAATCTTACGTATTGCTTTCTTGTAGATGAACATATAAACAGCATAATATAAAAGAGTAGATATAATGCCAAAATGAAAACATATGATTCGTTTGGCATACACCAGTATTATACTAGATTAAGAAAGAACAAGAACTAGCAGAATTCATAAATGTGAATGAAGACCTGTGGAAATTCATTTTTCTTGTAATCAATAGAAATTTCACTAATTTGGATGCGTTAAAATGGGCATTAACATCTCTGTAATATTACGAGGACATCTGATCTCACTTTCTACATGTCCCTGGACACCTCTTCCAATACTATTACACAAAATCATCTCCCTATGATTAAGAACGTGTATCTGAAGTATCACCGTTATTTTATTTAAGCTAATACTGCCATGATGTCCAATCAAAACTTGACTGATGTTAGATTCTGTGTACAGAATCCTGTTCTCTCAGAGACTTTGAGAATCTTTCTGGAGACATGTATCTCATGGCTAGGAAACAAATAATGCCATTTCACTCCAGGGGATGAAGACTATAATTCTAAGCAAAATTTTTGCTGGATTAAGTTAAGTTACTGCCTAGCTTCAATTAATTCACTCTCAAGGATCTAAATAAAAATAAAAATATTCATTTCTAGAACAGAGATAATCCCTGAATATTGGACAAAGTCTATTACTATTACATTAAAGAGAAATATCCTAGGACTGTACACAGATCATAAGATTGTACAAGAGGTCACGAAGCAAGAGGCAGGATTGTCTAAAAATCACTCTGGCACTCGGTCTGTGTTGCCTGGACCATGAGCCAATGGGAACCACGGACATCCTCCTTTTCCCAGCAGGAAGAGCAGCACCCAAAGCCAACCTCCTACAGTATGGTAGTTCTGACCTCCCAGCAGGAAGGCCACCATCTTCCTGTGGCCTCCATGTTTCCTGGGTGTTGGAAGCCTGCTTTCTGAGTTAATATAACTGAACAGCTGCCATGCAAACCCAGACAACCAAGTGGCCAAGCAGTCCTTCCAAGACTGATGGACAGGGTGCTCCCTGCCTGGCATGTGAGTATGGAGGCAACAGAGGCTGGCATATCTGTCAGGACGTGGGCATTACCCTCTCCAGAAATAAAATGTCAGCAGGCATACCCCCTCCAGAAATAAAATGAGCGATGAGAGGAACTTGTCTTTTCTCTTTTGCTGCTGCCCCTTGTCTTGTTAGTTTTTCTAACAAAGCTTATTTCTTAACCCAGTGAAATAAGTGGGTTAAGAACTCGGTGACATTATGGAATTTGTATCCCACCTCAATTAATGATGAATACAAGAAGGTCACCTCGCAATACTAAAGAGGAAGCTCTCTTAGGATATACGTGTAAGGACTACAGTCAGGAACACATGTGTATTCAAACAGAACGTTCCATAAATTTGAAGTGAACCTGAGATTCAGAAGAATAATGAAAGCTATCAGTAGATATCCAGTTGCCATTTTAGGATATGACTAAGAACATACACATCTCCTGCACAGTCCTTTGTAGGTTACAGTGACATCTATTTCTCAAAGAGAAAAATGTTTCCCAGAATGTACCTGGTGGTGCAGTGTACTCCAGCGATCTGCTAAGTCAGAAGAAGGTCATGTGGCCCAACCCGTCCACACAAGAGTCTGGCAAATATATAATTAATTATTCTTTATTTTAGAGGCGAATAAATGATAAAGGAAGTAGACACAAGTGTTTTTAATCTATCATCACGGTTCACTTCTTGCACTGATATTTTAACTGAGTATGTGGAGGGAATTGAATCAGTTAATGAATCGAGGGAAACACATTTCCATGTTTATCCCAACATGTTTAACATGTGTCATGATCTAAATACACTTCATGAGATATCCGTGTCTCACACAGTTGATGTCTGAGAAAGCTAAATGGTATTCCAGGAGAAGCTGAAGTTATATATTCTTTCTAGGAAGCACCATCTCTCTGCCAAGCAGTATTGTGAAAAAGTTAGGTCAAAGATGGCCTAATTGCTCCACAGTTGTGCATATTCTAGAATACTTTCAGTCTCTCCTATGCTGGACCCATGACTTAGATGTTTTAGATACTGTTGGTCTGAACCGACATGATCCCTTCAGTGCCTTCTGGACTAGTGTCTTTCTGACAACCCATGCTTTGCTGGATCAGAGGAGAAGTGGGACTTCTGGGATACCTATGTGTAAGATTTATCCTCATCGAGTGTACCAGGAAGTCATCCTGCCTGAGTCTTTGCCACAGAGGTCAGCGTGGGTTATTGACACAAACTGGACCCACTGACCTCAGATAGATTCCAATATCCATATAAATCTCTCCCTATCAGTTGTGGCTTCACTTTGAGTTCTTAACATTTTAAAGCTGGAAATTATCATTTATTTCTTCTATTTTTTCTAATTCCAGGATCATAGCTGTTCATGGCACCATTTCAATGCCCTTCTTCTGACTAAGTGCAGGTGGTGCAGATCGTGTCATTTTACCCCAAAACAGCTTCTCGTGGTGTGACCCCTGGACAGCCCCTCCCCTTGAACTCTAATTATTAGTGTTAACACTGATGACTCAGCACCCTATGCAGAGAAGCCTCAGTATGTGATTTGGAAATATTACTGGAGTTGCTTAATTATTTGCCTATGAAGGAATTAGAACTATGATTGTGAAGCAAAATTATTGAGAAAGAAATACTACCTAATATAATACTTTAGATCAACAGTATAGACAACATAACAGTAAATCAAGTAAATGGAAACAGCAATTAAAAATAAGCAAATAAACGCATATGTTTTACCTTATTCCACATGATCTGCATGATACTAAGGCATGTAGGGAGACAGCTGTGGAAAGGCGTCGGAGGTGATGCTAGGTATGTGTTAGGTATATATTCCTGAACCACCACATGCATGTGATATCAGGCACACTTTTCAACTTTCTGAGCCTCCTATCCCACTGGGACCTGCTGAGGTTTGAGCTGATGAACACAGGATAGATCTGTAAACTGAAATGTTATACATCTGTAAGGTATTATAACACACACTTCCTGACTTATTTCAACCTGCCAAGATGACATCTTATCTTCCTATCCTACTTTTGCTCAAGAATTAAATAAAAAGCATTTTCTTCTATTCACCAAGTTCCAAGAAAAAAAAATTGATAGAAAAAGTGCAGAAAGAAAAATTACAAAATGGAAATTTCACCTCTGTAGGAAAAAAAAATGAGCTACAATACAAGAAAGACAAAACACTTTGGATTATTGCTCCTGTTGTTGGAGGGTGAGAATAAGGTCAAAGATTTTGCAAGCTTGGCCAAGGCTTCCTCAGGGACTGACAGCGCCAGCCAGATTCTTACATCTGGTTAAGCTCAGGGGTTCTGTGGCTGCTGTATATTGACAAGTTTTCAAAACTATACATAGAAATTGATCTGTTACAGTTAACTCTGGGTAATAGCATGTGGATTAGCCCTTTGCTGATTATACTTTGTTGACATAAATAGTGTCATAGTTTACAGTTGCCCAGCAGGAGCTAGCAGAAAGGGAAACCAACTTTTAAGTTTATTAATCACTTCCTTGTCTCAGAGAAGGCGTGGAGGATTCACTATACGAAGACAGACCTCTTCTAATTCAGACCCACTCACTGCATGCATTGAAGGGAAAAATGTGGAGTTTAAGAGCACACGATGCACTCAATGGGAAAAAGTTAACAACAGCAGGACACAAGGTGGACATTGAGATCTATAGAACAGGACCTATAAAGCAAGTTTTGTTAATCACTCACTATCTTTAATTAACTTGATATTTCATGATACAAACTAAATATATCATTAGGCCTAGCAATTAAAACATAGAGCTTTCATCATATGGGATCCAAATATTGTATGGGTGGTTGTACCAAGTCTGTGAGAAGAATATGATTTCAGAAGAAAGCAGCTAACAGAGTAGTTCCGACTTGTCAGGATAAAATTAAGAGCAACTGCTGCAGCAAACAATTACGTGGTAGCAAATACACATCACTAATGGGCAGCATGCTATGCGCTGGCAAAACATGATCTGATTAAGCCACCGTCAACATCCACACAGAGATTACAATCTACTCTAGTGGGGGAAGGTGTTTCTTGGTGGTTGTTTTTACTGTCCAGCATCCTTTGTTCTCCTTCCTATTAAGACTCCTACCATTTTCTTTCAGAAAGCCAACATGGTATTTTGAGCCACGTGGGTATTTTGGGTGGCCTGACTGAGTAAGTCAAACAGCAAGACCCAATCTTTTAGGCAGGAGAATTTGTGTGTTTAAGGGCAGGCAGACTTTATCTTTCATAGCAGGTTTTGATGGTAATAATCACTCTTTCTTGGGACAATATCCACAGCCATGCTGGTACTTTGAGATCAACCTGGAGATAACACTGAACCCAGAGGAAGGCAAAACCGAGTCTTGCAAACAAATGGAGCTTGAAACCACATGATAAAATTGGAAGTCCTGAAACAAACCATATTCAAACCTAATGCTTTCCATGAGCTATTGTAATAAAAGGGAAATGCAGTTCTTTTTTTTTTTCATTTTCCAGTTTCATTAGTTTTGTTTTTCTAACCAGCATTCTAAATATTTTTATGTTGTCACTTAGGAATACTCATAGAGTAACAAAGTGCGGTTGTCTGGGTTTATGAAAATTGAGTTCTGCCAGCTCTATTATTAACCTGCTGTGGTGCTGGGAAGTTTTTTTTAAACTTTCTCGGCATGTTTCTTTTCTTCCTTTCTTTTTATTTACTCCTTTCCTCTTCTCTCTGTTTTAATCTCTTCTATAACCTTTTTGATGCAATCACAATGATGTCACAACTGAGATTTCAAATATGAAACAAAATATTTTTTGATCTTCATGGATTTACAGAAGAGTAGAAGTGATATTCAAATACACAGTTTAGTGCAGCAATGTCATCAGTATTACAGAGACCTCAGAAGTGGTAAGAGCTCAGAGAAATCATTACAGAATTCTGTCTGCAGATGGCCCAGCATCTCTACTGTACGTGATAATTACAGTTCATTTTCCCAGTCCAGAATGTGCATCTAATCCCTTTCTTCTTCTTGTAATAAATATGTCTTTCTTGTGGGTAGTTCAGCCCCATCTCATTTAATTCAGGTGGAACTGACACCCCCTCACCCCTAAGGCACGGAGGGAACATCTCATTCAAAATTTTTTTTCAAGAATCTGCATGTAGCCATTACAGGCTAACCTGGAACATTTGCCAAGAACATGAAGAAGAAGTTACATAATTCTGTTTCAGTTGCTCAGGTCTATGATCATTAGCTATACAAAAATGGATGAAGAGTTGCATGGGAAATTTTGCCTCCAAATAGGTAAAAATCATATTAGAAGACTTCGATTCAGCATAAAGCAGAAAACATAACAAAAGACAGACTCCAAATTGTAGTGGTTTGAAAAAATGGTGTCCTAAATTGTCTAAAACTAATCAGTTTCACCATCTAAATATGATTCCTGTCCAAATAGGTTTTTCTTTTTTTTCCAGTTGATCACACAAGAATGTTTAAAAATAAAGGTGACCCTGTAGAGGAAATCATGTTTGAAATAAGACAAACTATAAATAAGGTTCTTGTTTGTTGTGGCAATATGATAAAAAATATAAACAGAATTACTTGTGCATCTAACAACAAGCGATACTGGTAAAAAAAAATGACAAACGCTGAAAGAGAAAGGAAAATCCAAAATGCCAGAAAAGCAAATGTAACCTAAACTGAAAAACAGGATGGTTAGTGTATGAGCCATATGCAGCTTCCTTATATATATGTATGTGTGTGTGTGCACACGTGTTTGCGCTCCTGTGTTTGTGTGTGTGCGTGTGCATTGTCATTAATGTGGACTGCAGTAATCCAGAAGCCTGGATTTTAATAACAATAATTGAACAGAAGTTAAGATCTTGAGCTTACATGAGGCAATGAGTTGGAAAGAAGCCTTCAAATAAACCTTGGACCTTAACTGTTATAGCTTTGTAATAATGTAGTAATGTTGGGCCAGAAAAATGATCTCACAGGTAAAGAAAGAAACAGGGAAAGTAATCAGTATTTAATCCCAACTCGGGGGGAAATTCTTGCACGATAATTTTCATTTTGTTTTCCAGTCCTCTATTTTTTAGTTCCAATGTGTAATACTCAAAGTTTTGAAGATCCCCAGATGAGAAATGCAACCAAGAAATTAGCCAAACTACTCTTGAGTGGGGACATCCTTAATTCCCGCCATGCAGAATAAAGCAATGAGGCATAGGAACTCACGAAAAATATCAATCCACGGTGAGCAAATTTTGACATATACAATCAACTTAAGGAAGAGAATCCAAGTTTGTCAGATAACAGACAATCTGAAAAAAATCTAATAAATAAGCCTATTAAAAATGAGAATGTAAGAAAAGGAATCAAATGTATAAGAAGAGGCACTATGAAAAAAAGAGAGCAGGCGTACATAAGAAACATAATTTATAAAAATGGAAAATTGAAGGCAAGTTGGAAAATTCAAAATGTCATGTGAAAAAAGCATCATCCAAAGGGGCAAGAATATCAGACAATTCTGAGAAAGGATTAAAAAAAGAGGAGGTTGAAAAGATGCTCACCATTATTTGTCATTAGGGAATTGCAAGTCAAACAGATAATGAGGTCCTACTGCACACCTATTGCAATGGCCAAAATGTTTATGAATGACAAACATCAATTCAAGTGTTCATCTGGGGAGGTTGGTGAGGATCAGAGATGCTAAGGCTTAAGTGGTATCTGTAATGTTTTATTTGTCTAAAAAATTAAAAGAGAAAGTTGAAACAAATACAGCACAATGTTAACATCCGTTTAATCTTGGGGTTTGGAGTGCAGGCTCTGTTCTGTTATTTTCATTATCTTCCCATATGTTTAAAGTGGTTTGTAATTAAAATAAAACATGGATGAGTAGGAATTAGTCTGGTAGAAAAAAGACTGAACATGCATGGCAGGCAGAAGGAAGCAAAAAATTAGGAAGCTCTAAAAGAACAAGTTGGCTTCAGAGAACCACAAATAATTTGGCATGGCTTTGGTCTAAATACTGGTAAGGAATCAGGAGAGGATAAGGATGAATAAGATCAATTATTGATAATAATGAGGTCTTGGGTATTATTCTATCAAAATTAGACTTCATCTCATGGGTCATTGTGGTAGGCAAAAATCATGATTCCCTAAAGCTGTCTGCTACGTAATCCTCATAATCTATGAGTATGGAACCAGGCAAAAGGGACTTTGCCGATTTGATTAAATTTAAGATCTTAACACGGGTGGATTTTCTGGATGGGACCAAAGTAACCACAAAGTTCCTTGTGAGAGGGAGGCAGGAGAGCCACATCAGGGGAGGAGATGTGACTTTGGGAGCAGAACTCAGAGGGATCCGTGAGCCAAGGATTGTAGATCGTGTCTGGAAACTGGGAAAGGCAAGAAAATGAATTGTCCCCTAGTGGCTCCAGAAAGCAGTCCTGCTGATGCATTTTAGACTTCTTACCTCCGGAATGGTAAAATAGTAAATTTGTGTCATTTTAAGGCATTAAGTTTGTGGTAACTTGTTCTAGCAGCAATAGGAAGCTACTGTAGCAGTGATGATGAAATCGGGCTCTGTGGAAGAACAAGTAGAGGTTCTGTCTCTGTGTGTATTCTGGGCTGGGGGAGAGGCAGCCACCTCTGCAGTGCTGCTGTTCGTATCACAACAGAGTGATGGTCACTTACCCTACTAATTTGATTAAAAAGAATTCAGAGGGGAAAACGAGCAAGTAAACAAACCAAAATTAAAACTCAAAACACTCCCTTGGGTGGGAAAAGTGTGAATAAAAATGTACCAGAAGAATATGTGTCAGTTACTAGAGTTATTAAAAGAACATGAGGGAAAGGCCATAGCTGTCGGGACAGCTGTAAAGAAAAACAAGTACAATGAAGAAAAGGGCACCTGCTCTGTAGTGTATTTATTTATATTGAATTCATCAAAATGAAGAACAGATTTGTTTTTATATTTGTGCATAAAGACTTACTATTTAGGCAAGTTTAAGTTAGAAAATAACTAATATACAAATATAAATTTGAATTTATATTATGACTGCTTTTATTCTGGATAAATGTCAAAGCCACACACTAATGTGTCACAGAACTTTCAAATACCTGAAAACCTTTGAAACGTGGAAGACATTCTGGCGTCAAATTTAAAACATCATTTAAGAAATATCACAGAGCTCTAATAAATGAATGAAGCATTATGAATATTATCTTTGGCATAAATTTCTCATTTATGATTTAATTACTTTGTTTAAAATTGTATGAATTTCCATAGCAAAGTATTCCACTGAATATAAGTATTTTTTAAAAATAGAATAACAACATTCGAAAAACAGCATGCAAATTCATATATATTTTTTTCTTGCTTTTATAGCTACTATATCTTATGCGGGAAATTTGAAAATTCAGGAAAAAATCCCATCATTCTACAAAAGATATTTTTACATGTATATTAAATTTGAACCTGAAAGATTTTGGCAAATGAAGGAACTAATTGAATATATTAATACACACATTTTGCATGGCAATTTGTCAAACTCCCCAACTTTCCAAAAAACAATATAAACATGTAAAAATATAACACCAAATGAAATGTTTAGCTTTCATAAATAGTAAAAGAGAAACAAAATTAATAGATTTGAAATCAAAATGTGGGTTTTAACCTTGAATTAGATGATTCCTAGTTGAATAAGCCATTTAATATCTATTGTAAATGGAGTTTGAATCCTTGCAGTATAATGTTTAAATAAAATATTTTGATGTGAAATCACTAGACTGTACCATGGCTTACCATTGTAACAAATATATTCTTATCTACTGATGAAGATAAACTAAGACATGAGCAGTATTATAAAATGAGAATTGATTTGTAAAGAATCTTTCAAAAAATTATAGACAGCAGAATACATATACTTTCAAAAATGCTTCTTTGCCACATAAAATCATTGTTGATGTCAAAATGGTCAAGATATCTTGCAAGAAAAATAATAGCAGAATCCAAAAGAATGAATCCTTAACCTGGCACAGTGACGTAGAGACTAAAGGAAGAGGCTTAGTGCCAAGAATTTGTTACTGGATCTGAAAAATAGGCCCGTTATCTGTTACTGAGTGCTCAGCATCAACACTTTTATGCTTAATTTCTCTAAGGGTGTAACCCATCAGATTTAATCCTTTGCATCTATAAGTTACAACTATTCAATATAAAATACGTATCTAAAAAATGAAGCTCAGAGAGATTTAATGAAGACTGAATTTATAGGTTCTATGTAAGATTCTTTATTATTTATTCAAAAGCCAAAAGTGAATATTACTCAAAAGTGGGCATTCGTACAAATGTTAAAGTTATTTTGTTTGATTGTTTTATCCCATTCTGTTATTCAGTACATAGTAGCTCAAAATAGAGGACAAAGCTGGGTGTGTGGCTCACAGCCATAATCCCAGCCCTTTGGGAGGGTAAGGCAAGAGGACAGCTTGAGGCTTGAAGTTGGAGACCAGCCTGGGCAACACAGCAAGACAGACTCTTTCTCTACAAAAAAATAAATAAATAAAAAGTTATCTAGTCCAACCTAGTGTTAATACCTATATAGGTCTATATGTATACATATAGAACAGAAAAAAAAAACAGTGAAAAAAAGGACTGGAATGTATTTCTTTACTACTTTGGATAAAAAAGGAACAGGCTTTATTTAGTTTTTTAGAAACATCTTTAAAAATCCAAATTTTTTATATTAAACTTATATTTTGAAATAATTTTAGATACACAGAGAAATTGCAAAAATGGCACAGAGTTCTCAAATATCTTTCACCTAGTTCCCCTAAACTTAACATCTTAAATAATTATGGTGCATTTGTCAAAACTAAGAAACTAACATGGATACAATATTGATATTCTAACTGATAGAATATTATTAGAATATTAGTATACTACTATTAACTAACCTCCATGCTTTACTTAATATCACCAGTTTTTCCATTAATGTTCTTTTTTGTTTGAAGGTCCAATCTACAATACCAAATTATATTTAGCACAATATTCCAAAACTCTAGAAAATCTTAAACTTCTGTCTCTGACAAATTTTCTAAACTCCATATAACCAGGGACAGTTCTGACAGGTCCTTTATTCCTCCTCAAAAATGCAAGTATTCCTGGCTCAAGTACCTTGTGTCAACCATGAGTCATTGTATTTGTAAACTTTAAACATAAGAGATTTATTTTCTATCGCATGAACGGCCAGGCTTTGAAAAATCATGAAGTGCACATTTTGTATTTTTAAGGCTATCTTCCTTCAAATATTTCTTCTATCCTACAAGCGCTTTGAAGTAAACACTGTTTCCTAACACCAGAAAATACAATGCCCTCCCTTAGCTAGGAAGTTGGCCCCAAATTTACCCTGGCATTCTCTGCTTGACTTCCTATTCCCACATTTTTTCTGTTCACTATATTAAATTTTACCTGAGATTTTTCCACTCTTTTACACCCTTTCTCTCTGTTTATCAAATAAACGAATGTATAAAGTAATAATAAGACATTAGGAACCGCCTAATGGAGAAATTTCACTTCATCCTCCTTTGATTGCATCTGTTGCCACTTCTCAAAGGTACAAATGTTGCTTCTTGAAACCAAGATCTTGCTATAGTTCCCTACAATACTCTCCTTATGCAGCAAAACCAAAAGAATAACTCCTACATACCCACACCTAGCGTGTGGACACCTCCCACTGTGATAACAGCAGCAATAATAATATTAAAAATTGGTGGCACTTATATATTATTCTCAAAAGTTCTATTATGCTGCAACAGTTAATACCAAACTGTTAGTGTCCATTGAACAAAGGAGAAAATTAAGGCTGATAGTAGTTAAGGCAGCAACAGTCTTCAAGCCCATTGAAACAACCTCTCATTGTGTTGTTACTTGTGCTCTTATGACATAGATGTGATCTTTGTTTGCTGAATTGTTTATCTCAGACCCAGAGTTTGGCACCGCCTTTGTAGGTGACATACCCAGACTGGACCTGTCTCCCTGGTGGTGATCTCTTTCAGCTGGTGCTGTGTAGTGTGATCTTTGTAAATGAAAACGACGGCCTTCTGTCCTCTTCACACCGGCGGCAGACTGTGCTCTCTCTAATGAGACTGATGAACAAGACCACAGCCATCCCTAGAAATCTGAAGCCATCCTCCCTTATCCTAGATAGTCTAATATAAGCTCTTCTGCCTCTTTATTATTTTGCATCCATTCAGTTTTCTTCTCAATTTACATGCTCTCCTCTCATCCGTTTTTGAAACTGATCCCACGTCTGTTTCATTCTGGAGCTATCATCAGCCTGGCTCCAAATGACCCCACTCTGGCGTCAGGCTAGTTGACTTCTGCCCTCTCCTGCATCAGCACTACAAAGAATCAAATTTATGGCCAGCACCCAGCATGTTTTATCCCTAAAACAAGAAACAAACACTTGTAAACTGGAACCATTATCCTAGATTGGGTTCATATGGTTATCTCAAGCAGAACATATATATATATATATATTTTAAAAATGTTTTCTGATTTTTTTTTTTTTTGACACAGGGACCCAGGCTGGCCTCAAACTCCTGGGATCAAGGGATCTTCCTGCCACAGACTACCAAATAGCTGGAACTACAAGTGTGTGTCACTGCTCCTGAACAGAAAAGAAATATGTCTTTTAATAGAATCTCTTTGACTCTTTGAAAAGAATTTCTTAGCCCAGAGGAGTACTTTGCAAGGTGGTGACATAGGTCTGGTAGCATATCTAGGGGAACAGCACAAGGATGCAACTAAAGGCAGGATTTCCACTGCAGCACGCCAAAACATCGACGAATCGTACGATCCACTAAGGTCCAAGTGTGCTGTTTAATATAGCACGCCGAATAGAAATACTTCAAGTTTTTCTAATTAAACCCTCTGGTGTAAATTATTATATTATAAAAATAGTTGAAATTATTTTAAAAAGAACAGCTCACATTTCACTTAACATGTAATTTTATAAACAAATTTAACACAACATGCAATGTGAATGTGCAACTGAAGATTTAATATGTGCCTCTACATACACGATGGATCGTATGCATGTATCATACATATGAGAATATATTAACACAAATATTTAAATTATTTATATATACACAACGTATGTATTTGTTTTACATACACACACAGTAAGGCCATTCATATATCCTGTATTATTTGCCAGAGCTTTGTAAAAGTAGATGTAATAAAAATTGCCTAGTGCCTATTTGAAGAATTATTTAGCCTAGGAATCTCTTTCATTTTGAGAAATGGATAAAAAGAGATTTTCAATCCCCTTACCAATCTCCTGCTTTCTCTTGGGTGGATTGTGAACATTTTACTTAAAATAATTCTCTTAAATCAACATGACAGAGTTCTTTCCATTGCTCCCAAAAGCTTTAGTTCCTCTTTTTTATTTATTTCTATTTATTTATTTTTGGTTTATTTTGTGTTTTTGGTTTGGGAGGGGTTCTTTGTTTTCTGTCGGGGGGGGGGGTTTGCCCACTAAGCCTGCCTTGCTAACTTCCCCTCAGGTGGCCCTTCAAGAACCTTTGCTAAATGCACAAATAAACAAGAGGAAAAATGTCAGCTTCCACGGTTGGCAAGACAACCAGGCCCGAAGGGTAGGAAACAGCTTCACAGCAGGCAGTGGAGATGAACAAGCAGGAGTTGTTTCATTTTCAACAGGTGCAAAAGAGTTCTGAAGGAACCCAACTTCCCCAACACTTTATATTCATCAAACGCTTCTCTCTGTTGGCTGTCACTGTGGTATATTTCTCTAAGGTCAGAATCATACTGATCAGAGAAATCAATAGAGCAAAGAGACAGAAAAGCTCATTCATAAATATAGTACTTTGAACAACCAAATTATTTACAGTATCCTGTCTTATCCAGTGCTCATGATGATTTTTTCTTTCTTAAACTCAGGAAATTTGCCTCAAAAAATATCAAAACAGGTTTAGTTGGGTGAGTAATGTGATAATACCTGGCTAGGATATTGATGACACAACTTCACAGTTATTTAGGGCATTGCAAAAAAAAAAAAAAAAAAAAAAAAAGGAAAAGAACATTGAAACAGTCAATTGGTCCATTGTAAATGAAGAAGAGATCCTAGGATTTCTTCCACACTTACCTTTTCTTTAAACTTTCAAGATTAATAGTTATTTAAAGTAGCATTTGGGAATTTAGAGAATTAATGTTACTCTTTACACAAAAAGGAGAGTGTGGAGGGTGCCTTGATTTTCTAGAATTCTTCATGAAATTTTTAAAAACCCTAAACAATAAATGCAACTAACTTATTGGTTGGAGTAAACTCATTAGAATATAAACAGGTTTTTTTTCCTACCATCATTGTTCTGAAATATATTTTGATACATTTCCCTTTCCTGACGCTTAGGAACACCCTAGAAAAATCCCATAGCTTTCCAGTGGTGTTAATTCCAGTCCTGTCTTAATCAAAATGTGAATCTGGTGTTCATCTAACACCTTTTCCTGGCCCTGTCTAAGACAAGTCCAGAGCTGGATCAGGGAGAAAAAGGAGAGTGGCCTTTCTTCTTGCTTTTTCTTTCCCTTCCTTTATTCCACTTTGCTTCTCCTTCAAGGTTGAAGCCGTAGAAAAGAGGGTTAGAAGGAACACAGCAATACCTATTTCTGTGTCTTAGGGGGAGTCCCTCGTGTCCACTGACACTTTGCAGATGACTGTGAGCCTTCCTGGGGCCCATTCTTCGAGGAGATCACATACTTGCCAGGGTCCCTTTTCTTTCCAACTTCTTTCAGCTCCTGCTTGGGGCTGTACTCTTGTGGTCACCTAGCCCAGGGAGGTAGCTCCTTTGGATCAGAATTTTCTGAAGATAATTAGATCAAAGCTACCTTCTGCTGAGGCCATTTGTCCCAAAGAAAAATTCAAAATTTCTTATCCCAGGAAACAGTAGGGGCTCAGGTTGCCCCCATTTCTTCCTTGCTGCTTGACCTGACATCGCAGCTCATCCAGCCAGCTTTCTGTTGTTGGATTCTCCAGCTTGGGACAGACACCTGCTTCCATAAACATGTACACCAAGCTTCTGGGGCATATTCCAACATTTCCAAGAACTTTCTGATGCTTAACTGCTTCTGCTGGGCTGATTATTTCTGAAACTCAACAAGCAGTCAATCAGAGAGTGAAATATCAATCTTTTCTAATTCAAATGACTCCAGACTTTTTGTGTACTCTGAGGCTGCCTAACCTGGTCTAGGGTGGGGAGAATTATCCACCATTTCTGCCCCATGAAGATGGGCTGAAAAATAACATAGCATTGTCATTTTTGCTAAAGTTTTTGCTACTCATTTAGAAAAAAAAAAAAAAACTAAACCTGTTTACTGCATATATCTTCACTGAGGTTATCTTTCTATATACTGTAGGATTTGATGATCACTTAACCAGTTTAGTCCCTTCTTAAAGTGTTAACTGTCTTTAAAATGTACAGATAATTGACATGCACTTTTCTCAACTTTCAGCCTTTAGCTGACCAGCTGAATTTGAGACAATAGAAAAAATCCAATGATATTATTTCTCTAATGATTCATTTTGACACAAACACACACACACACACACACACACACACACCCTCAAATTTGAGTTGGTTAACCTGGCAAATGAGGCTTGCTTCATACCTCAATAGATAAAAATACATAAATTTTCAGCAACTTCTAGAAAAATACCTGATGATTTCTTACATGCTGACTCAGTGATGCTCATCAGGTGTACTCCACCATTTTCCATTCACCACCTACCCAGCCCATATTGCTGGGCTTTTCTGTGCTCTACTCTTGAATAAGTCTAGAGTGCCTCATTGTTGTACATCTTCTTTGATGAAACCTGAGGACTCAGACCTATTGCACAGATTCCTACTCCAAAACTAAACCTTGGCACGGGAAATCCACAAGATAACATAACCCAGACCTTCACCTGGGAATCCAAACAATCCCCTAACTCATTGAGCAGAGGGGTTTTAAGTGTGATAATTTTGGAAATCCATATCATTATTAGGGGTGGTAGTGATCTTTACACTAAACTAATGGACTAGTTTATGGTTAATAACTGAAGTGGTAATATACTGTAGTCATTAAGAGATAAACTCCTGGGTCAGAAAACATCTGAGATGGTATCTTGGCTCCCACTTCACAAGCTGGGCCACCTTGAGGGTGTTACTCAACTTCTTAGTGCCGTAATTTCCTCAGCTGAAAAAAACAGTATATTAATTTCTACATTATAATTTTATACTAAAGATAAATATTCTGATGTATGGTTTGTGCTGTAGCAACATAGACTGACTAAGACAATACATCAGAATATTTATCTTTACTATAAAATTATAGCCAACTACCATAGACTTACGCTAGGCTTAAAAAACAAACATTTATTTCTCACAGTTCTGGAGGTGGGAAGTTCCAGATCAGGACACCAGTTTGGAATTCCAAGATCAGGGCCAGCATGGTTGGGTTCTGGTGAGCACCCTTTACTGAGTTGTAGACTTATCCCTGTATCTGCACAGAGGGGAGAGAGAGGGATAGCTCTCTTCCTCTTCTTATAAAGACTCTAGAGCCATTATGGGGGCACAACTCCAACGACCTACTTACCTCTCCTCATAATACTACCTTGTTGGGGTTTAGAATTTCAACCTATGAATTTGGGGGGATGTAAATATGCAGTTCTTAATAATAATGAACTACTATTAGTGTATACCAATGTTTGGACCCCATCATTTTCCTAATGCCCAATTTCACCTGTCACCCAACAGCTTGGTATTGTTATTAGACAGTTTGATATTCTGTGTGATGCTTAATTAAAACAGGACACATAGATAGTTCTGTCGGTCACTCAAAGTTTAGATGAAACTATAGTTGAAGTGCTAGCACTATTACCTTGCATAAGGGCAAAGGTGGCAAAATATAGATTTAACATAATTGGGGCTTTTACATTAATTAGTAGATAATGGACCGTGACAAATAAGTGAAATAAACTCCTCAAAGAAATAAGTTCATTGAAGAAAACATAAATATAACCAATTGTGAAAATATTAATATTGAATAAGAAAAAGGTGTTGCTGAAATAGTTAATTGGGAGTATTTAAAAAATAATATTTGATATACAATTTTGTACATATTCCATACAAGAGTTCAAGAAATGTAATTCATGTTTACCAAAGAATGCTGTGAACTGCTTGGAAAGTAGAATATCCAAATAGAGAAGAATGAATTCTAAAAGTCCTGTAGTTTGGTGTAGGTATTCTAAACTGATAAACTAGTATCGATTTTGTTAAAGCATTCTCCATTTCTTAAGTTTCTCAAGTTAGTTTTTCATCTACTCAGATAAAGCTTTAGGATGCTATAGATATCTGGTACTAAACACAGCTACACAGTCTCACCACAAGATAATAAATTGACTTACAGAAACAACTCAAATTTGTGTGAATTTTGGTCACATATGTACAAGGTTCAGAGATGAATTAATCCCAGTTGGGTCCAAACATACATTTTTGATAGACTGATTTTTTTTTTTTTTTTTTTAAACAGAGTCTTGCTCTGTCGCTCAGGCCAGAGTGGTGGGATCTTGTCTCACTGCAACCTCTGCCTCCTGGGTTCAGGTGATTCTCGTGCCTCAGCCTCCCGAGTAGCTGGGATTACAGACATGAGCCACCATGCCTGGCTAATTTTTGTATTTTTAGTAGAGACGGAGTTTCACCATGTTAGCTAGGCTGACTGGAACCTCGAGTGATCCACCCACCTCGGCTTCCCAAAGTGTTGGGATTGCAGGCGGGAGCCACCGCGCCGGCCTGACAGACTGAATTTTGACCCTGATGATTGCAGGACCTATCTGTGCGTGAAGTTTAGAATCCCGGGAGCTCAGTCAGCTTTACTACATTGAACATGAGGGCTATTTTCACATCATAAAAGATGACAGACACTTTGATGGCTACCATAAGCACATCTTCAGGTTAATGAGCTGTTTCCATATTTATTTATTAGGTATTATGGGTTTTAACCAGGACCATCCCCATCACTGGTCATTCTTTTTTGCCATAATTTCTTTAAATATTTTCACGGTGATAAAGATTATTGATTTTCTGCAACTAAAGAACAGGACTTCATGATTCAAACAGTTTTTTTTAATTTTATATGAAAAGTATTATATTGACTATACAGTGTTTTTGTTATTTTAAAAATAATAATAAATGCTAGATATTTAACATGAGTTTTATGAATACATTGTCAATAACTTTAAAGTACTCTGTGTCATCCTTCCAGATTTCATTAACCAAATTCCCATTTGCCATATAGGCAAGCATGAGCCTCAGTTTTGTTCAAATCGTATTTTTCTCTTCATTACAGATTTCAACAAGAAGAGTTGGTTTTGGTTTTTGTCAGTGTTCTCCAGAAAGACAAAATAATGAGGATACGTGTGTGTGTGTGTGTGTCTGTGTGTGTCTGTGTGTGTGTGTGAGTGTGTGTGTGTGTGTGTGTGTGTATATATATATATGAAGAGAAGGGATTTATTAGGGAAATTGGCTTACTCAATTATGGAGGCTGAGAAGTCCTGAGATAGGGGCTCTGTAAGCTGGAGAGCCAGCGCAGCCTGAGAGCCAAGGAAGATGATGTAACTCTCATTCCAAGGCCGAAGGCCCAAGAGCCCAGGAGGCTGTTATTGTGAGTTTTTTGAGTCCAAAGGCTGGACAATCTGGAGCTCTGACATTCAAACGCAAGAGAAGGGTACTCCAGTTCTGGAGGAGCAAACAAGAATTCCCCCTTCCTCTGCTTTTTCTTCCATCTGGGTCCCCAGCTGACTGGAATCTGCCCACTTACACTGAGGGTGGATCTTCCCATTCTGTCCACCCACTCACACACCAACCTCCTCTGGAAATGCCCTCACAGATACACGTGGGGGAGCCCAGTCATTCTGATCAGATGCCAAACCACCTGGGTTTCCCTTTCAGCAAAATGGGGATGAGCTCAGTGCCTACTTAAAAGTTGAGAATAATTAATGCAATGATTGAAAATGAATAATACTTTACCAGCTATCTGGGTATTCCTTAGTCTAGACAAATTGACAGCCAAAATCAGTCATCACACGGGTATTACTAAATAATGTATTCATTCAATTGTACAATGTATTAAGTTTTATATGAATAGAATCCTGCTATATACCCTTTTATGACTTTTCTTACAGTGTTGTTCACAAAATCCATTCATTGTGATGTGTGAAGCGGCAGTTCACATTTTTTACCTGCTGTATCATATTCTAACACACAAATATGTTACAATATATTTGTCCATGCTTTTGTCAATAGATACTGGGGTGGTTTGCATTTTTTTTCTTCTGCTATACATGCATACATGTAGACAAACATGAATATATGCATGTTCATACACATCCACAGTAGCTTATGCCCTTTGATGTATATATGAAAGAGTCCTCCAGTGATCGTTGCTCATATTATCCATGCATGAGCGGAATTTGTGTTGTACAGACATCATCTTGTACAAGCACTTCTTACTTAAGTGGATAGTGCCATGTTGTTTCATAAAGCAGTTTCTCTGAACTGCCTTCCTATCAGCTATCTAGAATGTCTCCTGTGACAGAGATTGCTAGATACCTATGCAATATCCAATTTATTTTGAAATATACATATATATATATCCCTGTCATATAAAATACACAGTAATAACCCCCAAATGAAAAACCATTTTTTTCAAGTCTGTTTTACCTATAAGCTTTGTCAGTGAGAATTATTTGGTAGTACTACCAAGAATACAAAAACATTTTACCAGTTGAATTTTCTGAATGCTGCTGCTTGAAATGTAGAAGTGATTGTTGGAGTTCCAGGAGTCCACTTGGTATCGTGATGAAAAGACGATGGGAATCACCAAAAACTTGACCTGATATCCTTGAGCCACTAACTCATGCCAATGGCCAAATTCTCATTGCAGTGAAAAAAAATTAACTCATGCATTTAAATAAAATATGCCCTTTAGCAGTAAACCAAACCAAATCCTGATATATTTTAATTGAGAATTTCAATTGCATTTCTCTAATTACTAATAAAGTTAATTGAAATATGTTAAATATAAAACTTAATAGAAATCATATTTAAAAAACCTGTAAAAATGTTGAAACCATTGCCTTTAAAATCAATAAGAAGTCTCACAATCTCTTCTATCCAACATTGTACTGGAAGTCCAAAATAGTGCAATTACACAAGAGAAAGATAAAACATTTCTGCCTACTGAAAAGAAAGAAAAAAATTGGTTAAATTAGATGTGATAATTCATATAGGAATTTTCCCAAATATACAGTTTTTTGTAAAATTAATAAGAAATTTTATCATGTTTCCTCATGTCAGATATAAGATCCAGATACAGGAGTAATTGCATTTCTAAATGCAGGAAACATTATAAAATAAAACTTGAAGTGTTTTTAATAGTAGACATATGAAATATTTTAAAAGAATAAATGTACAAAGATATCAAATAAATATTTAAAAAATAAGTATATTTATCAAACCACACTTTAAAAGACATAAATATTTATAGACAGAAAGATTCTCTATAGAGAAGATAGCAATTCTGCCATATTAATCTCTAGATTTAATGGAACTTCAGTTAAAATACATGTAAGTGCATTAGTGGACATTGAAAAAAACACATAACCTGATATAAATGAGGTAAAATGATATACTTTGAAACAAAAACATTTGGAAGATAATGCTGAGCCAGATTTCTGGGTGCATCAGAAAGCTCCAATGATTTAAAAGTGTGGCATTGATGATAGAACAGTATTGAGAACACTGAAACTGATCCATGCATATTTAAAAATGATATATGACAAGGAATGGCATTGCAAATCATAATAAGAGGAGGCTGTTTAATAAAGGGATTATAAATATGAGTTATCTCTATAAAAAACAGGAGTCTAAATTATTACATTCTCATGTTCATAACATTATTTTCAAGTGTATCAAGAATAAGACAATATTTTTAGACTTCTAAAAAGATAGGGGGTATTAGCTAAAAATAAGGGATTTTTTTTTAAATATAGGAAATGTGAGTCATTAGGGAAAAGATTAGCAATGTTTCCTTTATTCAAATCGGGATGTCATTCATAAAAACACCATTAATTAGTCCATACCTATTTCTACCATGGTGGTGTTAGCTTCCAATTACCCATCTACTCACAAAAGCAAACTGGGAAAAACAACAACGACAACAACAAAAAACAACTACCTGAGGAGAGAAGTCAAAACCTGGAGAAGAACTCCACAGAGGATGACTCCCAATTTTTTGAAAACATCCAAAATTGAGGCAAGAAGCTATGTGAATGGCTAAAACTCAGAAGAACCACTGCAGGTTAAGGAATGAGGAGCAAATCTTGGAATGATAACTAGAGAAAGGGATCTCTTGTTTTTATGCATAAATTCACAGAAGTCACAGCCTAACTTGAGAGACATGCATGAGTAGGACTGATACAAGCCATGTAGTAAAAATACAGAAAAAGAAACTAAGACTTGGATCACCGTACAAAGAAGGTAAGACAGAATTTACATTCTGAACCTTATTGATATGATTGAATGCTAAAACAAATTTGCCTGGAGGATCAAAACAGCACCCAGAGTCTGGACAACCAGCAGTAAAAAGTTTAGGACACAACCCATACTTACTCAAAGAGCAAGGAAAATGTGAACAACTTATGTTAAAGTTTATCTCCTGAAGTGAGGCAAAATAATGAAAGAAGAAAGGTTGCATAAGATGTTGCTTATGACTTCCTGCCAAATGATAAAAAATCTGCATAGTTGCCTTAATTATCTTGCATATCTGATTTTTATGTTGGAAAACATTATTTTATTGTCACTGCAAATATAGATGTGACATCAATAATCTTTCCACAGTTTTGCCTTTTATAGAATATCATATAATAAGAATTATATAGTGTGTAGCCTTCCAGACTGATTTCTTTCACTCTAAGATGCATTTAAGATTCCTTCGTGTCTTTTCATGGTTTGATAGTTCCTTTCTTTTTATTCCTAAGTATTCTTGCATGGTATACATGAATCACAGTTTATCTATTCACATACTGAAAGACATCATCTTGGTTGCATCCAATTTTTTCAATTATGAATAAAGAAAGCTGCTGTAAATATTAGTGTGCAGTTTTGTGTTTGTGTGTTGGGGGGGGGCATAAGTTTTCAACTTATTTTGGTGATAGGGTTAGAATTTGTGTCCCTACCCAAATCTCATCTTGAGTTGCAATCCTCAGGTGTTGAGGGAGGAACTAGGTGGGAGGTGATGGGATCATGGAGGCAGTTTCTCCCATGCTTTTATCATGATAGTGAGTGAATTCTCAAGATATCTGATGGTTTTATAAGTGTTTCACAAGTTTCTCTTTTGCTTACTCATCTCTCTCCTGCCGCCTTGTGAAGAAGGTGTTGCTTCCCCTCAGCCTTCCACCATGATTGTAAGTTTCCTGAGGCCTCCACAGTCATGCAGAACTGTGAGTCATAAAACCTGTTTTCCTTTATAGGTTACCCAGTCTTGGGTATTTCTTTATAGCAGTGTGAAAACACTAATAAATTTGGTTAATAGCTAGAAGCACAATTGTGTTGGGCTTTGTAAGGACCTGACAATCTTTCAAAGTGGCTGTATCTTTTGCATTCTCACTAGCAATGAATGAATGAATCCTTGACAGGATTTGGTGTTGTCAGTGTTTTGAATTTTAGCTAATCTCTTAGGTATATCATTGCTGTTTTAATTCACAATTCTCATATGACATATGATGTGGAACATATTTTTATATAGTTATTTACCATTATCAAATATAATGATTTTTAAATGTTTATGTCTTCTTTGATGAGCTATTTGTTCAGTTTTTTACTCCGTTTTCAATTTATTCTTGTTTTTCTTATCGAGTTTTAATAGTTTTTGAATATTTTGGATACAAGTTCTTTAACAGATATGTTGTTTGCAAACATTTTCTCCAAGTTTGTGTCTTGTTTTTTCATTCCCTTAACTCTATTCATACAGTTATTGAAATTTTAAAAAAAACCTCAAAATTTGTGTATAACCTTATTTTAACTTTGTGTCATTATGCTTATATGCTTCTGTGAATTCTACATACAAATGTATTGATATAACCTGTCTATATGAGCTACATATTTCCTGGAGAGTTATGTCATCTATTTTGTAGTTCCCCTTTCTGAATTATTGAACATACTTTTCAAACAGAAAATATTATATAAAGAAAAAAGTATTTAAATAAAACTAATTAAAATTAGTTATATGTCCCCAAAATGTATAAAGATTTGCTTTTACATCTATTAATATATTTTTCTGTTGAATATTTCTGACAGTTTAATAATAATAATATATAAATATATAATTTATATGACATAATACTAAAAACACTGAACCTGAGAGTTTTAATTTTACTTTTGTTTGGTGAGCTGTATTTTACAATTATTTCTAGTTTAGCAAAAAATGTTTTGCCACAACAACTGCACCTCTTTAGATAAGGTTTCTATGGGGAAAGAAGCAGCCTTGGATGACATGAAGGAATTATATCAGGATAGATCCTCCTACCTTGTACACTTAATTATCTGTGTTAATCTTAAATATTAGAAATAGTTTTCCAGGGCATTGTTATTATCCATGTTGTTTCTGTCATGTCCTAAATAAATGGTACTCTTCTAAATGAAGTCTCCTCCCTATACATATAAAGTAGAAGAGATAAATGAGGAAATAATTGAAATAAATAATGTGGTAAATGCTTTGGCATAAAATCTCAGGCTACTGAAGCTGAACACCTGGTGGGTGGTCAGTTATGATAAATTATTTGTAACTGTGTATTTTTATTTATTAATTTTTATTCACATTTAAAAATCTACTATATGTCAGGCATGTAACTGAGTATGAAACAATTATAAAGCTACACTTATTAAGGCAGCAAATGCATGATATGAACTCCAGCAATTGCAATACAGCAGGCATTTTATAAAATGAGGCCTTAGAGAATGCTTGCATGCAATTAACCATCTAAGAACACCAGCTTTATACAAGTTTAAAGAATTATGGTCAGTATACCCTTATCTTGCTACTGCAGAGGGTATTTTTAGAAACCCTTAATAGGGTAATTAGTACTGGAGGGCTATTGCCCTACATTCGTTGCTAACTACAACAAAAAATAAAGACAAAAATATAGAATGCTTGGCTCCCAGGAGAAATTTCCTGATTACACAGACTAAAGAGGTGAACAGATCAGCAGAGTGGCTCCTATCCATGCAGTCATTCAGACACTCACTAATGAAGGCTTCATCATTTTCAACATGTGCCTTATATTAGCATCCATATAGTCAATTTTATCAATCTTGTATTTGTTTATTCTGGATTTTACTAACACATTTAACAAGTCTCTACATGTCATCATGGAGATAAATACTAACACTTTCACTTGTGATACAAACTGAGGTCAGAACATTTAGATGTAAAGTAAGTTTGATTTGAAATGTGAGTCTAAAATGACACATGGCATTGTCAATTAGGTTAAAGGAAAACATTTTTCAAAATTTCAGAAATCTAAATCTGAAACTCCAATTTTTTTATGACAATGTATTTAAAATATGCTTACTATATGCATTATGTCAAAATTATATATGTAGCATATATATTTAAGTTATGATATAAAAACTAATATCAATTTTAAAATGCTCAAGAAGCTGCATACTATTTGCTATAATCTTAGAGAGTATTTGCGCAAAATGGTAGAAAGTTGCTAATTTAACAATATGGGGATAATGAGCTCTAAAGGTGGACAAACAGTAATTCACCAGAGACAGTGCAGGACGCAATTACAAACCATTTTTAATTCTGATTTTCAACCCAAAACATTGACCAGATTAATGAATTTTTAAAAATAAACATGCCACAGAATGAATTTTTATCATAAGAATTATAAGAATAAAATAAAATATGTCCATAATAAAAGTTGTCTTAAAACATTTTTAAAGAGTCATTAGTGATAATGACTTTCAAAAACGAGATGGAATTTGTTGTGATCCTTTAACTTCTAAATTAGACAAAGCATTGAGGAATATGGAGCCCTTTCCCTTGGAATTAAACTTCCTGAATGTCTCCAATGGTAACTCACTGCAGACTCTTAATGTTTTACTTTCTCAGTAGTTTCCCAATTAACTCTAATTTAATATGTTCAGGCAGTCATATATTCACTTATGTGCTATTTGCACTAAATTTTTCTCTCTTCCTCAAATTATTCTGCAATGTATTAAACAAAGGTTGTAAAACTTCACTTTTGTAAAATTATGTTGCTTATGTGGCCTGAATATATAAAGTACATTGGAAAACATGATAAGGTAAAAAACAAAACTAAAACGAACTATTTGGTATTCTGGTCCCAATTTTACTAAATGTACTAAAATTTGACAAGAAATATAAAAATCTCAGAAAAAAAGGTCATCTTTCACATTAATTTGGTAGATAAATATGGCTTAAAATGAGAAACTACCAAAATTAAAATTAAAGAAACCCTGTAACCTAAATTTAAGATATAGTAGGCGGGGCGCAGTGGCTCATGCCTGTAATCCCAATACTTTGGGAGGCCAAGGAGGGCAAATCACCTGAGGTCAGGAGTTCGAGATTAGCCTGGTCAACATGGTGAAACCCTGTCTCCACTAAAAGTACAGAAATTAGCTGGGCGTGGTGGCAGGTGCCTGTAATCTCAGCAACTCAGGAGGCTGAGGCAGGAGAATCGCTTGAACCCAGGAGGCGGAAGTTGCAGTGAGCCGAGATCGCACCACAGCACTCCAGCCTGGATGACAAGAGCAAGACCCCATCTCAAAAAAAAAAAAAAAAAGAAACAGTAACAGTAAAAGGGTGAAGTATGATGTTCTTATTCTGTATGATATGGAAAAAAATGATTATGAGTGAAATATAAGGCTGTACAGTTCAATATTTGCCATGGCTTAAATAATGACATAAAAATGAGCTTCCTATTTATTACAGATGTGTTTATTTTTGCTTATTTATTTATTTATTTATGTATTTATTTTTGAGACCAAGTTTTGCTCTTGTGGCCCAGGCTGGAGTGCAATGACACCATCTTGGCTCACTGCAACGTCTGCCTCCTGGGCTCAAGCGATTCTCCTGCCTCAGCCTCCCGAGTAGCTGGGATTACAGGTGCACATCACCAGGCCCAGCTATGATTTGTATTTTTAGTAGAGATGGGGTTTCACCATGTTGACTAGGCTGGTCTCAAACTCCTGACCTCAGGTGATCTGCCCGCCTCGGCCTCCCAAAGTGCTGGGATTACAAGTGTGAGCCACTGCACCCAGACTGTTTTCTGCTTTTATTATTATGTTATTGAATTTTATATGGCTTAATTCTTAGAACTTAGATTTCATGTCTTAGTTTGTTAGGTATACTATAAGAGAATACTAATAGGCTTGGTGGATTATGAACAACAAATGTATTTCTGCAGATTTGGTGTCTGGGGAGGGACTGCTTCCTGGTCCATAGAAGCCATCCTCTCAATCCTTTTATGGCAGAAATGATGAAGGCTCCCTGTGGACTCTCACATTAAAAAGTGGGAAATTAGGTTATAAAGTACCTACCAAAGGCCCCACTTTTTAATCAGGAAATTAGGTTATAGGAGGAATTTATGTTACAGGGTTCTACCACACGCCCCACTTTTTAGTGCAATCACATTGGGGTTTAGGATTTCAACATATGAATTTGGGTGGAACACAAATGTCAGTCTACAGCACTTCAGTTATTTAGCTGATAATGTTCCTTTTGATTTCTGATATAGGGGAAAATCACATTGAATGAGTAACTCAATAGTATAAAGACACTTAGTGGAAGTCATAGTCTTTGTAATATTGGGATTGTTATTAGCACATGAATAATGAAAGATATCCTCAGATAAAGCAGTAGAAAATGTGATTAGTGCTATAATTTTTAAAAGGAGGGAGAAATGTGTCAAATATAAATGGGAAAACATGGTGACTATAACGTATCTTGGGCACTTTCAGAATTAGACCACAAGAGATAAAAAGGGAGGAGAATCATGACAGAAAGACCACAGTAGAATGGGAACTTATTTAAGTGAGAATAATCTATCCCTGTAAGATGTGATTCTCCAGAAGATGGTTTCCTAAATGTTGAACAGGGCGATTTTAATTTATGTGTTTTCTACTTAGCTTGTTGCCCACACTCATTTTAAAGCAGTTTAGCCTGTCCAGGGAAGACCTTATTTATCCTCAAATACAAATAAGAAAAGAATAATAAATTTGACTCCATAAATAGTGACTTTTAGAAATTCAAAAGACAAATAGTAAAAGGGGAAAAACTATTTCTGTCTCATACTGTAGTCCAGTAGATATCATCTATAAAATATAAAGCCCTTCTAAAAATTAAAAAAGTGATTGCTAAAAAATTGCCAAGGAGAAAATTGGACAAAGGGGATAAATAAATAACTCAAAGGAAATTAAATAATTATGTTTCTACATTTTTTAAAAAAACTGTTTTCCTCAAAATAACAGGAATACAGTATAATTTTTTCTAGATACCATTTCTTTCACTTAGTTTCACAAAAACCAAAATGTTTGTTAACCTTGTATTGGTGTAGGGTTCATATATTGTTGGTGGATTTGTAAATTATTACATTCTCTATTCAAGACAATGTGACCTTAATCATGAAAATAACAAGTGTAAACACTCTTTGATTCAACAATTTTACTTCCTGGAGTTTATTCAACAAATGTTGTTTTGTTCAGAATGATGTCTGCGCAGGTTTTCAGTGCATCCTTGTGATATCAAAAGTAGCAAAAGCTATTGCTCTTGGGATAGTAGAAGCATCCCTTTTCTTGTGATAAAAATGTAAGAATTAAAATTAAATGTCTGTTTGTAAAGATATAGTTAAAACACTGGTATTTTACGACACCATAAAATGAAATGAAGGAGCTCTTCATACATTCAGAGGCAATAATTTCGAAGATAGAATTTTAACAACATATGAAAACATATTATCCACATTGTTATAAAATATGTTCTTATATGTATGAAAATGGGTTAAAGAACACACACCTGTGAATTTGTGTGTGTATGTATGAATGTGTGTGTGTTGCTTGTGCATAAAATCTATGGAAAGGCTATACCAGAAACTGCAAACTTTGGTTTGTCCCAAGAGTAATTGGATGTTTAAAAGACTGAGGTAGCAGGAAAATTTTGTAATACATGTACATCTACACCTTTTTAATAGAACATCATGAGAATATCCATTATTGTATGCTATTTTTAAAAAATGAGTAACAATGGCCAAACCCCAGAGCTGCTGGTATTAAATTTTATTAACATATTGCCAGTAGTATTGTGTATTAACATGAACTAAGATTTTTCCAAATAGTTCATATTCAGTAATCTCGCTTTATCTATTTTTAAATTTTGAACCATGAACAAAAGTTTTACAAAATGAGAACTGGTAAATTCAAAATAATACCTTGAGCACAATTTTATTGGTAGAGATTTTATGATTCTTATAAAAATTAACTTGCCACACTTAATTAGCAATGAACGACAATTAATTAGCAAAACTTTTTTCTAAAAAGATTTGATATCTGGGTGAAATGTAAGACAATATTTACAAAAATATAGAAATCACACCAACTGTTCTAAGGTGATACAATAATAATTTTCTTTAGCAAAACTTTTTACTAAAAAGATTTGAAATCTAAGTAAAATGCAAGATGATATTTACAAAGATATAGAAATCAAACTTTTCTAAAGGGATACAATAATAATTTTTTTCAGGGCCATCAGATTACATCTTGCGTTATTCTCTACCTTTCAAACTCTCTGAATTTCAAACAAAGCTTGAAGTTAGAATGATAGCTGGATAAGTGTTTTACTGATTAACAATTACAAAGGGCTGTATATCAACATCATATCAAAATTAAGGACTGATTTTAAACTCTGGAATATGTGTCATCCTGTAAACTTTTATTAACTAGTCTCAACTGGCAGAGGTAGAAATCAGAGTGGAGATTTTTGGAAACTACAAAAAACCTGGAGAATTCATGAGGACTACAAAGCTGAACAAATATCTAGAAGAGGAAATCCTGGTTTGAGGGACCCCAAGCTTGGTTTTGCAAGAATGTACAGTAAGAAATCAGGTGACATCACTGATATGCAATGACTCCTCCTTGATATTATTATGAAATAAAGAAGCTGTCTGTAGATTCAGAGGCAATATTGCAAGGATAGAATTTTAACAACACATGAGGACATATTATACAACAATGTGTATAATATGTACGTGTATTATTTTACCTATTGCATGTATATTATATGAAATATAATTATATATTATGTTCTCATTTGTATGAAATAGGTAAAAGAATACATACACATGATTTCGTGTGTGTATGTGTGTATGTGTGTGTGTGCCGCTGAAATACAAATATCATATTTGGTTGTCATCTCAGACTAACATTTAGCTTTGTATAGCGTCCTCTGTGTTCAAAGAGAGGTTGCTTGTGATCTGTACAAATACCCTGTTGATGCCCTCTAAAGAAACTACCAAAGCCTTAATTAGGATATTAAATGTCACTTTTTTTAAATTTTTCACTCAGAAAAAAAATTGTTAATAATCAGGATTCTAAAACCATAGCTACAGTTGTTACATGAGATAGTTTTTCTCCCTCACTGAGGGGTAATATGTCTGCAGCAAGGCTTGGCTTTGAGCCATGGTCACACCAGGAGCAAGCAGAGAGCTCTCTCTGGGAAATAGCGTGTCGCATTTGGTGCGTTCAAACAGAAGGTCTGGCTTAAGTTTTCTGCTCAACTAAGTTTCCAGACACTCTCAGGGGTACATTGTTGGAAAGGCCATGGGCTGAGGCTGCAACTTGTAAAAACTCTCAGGCTAAATTAATTATATTTCTGGAAATCATGGGAGAAAAGAAAAAAACATCAAGGAACTGTGGGATCTGGGGAAGTAATTTACTTTTGAATTATTGCTTGAGAATTTTTAGGTGATACTGGAGCGCCAAAGGAGGAAATATTATCACTGATAACTAACTCTTAATGAGGGTCTACTAAAGTGGAGCTATGATCTAATACCGAATTCAGGGCAACAAAAGAATACAGAAGATCTATATGGTATGACCCCCTCTAGATCAAGGAAGTTACAATCATTGAGGAAATTAATTCCATGACATAATTAAACTGGACAAATAGGGCATGAACTGTACCTTTGTCCTATTGTTTTAGTAAGCAATCCAGTTGAAAATCATAAATTTTGGAGTCATTGGACTTTCAGATTTTTAGGGGGAAACCATAGGTGAGGAAGAGATCACTGTCAAGAGATGGGCAAGATTACTTAGGAGGCTGAGGCAGGAGGCTCTCTTGAGGCCAGAAGTTGGAGACCAGCCTGAGCAACAGACCAAGACCCCATCTTTAACAACAACAACAACAACAACAACAAATTAGCTGGGTGTAGTGGCATGCACCTGTAGGCCCAGCTACTGGGACTAAGGTGGAAGGATCCCTTGAATCCAGAAGTTCAAGGCTGCAGTGAGCTGTGATCATACCACTGCACTCCAGCCTGGGAGACAGAGCAAGACCCTGTCTCAAAATAATAATAATAATAAAACAAAATAACTATAAGTGTCTATGGTTTCATCCTGCTTGCAAGTTCATAAGTTTACCAGCCAGAGTTTCGTAGATGCTGGCAGAAGACACAAGAAGACCCAGGCACCTGGGTAAGAGAAACCGCAGCAGCCAGAGCTTCATGTCTGTTTCCCTCACTTCCCCATGCTGCTGTCTTAAGTCCCATCGGGGTGAGGCAAGTGGGCCTGTGATGGACACTTGTACACAGCAGTTTGCATTGCAGGAGAAAAGCATTGAGCTTGAAGAATCTAGTGCTTTTGTAGAAAGCATAAGGCAGTTTGTCCTTACCATGGGAGGAGATTTCATGTCATTTTTCAGAGTAACTCACTGAAAGCACAACCCAAATAAATTCCTGGGATGAAAGTGTTTATAGCTCTGTGCTCTTGACTTACTCAGTAAGAAGACACAGGGACAATCCAAGGAAGACAGAGCATCTCTTCCAACCGTCACCAGGGAGAATAGGAGAAGAAGTAGAAGGCTAATAGTGAACTTTAGGAAACACCAACATTAAAACTATGCAGAGGGGACTAAAGAAGAATAGTGAGAAAATCAAACAACTAAAACAAAATAGTCTATAGATGTAACAAGACCACGTGGTTCAGATGTATCAACAATGTATTAGTCTCTTTTACATTGCTATGAAAGAATACCTGAGGCTGGGTAAATTATAAAGAAAAGCGGTTTAATTTGCTCACGGTTGTGCAGGCTGTACAGGAAGCATGGCTTCTGGTGAGACCTCAGGAAGCTTTTACTCATGGAAGAAGGCAAAGCGGGAGCAGGCATGTCACATGGCAAGAGAGGGAGCAAGAGAGATGCCAGGCACTTTGAAACAAGCAGCTCACGCATGAACTAACAGAGTGAGAACTCACTCATTACTACAGAGAAGACACCAAGACAGTAATGACAGATCCACACACCCAGAACCCAAAGCCTCCCACTAGGCCACACTTAAAACATTGGAGATCACATTTCAATATAAGTTTTGGAGGGGATAAGCACCCAAACTACATCAAACAATCTTCCCTATAAATAAATGGTATGAAATTGTTTAAAACAGTAGTGTACAATTTTTTTGTCTCAGTATACATTTACCCTCTTAAGAAGCATTGAGAATCCCAAGAGCTTTTGTGGTGGGTTGTATCTATTGATACTTACTATATTAAAAATTAAATCTGAGAAAAATTAAAATAACGATTACATGTTTTAGGAAAAACATGCTATTTTTTCCAAGACTAGAAGCTTACTGAGAACATTGTTTTACATTTTTGTAAATCTCTTTAATGTCTGTCTTAAAACAAATACTTTGATTCTTATATCTGCTTCTGTATTCATTATATTGCCATAAGTTGTTTAGATTGAAGTATATGAAGAAAATCCAATCTCACACAGATGCAACTGAAAAAGGGAAGAGGGCATTTTAATAGACTTTTGCAAATAACCAGGGACATTCTTCTTTAATACTATACCAAAACTTGACAAGTAGTAATTTTTAAATAGCAATTGAAATGTGGAATCAGAAAACATTATCACTATTTTTTGTACTGTTATATTCGAATTCATTCGTCTATCTTGCATTTCTTTGTTGCTTTTTGAGACAAGGTCTTGCTCTGTTGTCAAGGTTGAAGTGGAGTGGAGCAATTATGGCTCACTGCAGCCTCATCCTCCTGGGCTCAAAAAAATCTTCCTGCCTTAGCCTCCGGTGTAGCTGGGACCACAAGAGCGCCACCACACTAGGCTGATTTTTTTTTAATGTTTGTAGAGACAGAGTCTCATTCTGTTGCCCAAGCTGGTCTCAAACTCCTGGGCTCAAGCAATCTTCCCACCTTGGCCTTCCAAAGAATTGGTATTACAGGCGTAAGCCACCTCACCCACTTTATCTTGCACTTGGGATTATTTACCCATGCGTGATTTGTTATGTAATGCACAGATTATTCAGAAAGTACTGGCTGAGTTATACTGACCTTTCAAATGCTGACACACTTCACTACATCAGAAAGTACAGTTTACTAAATTACGCTGATCTTTCAAATGCTGACACTTTTCACTGTATAATATCTAGTATCACATTCATTAATTTTATCGTCTCTATAACCAGAAAAATATTTAAGAGTTAGGTATTGTCAATCTCACAGTAGTGAATATAAGTTTTCCACATTTCTAATTTCCATGTGAAAGCTTGAATTTTATCATTGACAACAAATACTATCAGATGTTTTTCTTAAAGTGGCAGGTTCACTTTCTTGATTCACTATCAAGAAAATGTCTGCAAAATACCCACCTCTGAATAACCATAGGTTTTCTGTCAGTTTTTCTTTCAAGGAAAAATGGTGCTTCATGCAAAAGATGCAGCTAGTCTAGCTTGCAACTTAGACAATTACACGCGCCAGAGAACAATCATCATACTTCATTATGCTGTGGGGCAGCCTTGAGAGCTCTTCCCATTTCATCACACAGAACATTAAAACACTGTGACTGGAGAGCTGAGACTGAATAAACTAATGATTTTCATGTTTCATCCAGGGCATTCTTAATTTTTGTGTTTGTTTTTCCTGCTGGTTCCTGGCTGGGAAGAATACAATGGCTACCAGTGGCTGGGTGTCCCTCCCTCCATTCATGCAAAGGCCCAGCATTTTTCCCACATTGCTTCTGCACCATCCGTGCATATGTCAGCACCGTAAAACAGGCACATAAGATCTACCATCCTTATGAAAACAGATGGGCCATCACCATGGATGTAGCTAGGGGACCCAGGAGTCCGTAAACAATGTTTTGAGAAGTATTATTTCGGAAACAGAAGTGAAGATTGGGGCCTTTTTCTTCCTTAAATTGCTCATCTAGTGTTTTTTGTTTTTTTTTTACATTTATTTTAGCTGTTTTTATCCTCTCTCTCCCTATCCACATTTCTCTCTCCATCTCTCTCTTTCTGTGTATGTCTATGTGTGTGCAAGCCCTGTCAGAAAATATTCAGTCTAATTAAAACTTTAAGAAATATCTTATTTTCCTATTGCGGATCATTTTCAGAAATTCCTTCTGACTTCAACAGTCACTTCAATGTGACTTCTTCAACCATTACTTTTATTTTTTATTAATAGAATTGTTTTTAGTATATAAGTCCTCTGCTGTAGACAAACATTTTGTGAAAACCTCTCAGTCAGTGTCTGGCTAGGTTAAAATCACAATCTCTAAATCTACTCTTATAACTAATTTCTATGTGTTTAATAATCTGTGTAAATAAAATTATCACAGAAAATTCACCCAGATATATATTCTCAACTTACACATGCCAGAATTTTAGAGAGGTGCAAAAACATCAATCAGCAAGTCCAAGATACATCTCATAATTTTCTACTGTGAAGACTTGACACCTAATTCACATCATTTTTAGTGCAAGCTCATCCAATTGATAAGACTTGCATTATAGCAGTTGGATTTGAACCTGGTAACATTTTCACATATTTTAAAAAGTCACAATATACAGTAATACAACAAATAGAAGTTGCATCACATTAGACAACAAAAATGATATAATGCAAAACTTAGTAAGTATTTCTGGGATGCTGTTATATCTGGTACAACCTGAATATTTACACAAAGTAGAGATTATTTATATCTTAAACAATCAAGAATATAAAGGCTATTATGAATTTCACTTGTCTCAGAATTAGATTAATATATTTTAGAATGTCTTATTGATAATAAATATTATTTGCATTTATATTAGGAAGCTTATTCATTACCAAATGTGATTGAAAGTGTAATGGTCAATATAATTTATAGTCTTTCTGCCTCAGTATATAATTGTCCAATATGTCATATGCAAATGCAGCAGGATAATATTTCTAAATGTATTCATTTGTCTTTTCCTTACTTTTTTTTCACTAGACACCATTCCTCCAATATTAAAATAATACTGAGCTTATTATCCCCAGGAAAACAGAACAAAAAAATAGAATATGAACAGTAAAATAATTGGCTTTAAGTTCCAAATAGGCTTTAAAAATCCATAGTTAGAGCAAGTCTCAAGTGCACTTTTTATTTATATAAATTACATATATGGATTTGTAGGGAAGAAAAATGATTTGAATATTCCAAGGATCCAGACACTAAACATTTATAAGACAGAGAAATGTAAATGATGGATAGCAGAGTAAGAAAGGCATTATGTGAATCCATTAGGCATTTTTCCATTGTAATGGGAAAAAGGTCTCAATGGGTAAGCAGGAAGAGGAAATCCAGGGAAGTTACTATGATTCACTGGAGGCTGCTGGTGCCTAGGAAGAGGCCTGACACTCCTGTTCCTTGGGGCTCTGTGAGAAAGGGCTGAACTCTCTGTAAGTTTAGGGGAAACCTGAATGCAGAGGAAGCGTCTTCTATATTTTTAATGTACTGTCCATGGACAGTCAAACATGGTAGTGGAACTTCACATTAAGTATGGTGGTGCCAAATCAATAAAATAGATACAGGTTATGAGTTTGACAGTAGCTCCAGAAAATTCTGATAAACCTGGCCTGGTGCAGATACGGAAGCAAGTCTCCCATACAGTAGGTGTGGCAGAAGCTATTTTTCAAATATGATTGCAACAATTACTCTCATTACCCTTACTGTTTTCACTGTGTCACTCTGAGAGGTCTCGCCTGAAGACATGAGGTTAGTATTTCTTCTTGAATCTGGTGGGCTTATGAATAGAAGAAGTGATGTTATGATATTTTGAGCCTAAGCCATAAAAAGCAAACAACTTCTGCCTGTTTCTCTTGGATTCTTTTTTTTCTTGGAACCCAGCTATCCATGCTATAAAGGAGCTCATGCAGCCAAGAGAGGCTACATGTGGGTGTTGGGCCAACAGGTCCAGCTGAGATTGCAACCAACAGCCAGCGGCAACACTCAGAAATCTGAGTCAAAGGAACCCCTTTAGATGAGTCCAGTCTCCAGTCTTCAAGTACTCTAGATGAAGCCCAAAATATCTCAAAGCAAAAGCAAACTGTTCCCACTCAGCCTCTTCTGAATTCCTTGTCCTTAGAATCTAAGAACATAATAAAATGGTTGTTGTTTCATGTCATTGAATTTGGATTTCTTTGTCATGAAGAATAGATAACAGGGAAGGTGTGGTAGGGAAAAGAGGGAGTAGAGGCTAGAGGGCCTATGAAGGAGAAGAATTGCTTTGCGGGGAAGTAATCCAAGTGTCTAAGTGCTTAGGCCTCATGTCTAGGAGCCGTGGTGGGGGCCTGCAGCATGAGGAACAGATCTCATGGCAGGTGCTTCAATACCAGGCTAATTGAGTTAGGTTTGCATACGTGCAGGCAGGGGCAGAAGGTAACAATGTTACAACATGTTTTCTTAAATACTATGATAATACCATAGATTCCTGGAATTTAAGAGACTATAAAAGAATGGAAGAAAATGTGAAATGGGCTGAATCACAGATTGACAAGGTGTCATCCTAAGATATCCACATTTAAATAATGTACTGGAATTGGGTTTAGTTTTCCTTTGACACTTCTACATTATTTTTAATTGTGTCATTGAGAAATAAAGTCCAATTTGACTTATCTTTAACTTTATAAAATGGCCAAAATGCTGGCTAAACATATATTTTAAAATGTGTTTGTTGAAATGTCCAATGCTGTGAGCAGAAGATCTTATTCAGTGCCCCTCTACAGAGTTTAAAATTGTAACTGGAAAATAGTTTTTAGGTTGGCAAATTGAGATCAAAACTTCATGTCTTCAACAGAACCAATGTGAACAGTAACTGACAGCTCTTTCCGCTTCCATATTTAGTTTTTAAATTGTGGAAAAATACACATAACACAATTTAACAACTTAAGTGTTCTTAAGTATACAGGTCAGTCATTTCCGCTTCCACTTTTAATGATTTATTCTATACTTTAGAGCTCTATCTAATATAAATTTTTAAGGAGGACTCTTAAGAAGAAAACATTAATCACTGTTTGTGAATAACATGGTCTAAATTTCTGCTAATGATAATGGAGCTATACCCATCTAACCAAACTCTTCTATTGAATTTTCTCAGAGACCTGTAGTAAAAATTATAAGATAAATTGCCTTGATTGGGATGCAGCTGTGGCCCCAATTCACACAAAGTTCACTGGACCAAATGGGAGTTGAATCTATAACCATGTGTTCCAAGAAGCTCAGTGTATCTGACACAGCCAGATTATAACATATCAGGAAGATTGTCTCTACTAAAATTGATAAATGGTCAATATGATATAATTTTTTAAATGATGATTTTATAACAAATCCCATTTGTTGTCATATTCTGATCATCTGTCGTTGACTTATTTCATTATGTGTTCATGGAATTCGTATGTTCAATTTTAAGATAATAAAGTGAAATGCTAGTTAATTACCTTTTTTGAAGCCAGCAATTTTAGGGAAAGCTCTGAGGAGTCCCTCCCCACTCCCGTGCAGCCGTAAGCATGTTGCATCCATGTGCCCTTTCCTTCCTGTCTCTAACTCTTGGTTCCCTAAATTTGATTCCCTCCTCCTCGGAAGCCTCAGCTCCATTCCTTTCTGAGGTGCTAGGCTTTAGTTCAATGTCACTGTTGTCTCAAAACTGGAGTGGTGCTACCAGTGAAAGAAAATTGTGGGAGAGGTTCAAGACATTCTAGTGCACAAAACTATTAGCTATAGAAACTGGGGCATTAGAGAAAATATGCAGACTTTGAGCAGATGTATTGTAATATTCTCTTGTAAACAATACTATAGAAGTTGAGTTCAGGCTTTTCATAAAAATAAAAGTAAAGTCTCAGTATTAGGTCTTCCAGAAGTTAGTAACTTCCCTATTTTGTGGCAAATAAATTATTAATGATTGCTTGAGTTCAGCTCTCAGAGAGAAAAAGAAGAGGAAGAGACAAATCCAGAATTTAGCTTCTACTCCAACTTTGAGAGAACTTGGGCGAGATAAAAGGCCACTAATTACACTACGGGTTCATACTTATTGATTCCAGAAAGAGATAAACATGTATGGAGCATTGCTAATACTGAATTCCTAGCTTTTTTGGCCATGGATCCTTTTTGTAATCAAGTGAACATCATGGATCTTTAATGTTTTTAAACATATAAAATAACATACATGGGATTACAAAGAAATAACTATTAACAACTAATAATTTTTATAATCTCAAAGTAGTGGTGAGTACAAAACTTTCAATATCATCGATAACCTGAATGTAATATGAAAGTTTCTATTTGATTTCCATGGGTAGCAAAGTCATCCAGAATTGCTAGTACTACCATGGTTTATTGATTACATTTAACATGGAAGTAAATGCTAAATTTCAGTTATAGGATAGTAAAAATAATGATGCATTTTTTTTCTCTTATCCAAGTTCATCAGCCTCCAAAGGTCCATGCATAGACCCCTTAAGATTTGGTAGATCCTATTTTAAGAAAGCCAGAGTTAAGATGAGCCTATAGTTTTTTTGTTCTGTTTTGTTTTTTGTTTTTTTACCTGGGAAATGGATTGCTTCACGCTTCATCCTAATGTCAAAAAGAGTCATTTCTTATAAAATCTGAGCTGACGTCTAAAAACAACAACAACAAAAGCAGCAAAAATTCAAAATTTTTCCACCATGAATAAACTAGCAGCCATAAACAGGCTTATTTTCAAGAGACAGGGGCTGTATATGTTAGACTTCAAAAATATCTCCGGAAGCTTGCCATTTTCAGCTTAGGTCACTTCCACATTTGATTAGAGAAGAAAACAACCAAAGAAAATTTATAGACATATTAGATGAGTGAGGTACTATCTGTGCTTAATAATATGTTCTTTTTACTACTGGTCCTTCAAGCGAAATTTCTTCATCAGTTAGTTTTGTGTGAAACTTCAGCTATGCCAATTATGTGGGAAAGGACAAGCTACTTAAACATTCAGCTCTTTAGTTTTCTCCTGTGTAAAATGAATGGGTTAAGTTAAATGATCTTTTAGGGGGATTATAGTGGAAAGAGAATTAGTGTTAAAGTTAAACAGCACTTAAAATCTCCATTGCAATGCTATTAAATAAAATATGATTTAAGAAATTGAGACCCAGTTCATTACAGAGTTATGAGGATCAAATAAGGTAACGTAATGTAATGTTAATATTATCTTATCTTTTTTTTTTTTTGAGATGGAGCCTTGCTTTGTCGCCTAAGCTAGAATGCAGTGGCACGCTCTTGGCTCACTGCAACCTCCGCCTCCCAGGTTCAAGCAATTCTCCTGCCTCAGCCTCCCTAGCAGCTGAGATTACAGGCGCCCACCACTGCACCTGGTTAATTTTTGTATTTTTAGTAGAGATGGGGTTTCACCATATTGGTTAGGCTGGTCTCGATCTCCTGACGTAATGATCCACCCGCCTTAGCCTCCCAAAGTGCTGGGATTACAGGCGTAAGCCACCGTGCCTGGCCAATATTATCCAGTCTTAATGTTTCTCTATAAGGCACACAATAAACACTAAATAATGTGACTTCATATTCAGACTCTAACACGCTTGATCTAGAAATGCCTGCTCTGTGTGTCTGTGTGTATGGAACCCCAAGTGTTATTTTCAGATAGCTGCTTATTGAAAGCACTATGCACACTATATTACAAGATGCTTGAATACTTTAGAGAAGAAAAGCAACCCATGTCTCTAAATTGCTGACACCGGAAATGATGGAATGTAGGATATAAGGCAAAGAATATTAAAGAATGTGAAGCTGTTTGATAAAGTGGTCAGATTCTTAGTCTAAATGAGAGCTTTCCAGAACTCCTTTTAACATAAAATAATTACAAGACACATAGAATACTGTATATACGCACATATATGATGTTTATTTAACATACACAATATAGTATAACATCTATTTATACATATAAACATATATAATATTCATATAATGTTTCCAAAGCATGAGAGAAAACTGAAGGCTGCATTTACATAACATAAGCTAGATGGGATTTGAACTGTCCACAATCATTCTGAGATGCTAGGATATTAATTAATATCTCTGAATTGGCCATTAAAAAGTCGCTTCCAATTTTCTTTCAGAAATGGTAATTGACAGTTTCTTGGACTATCGCTTTAAAGTTTGTCAGTATTGACAAAAATGCATATGATGTCACCTGGTAATTACAATGCATACTGTAAATATACAATTAGCTAAACAATTCAGTAGCCAAATGTAATCATTTTGATAACTTGATCTCCCCGAAGTCTTTGAACAAAACTGCAGACCATCTACAGTCTCTCATATTTCCAAAGTCATAGTATTAATTAAATAGTCCTTCATTTGAATGTTATTGTGCCATCTAATGACACATTTTTTTTTTTTTTTGAGACAGAGTCTTGCTGTTGCCCAGGCTGGCATGCAGTAGTGCAATCTCAGCTCACTGTAACTTCTGCCTCCCAGGTTCAAGGGATTCTCAAGCCTGAGCCTCGCGAGTAGCTGGGACTACAGACAGGCATGCACCACCACACCTGGCTAATTTTTGTATTTTTAGTAGAGACGAGATTTTGCCATGTTGCCCAGGCTCTTCTCCAGCTCCTGAGCTCAATGATCCTCCTACCGCCTCAGCCTCCTGAAGTGCTGGGATTACAGGCATCAGCCACCGTGCCCGGCCTAATGACACTTCCTAATTTACTTTTCTTTACTCAAATTTATATATCTTGTCTCTCCACTAGAGTATATAGTTAAAAAGGATCATTCCCTTTTTTTTTTTTTTTTTTTTTTTGTAGACGGAGTCTCGCTCTGTCGCCCAGGCTGGAGTGCAGTGGCGGGATCTCGGCTCACTGCAAGCTCCGCTTCCCGGGTTCACGCCATTCTCCTGCCTCAGCCTCCCGAGTAGCTGGGACTACAGGCGCCCGCCACCACGCCCAGCTAATTTTTTTTTGTATTTTTAGTAGAGACGGGGTTTCACCGTGTTAGCCAGGATGGTCTCGATCTCCTGAACTCGTGATCCGCCCGCCTCGGCCTCCCAAAGTGCTGGGAATACAGGCGTGAGCCACCGCGCCCGGCCGTAAAAGGGTTCATTCATTTTTAAAAACCCTGCACATAATAGACATTACGTCACCACACTTTTTTTTAGATTGCTTTAATGTTATTGAGTCTGCACATAGGTACAGAATATTTGGTTGGCTTAATTCCTTCATTAATTCAATAAAAATTTACAGAGGAGTGCAAAAGCCCAACACTATTTCTGTTGTTGGCAATATAAATAATGATTTTCTTTGTCATATATTTTAAAGAGAAAAATGGGAAAGTGATTTTCAGATGGCACACTTTTTTTGTGGCTTATGACTGCATTAGCAAAGAATCAGTCCTAAGAAGAAGATGAAGACATGATCCAATTTTTTTTATCTTTGACACGTCTTAGAAAGATTTTCCTCAGAATAACTGCATTTGTAACAGAGAGGATGGAAATAAAGAACAGGGCTTTTTACACTATAATATTCAGACTCTAGGCTGTTACATATCTGGGGAAGGAGAAATTTTAGAGGTAGGGAAACCATGAAATGAGGGGGAGACGTGAGAAAGAAAGAGACATCACCTGGCATTGGGTGGGTATGGTGCAGACTGCATAAGGTCACGTACTTTACAGCTACCCCTGCCTTTCTCCATCATTCTTGGCACTAGAGGGTTGGACTGCAATTGTTTATTGTGCCCTTTAGGAACAATGAAAAATGTTCTTTAAATCAGAGCTTTATTGTTTAAAATTAATGAGAACCTTCCTTGACTAAAACATGATGTGAGAACCACAGGCAGTTTATTAAACAATTAATCAGAAATGACTATATTGGATATCAAAATACAGGTAACATACAAAGTGATACTGATTAATCTTTGGTTCTTCTCACATAAAAAAATTGATGCAATTCTTAGCTTACCATGCCCACTTGGGGTCTGTATGCTCCCTTTACCACACTCTGATCGGATATTAGTTTCAGATGCTCTCTTGCATTTACATTGTTCGAATTATTAGCTTCGGTAAGATTTATATCAATACAGACTTACAGAGAACTCCTAATTTATATGGTCTGCTAATGTTCAAATGCAAACAAAATTCATACGTTTATCAATTATTTATTTAATACCACCTAAATCTATTACTACCAGCCACTGGGCAAGTCCATGCAATGATCCAGGGGATTGTTTTTCAATGGGCCTCCTATGGAAGTCATGGCACAAGTCGACAGTAGCTTTAACTGGAAAATATGCCATCTACAATAATAGCTCACTGAGTTTTGTCTTCTACTTGGAATCTGATTTGCGCTAGGACACTAAGATAAATTTTATAGCTGACTTGAGCTTTGGGTCTGAACTAAACTATTTCCAGTCTCTTCATAGCAACTTTGACTCTATGGTACTTCTGGTTTCTAGCAGTAAAAGTCTCTCCCGGACACTGTATATTGTAGTCGAGGCATCTAGGAGTTTGCCCTTCAACTGTTTCATTCTCATATCTCTCTGGTATTTAATACTAAGCAGTTACCATTGTATTTTAAATGATAAGGTGCTGAGTGAATTCTTTTTAAAGAATTTTTTAAAGAATTTTAATGATTAGATACATTATTTCAAAAAGATAAAACATAAAACTTTGTTACTATGAAAACTATTACCACCCTTCCTATTTTATCAAAAGAAAGCTGTTAATAGGCACTGATATGGTTTGGCTGGGTCCCCACCCAAACCTCATCTTGAATTGGAGCTCCCATAATCCCTACATGTCATGGGAAGAACCCAATGGGAGGTAATTGAATCATGAGGGCAGGTATTTCTCATGCTGTTCTCGTGATAGTGAATAAGTCTCATGAGATCTGATGGTTTTATAAAGAGTAGTTACCCTGCACACACTGTCTTCCTTGCCTTCATGTAAGATATGCCTTTGTTCCTCCTTTGCCTTCTACCATGATTGTGAGGTCTCCCCAGCCATGTGGAACGGTGAGTCCATCACACTTCTTTTTCTTTATAAATTACCCAGTCTTCGGTATTTCTTCATAGCGGTATGAAAATGGACTAATACAGACCCCTAGGTATTGAGATAGATATAGATGGGTTGATGGATAGATAGATAAGTAGATCATTTTATCTCCCCCTTAAACCCATGTTGATTATTTTGTTTTCTGAAAAAAAAAGAAAAAAATATTCTCTCGGGTATACATGAATAAGACTGAGTTTATTTTAGTAAAAAAAGGGGGATTTTTTTTTGTTCTTCTTTGCTTTTTGACTAGAAACTGAACAAGAGGTTTTATAAGGTTATTTGACATGAATTCTATTATGTTATTAATACACTTTCCATTAAACACCATGCTGCTAAGCCTTGTGTTATATTAACCATTTATTATAATAGGAAGGTATGCTCTATTATAGGATTTATTAAAATATGGATTTATTCAAATTATAATAGATACTATATGGGAGATAATATATATATAGTATCTACCAGAATTAGCAAATAATATTTTAAGAGATACTGATCTTTTGTGATGTAAGTATAAATTTCAGGCTAACAGCAAAATTAATAAAAGCATTCAAATATGTTATGTTTAAATAACACAAATTTAAGACTAATTTGCTTTCTGCTTTCATAAAATTAATTTTAAAACATAATGCAGTATATTATCTACCTTTGAAAATTGTAGTTTTGTTTTACTCTTCCCTTAAGAGTCCACTAACTCTAGATAAATGCTGTATATTTTATAAACTGCCTTCATGTCACAAAAATCTCTATTTTCTGAACAGACTGAAAGAGCTCTTCCTCTTCTAATGTATCATTCTCAAGTCTGGAGGACATCAGCGACTAGGTCAAAAGGAGCTTAAAGCAGCAGGATACTTCAGTGAATAAGACAAGACAAATATTTGAGTAGCTTTAAAGATTCATTTCTCATAAAGATTTAGATAATCATCATATGTTATATAATGACTTCATTTTCCTAATCATCCTTTGAAGTTCTCTTCAAATTAAATGTATATATATAACAAGTAGATATATTTTATTTGACATATTCTCCCAATGAAACAATTACTTTAGTAAATTTAATGGCCTTCTTCCTGATAGAGCTGTGTAATGTTCACAATTCTGCTATTAAAATATTCTAATTAAATCAGTCACCCTGGTCCCATCTGTTATATACTGATCTCATGCGGAGAAGCTGCTGGAATTTCTCCAGGGCAGTGAACGCACTCAGTTCCTTTCATGGCTCATTGGATGTCACACACAGGAGAACCTTGTTCTTGGTTTGAAATTATAACTAAGGCCCTGGGTATACAATAAACTTCAGGGAATGTTATGGAGATTAATTCAGCTCTTTTTTCATACTCTCAGAACGCCTTGCATGAAAACCACTAGGGTTCATGTTATTGTGTAGCAACCCACTTTTCACCATGATCTACAAAAAGCCTGAGGAGAATCCACGAATCCTCTCCCTCTGTTATAAGCATAAGTCATGTAGGCCCCAGGAACCTAGGACGGTAGGAACATCAGTGAACTGCTTGGTCCACTAATGAAAGCTACACCTGATAGGAGTTCCAGAGCTCAGTGCTCAAGACAGAATCATCCTGTGCAGATCAATCTTCCCCAAAGATCATGGGACCTGCTAGCATCATTTTCCAACACACTTACTGGTTTTTAACTTTCGATTTCTTAGAAATTAGCAATAGTTTTACAGGAGGGTAACCCATAGAACTTCATATGTATAATCTTGTTAAAAGATGATAGTAACAATGATCTTGATACATTAATTAGGAAAATTTAGCTGAAAAAATTGTAGCACTCTATTTCCATAATTGATAGGTGAGAAAAACTGCACTTTTCTCTGTAATTGATGCTGCTACTTTTTCAGCTCTAACTGCTTGATTCATGGAGTGCCAGATGTCTTTTGAAAAGAAAAAAAAAAACCTTATTTTTCTTACTAAGTTTTAATAATTAGGTGGGTGAGTCTAGCTGACATCGCTGTTCCCTGAAATGTACGTCTACACACTGCTGTGGGTATGCTTTATTTTAGAGACTTGGCAATTCAGCTAATAGTTCAGATCATTTTTGGCATTAAGCAGGACATGAATTGTAAACAAATAAATACATATTTATTCAAACAGTCAACCACACAACTTACATATTTGTATATATACAAATAGGCATATGCTTTTTTCTTATTATTTTTAATATTTGTTTTATATATGAAAATATACATTTAAGATTTGGTGTATCAAAGTTATTCATATATGTAATTTAAAGAATCAACTACTTCTATCAGATTTGAACATGAAATTCAGTCCTTTTTAGAAGCAACCATTTTTAGCTTCTGCATCTGAATCTTTGTGTATTCAGTTCCTTTTTTACAAATTAATATTTGTTATTATCTATTAACCTTCTATGACAGCTGTTTTCTACCTGGTTCTTTTTTAATCTTTGCACCTCCTCCTACCCACATGCAACTTGCTCATCCATTCTTTCCCCCGGTAAGGTCATATCCTACTTGGCTGTGATCCACACTCAGGTTTAATGCTTGTATGACCCCACAACTTACTCAGAGCTCATTTTAAGTTTACTTGGCCCATTCCCTTTCCTAGCCCCTAAATCTACCATTTCACATCTTCTCTTTTCAAACCTCTAACACCTCCTCCCCAATCTTTACTCACAGCTGAGAAAACAGATGTAAGTAGGAGAGAACATCCACAGGCTCTCCCATATAACACAACTATCCCATATCTGCAACACCCTCTGCCTTTCTCTCCGTGGATACAGATGAGGTGTCTGTGATCCTCACTCACACCAGCCTTTCCTCTTGTCCAGCAGGTCCTCCTCCCTCTGGCTCTTTCTAGGCATTTGCTACAGTGTTTCTTCCTTTCCTGCATTACTACTGAATCACAATTATTATTTGTTACCATTTTAAAAAAGAACAATCCCCCTCTTACTACGCTTAAACTCCAGTTCCCACTTATCGCTGCTTCTTCAACTACCCCAAACTTCTATTAAGGCAGATCGCCACAAACTACTGCACAGATTTGTTGTTTTAAATTCAAATTTTCACATTTTCCCTTGAGCCCTCCCCATCCATGATTTTTTTCTTACCATATTTTCAAAATCTTTAACATGAAGACAAATTCCCATTCTTCATCTAACTTGTATATCAACAACATTTGAACTAATCTTGCCCTGAAATATTTTTCATACTTGAATTCCAAGAGACACCGGGTATATTGACCTTATAAAAATAATCAGTCTCCATTATTCTTTTATTTTCGTCTCTTACAGGAACCGAAGATGAGTCAAAGAAAACAGACATAAATTACACTTGGTTGTGTTTATCGTAGATTCCAGACAGAAGGGGAAAAAATTCCCCTTAAAATTCAAAAATCACACATCACTCACACCTCAAGTATGTTTGAGGTGTAAATTAATGTTAATCTGTGTATTCCAGAAACTTCAAGAAGCGTTATTTAATTTACAGCTGTCTTAGGTGTTATTATTTTCAAGCATTTTCAGAAGTAATAGTAAGCTTTTTATTTTAAGAAATGAAGAGTAATGGAATTTCAACCTAGGCTTCAAAGAACTCTCACGGTTGAAGTGGGAAGACTTTGAGATTCCCAGTGAAGATTACAGAACACCCAAGGCTGTGAAGTATGGAGGGTGAGAGCCAGCACAGGCGACAAAGAGCAGGGCCAGACCCATGGATGCTTCAGACTTCGGAGATCTCACCTTCAGCATACAAAATCCGCATATGGAATGTATCCCAGAGAAAGCAACTATAAAAATATGAGTAGCACTTAATAAACAAACCAACAGGTTTTAAAAAATGCAAAAATCTAGAAATAAAAACTATAATTAAAAATTTGAAACCCAATGCATTGAACATAGATCAAAAGAGTTAGACCCCAAAACTATCAGACTGGATTCCGCAAAGAAAACTCTATTGAACTTGAAAGAAGTGAAATAAATCATATAGAAAAAAGAGGAATTGTTTTAACATATATACAATTCATTTTCCTCAAAAAAGAATGGGAAAAAATTGGAAAAAATGCACTATTCAAAGAAATAATATGTGAGAGTTTTACAGCTATATGATAGTAAATCTCAGATCCAGGAAGCAGTGAAAATACGCATAAAAGGAAATCCACACTTAGACATTTCATAGTGAAATTAAAGAAACCCAAAGCAAAAGAAAAAAATACTAAAAATATTCATGTCAAAAAGATCACTTATGAAGAAAGGACAATTAGGCTGATAGCTAATTGCCAACATCAGTGAAAGCCACCATATACAGTAATATGATAATTTAATCTTCTAAAAGACAATAGTCATCAACTTAAAATTCACGATTCAGGTTGTGAATGGAGTTTTAAATTTTCAAATATCTAAAACCTAAAATTGTTTATCACCAACATGCTTTTACTAAAGAAAATTCAGAAAGACATAATCCAGGTAGAAAGAAAATGATTTCAGAGTGTAGGTTTAAGACACCAAAAAACACTGGTTAAAAAAATATTTTAATTTAACTACATGGGTAAACATAAATTAACATTGGTTCTATGTAACAGTAATACTTGATGTCTAGGCTGAATAGTTGGAATAAAGCCAAGAAAAACATGAGCTGGAGAGGAAGACCCAGATCTAGTAAATTTCTCGATTAAACTAAGGGAATAAACAAGAGATTCGTGGGCAACGAGGAGCTGCAAGGAAGAATAGGATTCGGAGAATGTAAGTTGATCAAAGAATCAGTCTTCTGGTTTATAGTCCTAGAGGAAGCAATCCCTGATGGCTGACTCCACAATAAGGAAATGTAAATTCCTGGTGAAGCAATATAAACATCTAAGTCAAAGTGCCTATACAATTGGAAGTCCATATGGTCTTTTATGCATTTAAAAAATGCAAGGAGATTAACAAATGAAGGGAACTCTCTACACAAAGGTGAAGAATAAAAGTTTTTTACATCCCGGGGCCACCTGGCTGCCTCTACTCCCTCCCCTCATTAACATATTATTTTTTACTCCTTCATTTGCCCTGATCTCATTAAAGGCAAAAGAATCTTTAAACCTCATGTCACAAGGCAAGATTTGGTGTTTGAATGTATTTATTTAAAGAAGTCGGGAGGTAAGAGACTATTACTACTCAGCTTAATTTCACTTTGAAAGGAAAACTCAAGCAACAGATGCTAATATGTTCAGTTTCCTAGACAAGTCCCCTTTGAACAGTAAAAGCATTTCTTTGTCAAAGCCTTCTTCTATTTTTTTCCTCCCCCATCAAAGGAATAGAAAAGTGTTGACTTTCTTTTGATTTTACTTCGGAGGTATCAATTTGTTATAAAAGCTTTTTGGGAAAAATTATATTTTCCTAAATATCTTTAAATATTAAAGAGTCATATAATAAATTTATTTTCTGGAAAGATGAGGTCTGTAAAGTGTATTTATGACAAGGCAAAAGACCAAGAATAGTAAACAATATTGGTCGTCTTATTTCCATACCTATTTGAGTTTTCTCCAAACATTTGCATTCATGCTTGTTCCTAGTAGCCCTTTAGCCATAGAGATGGTAGAACAGTCATAAGGACTTGTTTAATTCCTTATATCTTTTTACATCTCTCCTTCGGGTGTTACTACCATAACACTCTTTTGTGACCCTGACTTTTTGTGGTTCTTTTGGTAAACCCAACATGCAAGAGCCTCTCTTATTTCTACGTATCAAGTCAGCATTCCCTGTTAGAGAACCCTTTCAATTCTTAAAGAACATCATAACACTGATTTACTTCTATCTTCACTAGAAAAAAAAATTCTAGTTTATTCTCTTATCTATATCATTTTCTAACTCTTTTATCTAACATTATCTTTACTCTTTCTGTCTCTTAACTGTGTATTTCCTAAGATAAGATTTTTGGTCATCTGCTTCTCTCCAACATTTCTGTCCTCCATGAGTTTATCTCAGGGTTTAAACTATCCTCTCAAGAATTGTGTGATGCCTAGGGTGAATTATAGGGTTCTTAGAAAATTCTGAAAAGATAAAGTCTGACAAATAAACTGAGTCTAAACATAAGCAGCTCTTCTAGACTGTTTCTTTGAATGCCTGAAACATGAGTTACATTATAATTTATCAATTTGACCATAGGATTGTTAAAATAAACAAACATCTGTTATGTTAGAATAAAGTAATACTGCAAGATTAGACATTATTCATGCTTACTAAATATTCTGAAAAATAATGTAGGCTATCACCCCCTCCCCGTAATTGCCCTTCCATGATCTTTTTTCTCTTGCTGCTTCATGGCCCTCGACGTTAACCCAATCACTTTGGATAATGGTGCTAAATTTAAAACACAGGATGGTAAAGAAATACATTACAATCCCCAAAACCATGGGCTTCACAGCTATCTCATTCTTTGACTCATCAAAAATATTCGTTCAATAAATCTCAAAGCAGGTTAAAGAAGAATCATTTTAAGCTTGGCCCTTTCCTAATTTGTGTTTAGAGTCCTGTTGTGAGAATACCTGTAAGACTGGCTCTTTGTTTAGGTTTGATACTTTTATAAACACATTGGCAATTAAAGCCAATGTCAACTTTACTTATTTTCAAAAGTCATGAAAAACACATATTATAATAATTGAAATATAAGTTGATACTTTCTTGTATTGCAGAAAATCTGGAATTTTTTTTTTTTTTTTGACAGAGTCTTCCTCTATCACCCAGGCTAGAGTGCAATGCCGCAATCTCGGCTCACCGCACCCTCCACCTCCCGAGTAGATGGGATTACAGGGATGTGCCACCACGCCCAGCTGATTTTTGTATTTTTAGTAGAGACGGGATTTCACCATGTTGGTCTGTCTGGTCTCAAACTCCTGACCTCAGGTGATCCACCCGTCTTGGCCTCCCAAAGTGCTGGGATTACAGCATTAGCTACTGTGCCCAGCCCGAAAATTTGGAATTTTAAACAAACTTATAGAATATTATTTTGAGCGAGGAATGAATCTTCCATAAAATGCTGAACTCTCACCTGAGTTTGTAACACATACTAATAAATAAATCCAATAGTTTTCTAAATTTATTAAGAATTATCAATTACATTATTTCTGATATTAACCTTGTCATTTTATGGCTATTATGTTCTTTCTCTTAATTGTCACTATAATTATCACTGCATAACTTATAAATAATATTTCAAGAAATTTACTGCATAGTTGATTGTTGTGTCACTGACTCATAAAATAGCTTCATAGTCTGAAGTGTTTCATACATAGTTCAAAATAAAGCTTTAGATTTTTGAAATTTTTCTTAAGCATGATGGTAATATTTTCATGTTAATTGGAAAGGCCACCTATTGAAAAGCTAACTGGATAAAAATAGGTTGTACACAATAATATATCAAAGATAAAGCAACCCAGAGAGCTGACAATATTAAGGAAAAGTCAACGAAGGGGTATATTAAATTCAATTATTGATAATTTAAAGATCTTATTGAATCCTTTAGTAACTTTGAATCCGTTGTTAAAACCATGGCTGCATTCTCTCTTAATAGCCTGGAGTTAATTCTGTTACATTTTAGTTCTCATTTATTTTCACTCCAATGCTCACTTTGGCTTTCATGTGATATTAAATGTATCTGATAAGCTAATAATATGTATTAAGAGTATAGAAGATTCGTTAGTCTATGCACTTGATTTGACAAGTTTTAGAACTCTGAAAGATGACTCTGTTTTGTTGGTTTTGTTTGTTTTTGCTTTTTGTTTGTTGTTAAATTTAATCCAAGCCAATATTTGGAAAATTGTTCCTCTTAATGAGTAATTAAGAATAAATTAAAATGCATTTTGAAAGACTTCATTTTCAATTAAGTTAGCAAAAATGAAAATTATTCTTAAGGTTATTTACAGTGGTTCATGTACAGTGGTGAAACTGATATAAATTCATATAACAGTTTTATAAAAGTTAAATGCATAAAAATGGAAAAATAGATGCTCACTGCAATTTGAATTAGAAATAAACTCTTGAGAATTAATTTTTAGAAAATAATTTGATAATAATAGATTGTTATATGTCAAAAGTTGTATTTTGTATTATATATAGTAACAAAATTCCTATATTAAATATGAGGTTGTTTTAATCATTTATGGCGCAAAAGCATGCTTCTACTAAAATAATTTAAAAACTAAAATAAAGTTATTTAAATTTTATGATAGAATTAAATTTTAAACTACAGAATAAAAAATTGTAGGTAGACATGAATAGAAAAGCCCCCCAAAAATCTATACATGTTGACAGGTTTTAATAATGGGGAATAAAAATAATTCTGTTAGGTTTGTTAATATTTTCAGAAACAATGTACCATCATACTTATGAATAATTTTTGAAACATGCAAGTTATTTAAAATGTATCCTAAGATCTGTTCAAGGATCCATTGACCTAATTGAGAATTTTAATGAAAGTTGAATTTCAGACACTGAAGCCCAGTTTGTTTCAGTGAAACTCTTACCGTGCGCACGTGTGCGTGCACGCACAAACACACACACACACACACACACACACACAAAAGCAAGGGGAAAAATAAGAATATAAATTATTTGCTTACATGGTTTGCAGCATATCATAAATTAGGAGCAATCCAGTGGCAAGCAAATTTCTGAAAAACAGTCAAGTGCCAAAGATATCTTACTGCTTTTTGTGAAAAAATATATATGAGGAAAAAAAAATAGGAAGACATTTCTAGAAAGGAATGGAGAAAGAAAAAAAAAAGAAACAGTTTCAGAACACTTATTTCTGAAATACTAAGATGAAACAAAAACAAATCAAATGAACAAAACTTTATTTCAAATCCATATAAGTGACCCCAATGAACATTAATAAATTTATGAATAAATAAATGAATCAATCTCTAACAATAATTAATAAACAAAATAGCATTCTCTTCTTTCTTCTGATTCACGTTTATTCTCTATTTTCTTGATAACTACAATATAAACAGTAGAAAAATGCAAATCATATTTCCTGCATGCCAAGAGTCTTTTCCATATTAGACATGCATAAGTGCCAGCGAAACATTTTAAATTCAGTCCAGTTTTTTTCCATATAGTGGAAATGATTAATCGTTTTTAGCTATACTTGTCCTTTTTACACATTCAAAATAATTTCAGAAATAAATAATTTGCCCATTAGATGTATCAAAGGTTAAAGAATGACTTTTTATTTTCTTTAATTAACCATGCCTTCTTGTGTTTACATCTATATTTGGCCTTCTATATCAATAGCTCTGGCTTTTGGAATCCTACCAAAAAGGGTGTCTAGTGATCCTACCATGCAGCTCATTTTCTTTAAAATACAGGAGTTTTTCTTTAGAGCATTATGGAATCTAGTTTGCAGTGAACTCACAAGCACAGCTTTTTGTAGGCAAATCATTCGTATATAAACAAGGATTTTCCTGAGTAAGGTCATGACCATAACGCCATAGAATTCACCAGTTAATTAGCATCGCGTTACTACATCCAGTTTTACATCTTCAGTAATGCATCAGGAACCTCTGGAATCCTATAAGGGTTATCGAAGTTTTTCAGTTGCCCTGTGACTTTCTCTTACATCAGATGCCCTAACTGCTATCCACGAAAGCCTGTGGAGAGGCTTGCTGTCTGCCTAGCGCTTGAGAATGAGAACTTACTGTTAGTCTGTCCAGCTTGTCACTCAGCTTGGCCACAGGCTGCTGCCATAAGCACTACAGCCCCTTGCAGAGGTCTTTGCCCTTCCCTTATTCCACATGTTTCTAAATGAATTCTTACCATTGGTACCCTGGAAAAATTAACTCAATAGAGAAAATTCCCATTTTACGGACTCGGGAACTGAAGGATAGTCATGTATAGTGTGATTCCCGAGTCCGAAGTCTAGAATGAAGCCACTAAGCAGCCTCCAATACTCATTTATTAAACAATTTACTCAATTATTCATTAATTAATTCACTTAAGAGGTAACAACTGAGCTCATTCTATGTGCCTAGAATTGGACTATGATATTTATGCTTCATTAGCTCTAAAGACAATACATCCAACATTTTTAAAGCATCCTAATTCAATCAACCCCTATGCAATAACCTATTTTGCACGTGATACTGTGTTAAGCCAGCTGCACACCACATCCACCCAAGATAGCCAAGACGAAAATATCATTTGGTCACTAGCAAAAGATTTTATATTTTAACATTTCAGAGAGTATTTTCTTATTAATTTAGGCACATCTTTTCACTATAAAACACGGAAAAATCTGTAATCTAATGTTCAAATAAACATTAATATTTGAATAATTTAAAAATAATATTTATAAGAAAAAAGCTATTTAAGAGTTTCTATACAATACTCTAAAACATTGTTTATTAATATCTATTCTCAGATCTCTCCACAAAATGTTACTCATCTAATATAATCACTTGGCTCTTTGAGGTTTTGGAAAACATGCTTTGAAATGCCCAAATCACCATTACTATTTAAACGATTGATATTTCTTTGAATTAAAAAACAAAGAAGGATAAAAGTATAGTGTTTTTCTTTCATTTCTTTCATACTCAAAATTATATAGGAATTATATAGAAATTAAATTTGATTCATTTTATATCAATTTTTTGTTATAATTTTATGAATAAAATTGTCTAATTTTATGAAAATAATTTCATGACTATTTTTTGTGACCAAAAATTATGTGCTGTAAGATGACTCTTGTTTGAATTTGTGCATCTTAGAGCTAGAAAAGATTTAAATACTATCTAATGGAACCAATTAGAATTGCAAATTTCACCAATTTTTACAGCAGAAACACTATCATAATATTCTACTCTTACTGATAACAATACAGCCTACCACCCAGAGAGGTTGAGACAGAAGAGTGGTTAAAATTTATTGATTTAGTGAAATGAGATTCTTCAAGTAATCAAATAAATGTAACTTCAAACTTGCTTTGCTTGCAGTTTCTATGAGCTGTGTAGGAAAATCTCAAACTCAATATGGCTTTATCTTAGCCTAGTTTTTAATGTTCATATTGCCTTTTATGAATTCTGCATTTTTAAACAGTAAATTCCATTTAACTAATCTACATCCTTAGGTGATTAATGAAGCAAAACCACACTGACAAGTAAACCATCAAGCAAACAAACTCTAAACAAAAACTCATAACTCCATTCTTTTTAAAAATATGTTTAGCAGCTGAGATTATATTCATAATTGCCTGTCATTGAATATAGTATTTAAGTATATTCTATGACAATAGAATTAAAGAATGGGATAAATAGGAATTATAAAATGAATTTAAAATAAACCTGGTGGTATGTAAGAGGTGGTACACACCTCTAACAATCTCTAGCCAACATCTCCAAGACACTTCTGCAGGACCCTAAGAGTCCAGGGAAGAACTTTACAGAAAAAAATACTGAAGTGAAAAAAATAATAATTTCCCCAAGACCCTGGTTTATGAATAGGTAATTCTTAAACTTGAGACTTATGACTGAGAAGCTATGGCTTTAGTTCATTCTTTATCACTAAGTTTCAAAAGAAGACGCATTTTTTAGAACCTGGTATTTAATTTTCTCATTTTCTAGTAGTACTCTATAACAAACAGCAGAAACACAAGAAGAATGCATGAATGTCTCATCACCTAGAACTTGACAGTTATGATTTGTTACAATCAGTGAGAGGAAAAAGAAAAAGTAAAATTACGACTCATAATTTCCTTCATAATATTTGTTTATAACCCAAAATGATGCCTTCCAAAGATTATAAATTTTATTGGGGTGATTCTAAATATGTAATACCAACAATTATTACCACCATCACTACCAATAGCATCAACAAAATAAATACCGCTATGTATGAAGCTTGAGGAAAATTTCCCTATACAGCTATTCAAAAAAATAAGGGTAAAATGTTTGTGGATTCAGCTGTAAAACATGATAAAATATTTATACTTACAACTGTAACATTCTCAAGTTATAGTAGTCTCAGTTATATTTGATATGAAAAAAATAATAAAATAAATAGCAAAATTCTATAAAAATCCCACTTAGCATGAATGATTGGACTACAAATACTGAACACATGAGTGATTATCAGCATAATGCACACAATATAGCTTATAGAAATAGAAATGTGTCAAAACTTACAAAATAGTACTTTATTAAGAGATGACATAGGATGTTCTAATTTTGTCATCAGAAAACTGGTTGGCTGCAAGTGATCTTCACTCAAAGCATTTGGCTATGAAGCACTATTTTTTACATGTGTAAAATTTTTCATCAAAAACTCACTTAAAAATAATATTTCAGAACTGTAATTTTCCTGAAATATTCTAGTAAAGTATTTTAGAAACATTTACTTATATAAAAACCTATTTCAATAGTTATAAAGCAATCAAAAGATTTCAAAGAGTTTGATTTTGTCATAATTTTTATACATGCTATAAGGAATTTAGTTACAAAAATTAAAAACTCTCTAAAAATTCATTTAATGGAGATTACGTCTATAAATATACAACAAAATTAACACTACCAAACTGATTTTAAGACTAAAAAGTATCATTCAAATTAGTTCAAAGAACAAAAATAATTAAAACTCAATTCCTAACCTTTAACATAGTAGATTCATGTAATATAGTAGATTCATGTTTCACTGATTTTTGTTTTCTAAACTTGTTTTTTCAAACTTTCTTCCAATATTCTTTTAAATATATAATCCATTATTGGCAAAAAATAAAGCAAAAACTTGACAGCAATAGATCCTGACTACAGTGGGAAGATATGATATTCACTTGTTCATTCAACAAATATTTATTAAATGCTTACTGTTGCCAAGCAATGTTCCCTGCCAAAATTATTTTCTTTCTCTACTGTATGGTCTTGTGAACAAACAAGTAATCATGAAAAGAAGTAAAATAGATAGCATGTTGAGTAATGATCAGTAGTGAAAAGTAATTATATATATAATAGTATGTATATTTTTCTTGTATTATATATATTATTATGTCATGTATTTCAGTTGCATTATATATGACATATATATGTATGTACACATATGTATATATTATATATTATATATGAATATATGCCTATATATGTATATATTATATATTATATATGAATATATGCCTATATATGTGTATATATTGCATATGTGTGTATATGTGTGTATATATTACATGTGTGTATATATAATGTGTGTACATATTATATATGTGTATATATGTGTGTATATATAATATGTGAATAAATTATATATGTGTATATACAATATGTGAATATATTACATATATATCTGTATATATATATTGCAATGGAAGTATGAGAGTAACTGATAACCATGAAAAGCCTCTCAGAGCTAGCAGGAACATTTCAGACCAAGAAAACAGCAAGCAGCAAGAATAGACAGTAATGGGAAGCCAGTTTATGCAGCATCTTACCATAGTAGGGATTTGGGGTTTTCCTATGAATGAGATGGGAGCCATTGATGGGTTGTGAGCAGAAGAATGATACCATTTTACTTACACATTAGCAATATCCTTCTGACTATGCTGTTGAGGAGAGCACCAAGGAGCAAGGCTGGAAGAAGAGCTGACCCAAGGACATGGTCAAATGATTTTCCATCTGTTTCTCAAACGAGAGAACACTGACTCTTGTGGCTTGAAGGAGCATCCTTGTATATTCTTATATATTATGTAAAACACATAATATATATTATTTTGTTCATTTTAGACCGTCAGAAATATTTAAAATCTTATATTTAAAAATTGCCCTTGCACCTACACTCTGGATTAAGTAATCAAGCATGGTCAACAGAACAGCAGTTACCAGATGACTGCATTGCCTGGCTCTATTTCTTTCTTCCTCCTCATGCCAGAAGTCATCGCTACCATAAATGTAATGTTTATGATTTTATGATTACTCCAGACTTCACATTTTTAAGCATATCTAAGAACCTGAGTATATTTTTCTTTCATCAATTAATAGTGTGTCAAGAAAACAGAAATCCTCTAAGTAGGGCCAAGGGAAGGCAATGCAGTAAATTCCTTACAAAATGTTGGAAAAATGAAGTAAAAGCAGACAATAGGTTTTACCCAGAACCCACAGAACATTACTGCTTTAGTGCTGAAGCTACTGCAACTGCAGATTTTCAAAGTTAGAAGCCCAGGGAATTGCTGCCTCTTGGTGCAAACGTATCCTTCACTGAAGCAGAGGCTGGGACGCCATGCATCTGCTGAGATTACTCAACCTTGGCTACTGCCATTGAAGAAAGAGACACAATAAAGAGAAAATAAAAACTTGCTGCTCCTAAAATCTAGGAAATAACATTTTGAGACTTCTACCCTCTGCCATACAGAGAAAAAGCACAGAAGGTTAAAATAGAGAAACACTGACAAACACCACATTTCAATAGAATTTTTTTAATTTTTAAATTTTTGTATGTGTAAATCTTTTAAATTATCTCAAATTAATTTCTGACATGGTGTAGAGATCCAGTTTTACCTTTTCTAAATATATGACCAGTTATTGATAATTGATTGATATTGATACTACATTGACTCACTAAAGATCAACATCAAACGAATCATATCTTATGCTTTCCAGAAGAGACTTGAATTTGCTTCTACTAATCCCCCGGGGAAATTTCAACTTTGGGTCATGTTATCTTAATTTCTTAACTCTGGCATTTCCTTGATCAATGCAGTAACATATATAGTAGAAATACAAATTCTAAACCTGTTTGAGAGAAACGTAGTGAGAAAAATTGTAGTATACATTATCTGTGCAGTGTTCATTTTCCCTTCTTAGATCCTAGATAAAAGCTCCCTTTGTAATGAAAATCCTATTTTTTTCTGCTCCTTTCTCTTCAGGGCTATAGCACCTTGAAAGGGCCAACTTTTTGCTTTCCACCATGTTTGCGCCTAAAGTTCTGTTTCCTGACTCCCACACTTATATTAATATCTGAGCATTTAGATTTGTGCTTGTTGCATAACTCCACAGAGCAAGTGGCTTCTGTGACTGAACACTGGTTTCCCGCTCACTCTTAAGTTTTGGGCTATCTGTCTTTCTTATTCTTTTGGAAGTGCAGTAAAGAATCTACTGAAAAGTTTTAGAGATTTTCAGAGAACAATTTTTAGCATATCTAGTATGCCACAATGAAGAAATACAAATATTTAAATAGGTGCTATATACTTTGAAGATAATTTATGAAAGATAGAATATAAGTACATTCTGATGATGCAGATATCTAAATCTAAATCGATCTCAAAATTTTTTATCTAAATCAATCTCAAAATTTTATTATTCATCTTTGCCACATTAGTATTATTTTAAATTATAATTGGCTAATAAAACAAAAATAATGTTGGCTTAACATAGGAATGTTTTATTTACATGAAGGAAAGACTGCCATCTTTTGCATAGTAGTCAAATCAAATAAAGGAAGATGGCAGATGTAATGAGCACACAGTAGAATACACATGGTGAATTCCAAAAAGACAAGAGCAACATGAATGTCAACTTAGTTTATCAAACAAAAAGAATTATATTAATTAATTTCATGATGTAATATTATCATTAGAAATTTATTGGATTTATAATTTTACTAATGATTAAGTTGTATTTTGACATCTATTTAGATTTATAAATGGAAGTCATTTCTATGTGATTTTTGTGCTTTACTATATTTGAGTAACATTAAAAATAATTTGTCATAACAACTTAATACTATGTCATAACAACACAATCCTTAGCGACTCCCCATCCATCCACTCAATAGCCAAGTACCAAATTCCTCTGCTATCTGAAAATTAGTAGCAAAATACTGAATAAAAGCAATGTGGAAATCTGAAAATCTAGTAATTTAAAAATTGTAATTTGTTAAAATAGAATTCCTTAGAAGTTAGTGTACTACTTGGAGAAAAAGCTGAATACTGTAGTGTGGAGGGTTGCAGGATTATTCTAGCAATTGACAGGGTCACTTGATGCAGCTTTGCTTAAAAGGAAAAATTTGAGAAACACAAGATTGAGTTACATTTACGAGTTGTTGCTAAGCTCTATATAATTAGACGATAACGTTTAAATATATAATTATATCATGTTTTAGTGCTTTCTATGTCCAGAAATTACGTATTAACTCTATGCAGACTATAACTTCTTTAATCCTCACAAGCCCCAAATGAAGAAACCAAGTCTTAGATAAATATTAGGACATGCCCAATATTGCAGTGCTAACCAGTGTGAATGCCTGATTATTTAACTTCAGAGTATATGCTCTTAATCTCAGTGTCCTAGGGCCTCCCAGACACAAATCTACAAAATAAATAAATCATAAAATGGCATGTATTTCTAAAAGAAAAAGAACTAGGCCCAATCTCAGTTCTGCCACTTGCCAGAACAAGTGATTTAATTTTTCTATGTTTTGGTCCTCTTATTTGTGAAAGAGAAATCATGTATACTCACGAAGGGTGTTGTAAGGATACTGGTTGTGGCCATGCTTAGCACCGTGGCTGGCATACAAGTTTCTCCACCGTCTCCAGTGGAAATTTATCAGTCATACTCTTTCCCCAAATTATTTGTTATTTCTTCAAATGTCTGTATTTTACTTTTTGCTTTTTAGCCCTCTTCTCCCAAATTTCCCTTTTTGTATTCACTATTCATTACTTTGCCTTTTAACTCGACCTCTCCTGGGTTTCTTGCATATCTTTAATTCTGGAAACCATTATCTTCCCACACGTAACTTCTGTAACCCCAGTATTCTTTTTTTCTTTTGTTATTCTGTTGTTCTCCTTGAACTTCGACTCCTTCATATAACTTCTCTTTTTATATTGAACACAGGCTGCTGTTATTGCAGTACATTAACACAATCATTCAAGAGGGGAGATATCAAATGGCCAGGAAGTGTGTGACAATATTTATTTTTCCCTTATTACTAGTCATTATCCAAATTATTGCTTTAGATTTACACTATGTTCAAGAGTAAAGAGAATGTCAGACAGTTTGAATGATATAAGAAAGCTTGCAAAGTCTGTTTAAATTAAAAAAAATATATATGATATGATTAGATCACAAAAGTGGGCATATGAGAAGAGAACCTTTTAAGCTTAATAAAAATCCCTGCATGGAACTGATAGTAATGCAGCTGTGTGCATTCTGTTTTATTAATTATCTGCTAATATTAATTCTATTGTTTCATGAAAAATTAATTCTAATTAATCAAACTTTTTAAAAAGTACATGTTTCGGTTATATCAACCCTTGGTTCTCATGGTGGTGATACATTTAAAAAAAAGATAAAAATATAGAGAAAGCTTTCTTAGTGGTTTAAGAATTTAAAATATATTTAATATTACAAATATGAATATTCTCTAATATTATAATCTTATGTGTGTCAATTAAAAATTGGTGTCTTTTAAAAATGATTTCTTCTTTGTTGTGTGAGATTATTTCCTCCGAACCAATAAGACTTCCAGAATAATCCCAATTAAGTAAAGCTGATTCCCAAAGCAGTTTTATAAATATTTAGGAACCAAACCCTTTCATTGTAAACCATGGAAACTGACTCTGCACTAATATTGTCTGACAGTGACCTAATTAGAGTCATTTGCATACTAATGAGACTTTGAAGGAGATAAGCAATAGCATGCTTGTAATAGATAATTAATTTGTATTTCAAAATAAGCTATGGCTATTTAACAACTCAAATGACACATTGAATTAAAAGAGTTGTTCAAGTTACTTCTTAACAATAAACTACTGTTCTAGCTTTTCAATTTTGCTTAAACTTCAAACTGATGAACATACCCCATATATTCATGTATATACATAAGGTGACTCCTCATTAAGTACTTAATTCTCAAATTCATCTTCAAAATAATATCTCTCTTTGCCAAGAAATTCAGAGTGATTTATTTATTATTAATTAAAATATTTCCTTCTTATGTAGCAACATGGATCTGAATAGCACAATGCACTTTTCAAATAATCTTACATCATCCCCTGGGATCCTCATTCCCATCTTTCAGTCGTTGAAATGGGAGCATTGAGTGAGAAAGGGATTTGGCCACACAAAGCAAATAAAAACGATTCCTTCCCAGAGGCAGCCTTCTGCACTCTTCTTTTTGCCTCCTTAAATGAAATAAGACTTACAGAACCTTAAGTAAACTGACCAGGACCAATAATAAACTTGCTCAACACTTCTAATAAACTGTCCCTTATTGATCACTGAAAGCCTAAAATATCGAATGTCATTCACCAATCATGGCAACAGGAAATGAATGAGTGAGTTAGGGTGATTTATATAATGCCTTCCTCTTCTGGCCCATTCATCTCTTTCATTTACGTTTCAAATTGTGACTGTGGTTTATTTTCATAAAGATAAGTCACTCTACAGTATAGCTGTTCTGTTATCAATTACTCTATGCTGGCAATCCCGATGGCAGAGTTGTGGTGAATTGTGGAAGTAATACAGGCCTTTATCCAAGAGAAATTTTAAATTTTTACACACAAGAAATCTTCTCACTGACCCCTGATGGCCCACCCAACACAGATACCCACTGGCATTATTTGTTTAGCCTCTGACAAGGAGATTAAGAGTAACCATTGTTGGAATTTTAAATAAGTAGGAAAGAACACACAGGAAAGCAAGAGCACAAATGGGGAGGAGAAAAAAGAAGGTGGCAACATGTTAGAAACACTAGTTGGTCAATCGTACAGCCTTGAAAACTCAAAATAACCTTAAGGCTTAGAAATCCTTTCTCCTTTACAATACGAAAGGTATTTTTTTGGAGTAAAGGATTACAGTTGTTTATATGTCATTGTTCTGATAAACAGCAGAATCATAGACCCCAGAGCTAGAAGAAACCTCAGGAGATTTTACATAATGTTATATTATTTTTTAACCTGAAAACACTTAGAGATTTAATTTGATTTTTTATTGTATATGCAGGAATCACTGAAACCTAAAGGAAGTTAGGTGGCATTCTTATAGTCACAGCTAACGAGCTGTGGATCAGGAAGAAATCTTTGTGTATAATAGAATTAAATACCCGCTTTTTTGAAAACTAAATCATATGCAATACTTTATCTGAGCAGGTACCTTCTAATCTTTTCATTGCAAAACCTCATTGTAATTCCTGCATTTGAAGGCTTTTGACCAAACGGACATTGTAGGTAAGAACAGATTTAAAACAAAGCATACCAAAAAAAAAAAACATTTTGCTAATTTGGCAAAGGCCTGTTTACTAGTATTTCAAATATGACTAATTTCAAGAAATTACTAATATTTCAAGTATGACTAATTTCAAGAAATTACTAATATTTCAAATATGACTAATTTCAAGAAATTACTAATATTTCAAATATGACTAATTTCAAGAAATTACTAATATTTCAAGCATGACTAATTTCAAGAAATTACTAGTATTTCAAGTATGACTAATTTCAAGAAATTACTAATATTTCAAATATGACTAATTTCAAGAAATTACTAATATTTCAAGTGTGACTAATTTCAAGAAATTACTAGTATTTCAAGTATGACTAATTTCAAGAAATTACTAGTATTTCAAGTATGACTAATTTCAAGAAATTACTAGTATTTCAAGTATGACTAATTTCAAGAAATTACTAGTATTTCAAATATGACTAATTTCAAGAAATTACTAGTATTTCAAATATGACTAATTTCAAGAAATTACTAGTATTTCAAATATGACTAATTTCAAGAAATTACTAATATTTCAAATATGACTAATTTCAAGAAATTACTAATATTTCAAGTATTACTAATTTCAAGAAATTAATCATATTTGAAATTAGTCATATTTGAAATATTAGTAAACACATTTGATATATCAAATATAATTATCAGGCTGAAATATCCCATCTCTTTTCAAACCTAAAAATAATCTAAGTTTGATTTTCTGACACAGATGGAACTGAACTTGTACTGCTTGGAAGTGATCAGTCTCATCCCAAAACAAATGTCATCATTTCAATATCCCTGTGTTCAGATTTTGGGATCCTATTTCACTTTATGCGTTTCTCAAAGTTACACACTGTTTTATTGATACATACACAGAGATACAGGCTTTGCTAAGCAGATATTACTTTAAAGAATATAATTGTGATTATGTAAATGAAAAATGCCGTGCTGTCTACCAGCTGCAAAAACATTCTTCTAATCATCAAGCCTCTTTCAGGATGCTGAAAACCCTGAATTTCAGAATTGTCTGGGAACTGCAAAGTACTGCTCTAAAAGTCACCTTGGTGCATGTGCTAGCAGCAAGCAACACATCACCGAAATGACATTTTCTTTAAAAAAAAAAAAAATCATGCTTTCTACACACTTCAGATAAAAATAGCAGAGGCCTCCAGCACTGTTCCACATTTTATGGTCTCATGGACAAGCACAAGAAATTTCATTTAAAAACAACAAAACCCATGGAGTGTTCATTTAATTGTACAGAATGTTAGCATTTTCCTAGGTTAACCCCCTCAGTCTAAATTAGATCTGCATAGTTGACGGATGTCTGCATCTTGCTGTCAGTCATGAAGCTGAGCAGCTGTTACATGTGCTGAAGCTTACCTTGACCAAGTCTGTCTCCTCACTCCGGAACCTGATTGTAGTTCTGGGTATTAAAGCTCAATAGTTCTGGAAGAAAGAAAAAAGAAATTCAAAGATGGAAGTTCTTCTTAGTTCTTGTGCGTGCTATTCATAAGGTAGTTAGCTGCATTGTTTTTTTTAAATATCCTGACAAGTTTTCTGGTTTAGATGTAACCTTTGTGGAGTTTTCTCAGATCTGTCAGCCCGAATGCTTGGATGACAATAGGACTGAGGAGGTGAAGTGAGAAAGACGAATCTAAAAGATATGTTGATAATGGTTATTTATATTAAGGCTGCTGAAAATTCTACCTCAGATGATTCAAGAAAGAGGTTAGTCCCTCTTGCCGACATATTGGAGACAAAATTAGAAGATGGCTAATTGCATTGTGTCTAGTCAAATGCTGGACTAGCTAGCCCTTCAATACCTGGCTGGTAAAGACTGTTTGAAAGGAGAAAAAATTCCAAACAGATCTCTAACCTCTTCTTACCACATACTGGCTTTCCATTAGCCATTTACAGCATAGAATTTCAAGCTGTAGGCAAGTCGGAAAGAACCAGGCAGACTTACCGAGCATCTGGTGGACTAGTCTGTCTAAGTAAAATGATGAAAAAGAAATAAATTCTATTTAATAACTCATAGTCTAGAATGACTAGAGAAATATAAAAGAAAACATAATTATAATGAAATGGTGAAAGCAAATGGCAAGCATATGGACAAGCTCTGATGGCAGTGGTAAGTAGAGCACACTCAAGTAGGAGTGAGCTTCCAGGAAAGTCTTGAGAGAGAAGGTGGCACTTGACATGAACCTTTTAGCATGGTTGGAAACTTGAGGCTATCTCTGAAGCCATGACACTTAGCCAGAGTGGCCCCATGATTTTCAGTCACTTTCTGTTCACAACCTGTACAAACCCCTCCTCTTGAATATGTGGGGAACTTGTGATTTAGGCTTATCCAGTAGAATATGGTGAAGGTGAAAAAATTTAGTAATTAAGTAATCAAGGTAAAGTTAATGTTTCCATTGCTGCTTTGCAATTAGCTGTGCCCAGCTCTGTGGGGGCTTTGGGTATCAATGGTAGTAGATAGGTGAGCTGGTTCATGGATTTTTGAGAGAGGCAACCACTCTTTTTCAGCTAAGTGTATAGAGAAAACAATCCTGAATCCCTTGCTCCGAGGTGTGGAGGGGGCATTGTAGTCACAAGGATAGGGTGGAGGGAAGAAGTTTAGGAGAGAGCTTGGAGAGCTAGTATAGTGAATATTGGTCAAAACAGATGGAATCTCAGAGCACCACTGGCTTCACCTTATGTCATTAGGAGTAGAGTTTCTCTTCCTTAGATTTCACCCTCCAGATCTGGCAAAGTCACCCTCTGTCTCTGACAGCTCACACCCCTTGTTGCATACTGAGCACCCTGTGTTGATGAAACAGATGTAAATCAATTACATAAATCCCAGGACATGATGTTGTTTAATAAATAATGTAAACAGCAAACATAACTCAGGATTAATTGTGCTCTTTGAAATGACTCAAGGATGACTGGTATCACTAGCTGAGAGAATACCGCTGTTCTCAAGATTTTAATTGTACTGATGTTCTAAAGATGTACTTGGCATTATTTTCTCCTTGAAACTTCCACTACTCCATACCAAGCATAACAATGCAAAAAGATGTGATACTTTTTATGTAGAAACTGGGATCTAAGTATTTTAGTACAGCTCTTAATGAAGAAATCAATAATTGTCTTTGGTGTTCAAAAATAATTTAAATAGCTTATATCAATATCCACTATAGGAATTTGTGAAACGTGAAGAAAAAAATGAAGGTTGATGGTTACTTTGTTTTTGATTATTGTAAATGTCCGGATATAAACCAAGAATAATTACAATAGAGAGGTGGTATAAAATTATGGTATACTATATAAGAGCAAATATCATAACATTTTATACAATGTCAAATATCTATAAAACAAAAATTTAGTTATCTCATTCTGAAGTGCCAAAAGAATCTGAGTGGGATTAAAACTGGATATTAAAAAATTATAACACATTTAGTTAGATAGCATACATATGGTCATTTAAAAATAAAAACTTCTGAAAGTCAACAATGTGTGCTATTAACATCATTTTAAAGAAATATTCAGGTACAAGTGTAAGGATGTTGCAACAAGTAAATTTATTGCATTCTTTATAGTAGAATAAAAGTACCATGCAGCCAATAAAGTGGATTTTGCTAAAACACTTTGTTTTTGTTGTTGTTGCCCGGGCTGGAGTGCAGTGGCACAATCACAGTTCACTGTACCCTCAACCTCCTGGGCTCAAGTGACCCTGCTGCTTCAGCCTCCTGAGTAGCTGAGACTACAGGCATGTGCCACCACACCCAGCTAAAAAACCACTTGTTAACATGAGAAAATAAATTGCAAAAGAGGGAAATATAGAGAGAAAGAGAGATAAAAATGACCCACTACTACCACCACAGAATAATAAAAGAAACTAGAACACATAAACCAGCAAGCTAATAGTAGTTATATATTGGAGATAAGAAATAAATACATTTTTGTTTTAAATATGTAGTTTAATATTCAGTTTCAGGGTTTTATTCCTTAAGCATATATCATTATTATTTTTGTTGGAAACACATTGAATATTAGTAAATATAAGTTTTAAAAAGCTTTTGGAAAAGATCATGCAGCCCTTACTAATTTTGACAAAGTATGTTTAGTTTCTGATTTCTCATATCAATTCAAATAAAATAGTTTAATTTAAATCAACAAATAGAATGAAACTTTAAATGTGAATTTATTGCCTACACAATGTGGTCAATCAACATATAGGTATCTTTGTATTAAAACCTTATGTCATTTTCTTCAAGTGAATTTTTTACAAAAATGATTTATAAATCCTTGGGCCTGTCTAATAATGCTAAACTTAAGATAATTATTATCACTTGATAGTTTTTCTGGAGAGGAAAGTCAGGCCTAAACTCACTAACTATACACTATTGGTGGCATTTAATCATGTATTTCTTTTTATTTCTGCACATTTTTATTGTAAAATATTTCCTCCAGAGGATCCTATATTTCCTAACATGTCTATTTCAAATCTCTTTGGGGTCCCTTAAAAAGTCAGTGTTACAACATAACTTCAATGAATACCTCCCAACCAATAAGAAAAATATTCATTGAGTACAGATTTCTATTCAAAACTATCTAGAAGAAAATTTTCTTCATAAATCTCAAATTTACAATCTAACATCACATCTAGAGGAACTAAAAAAACAAGAACAAATTAACCACAAAGCTCACAGAAAAAAATAAATAACTAAAATTAGAGCAGGACTGTATGAAATTGAGACCCCAACATTCATACAGAAGTAATCAGTGGAAACAAAAGTTGCTTCTCTGTAAGGATAAACACAATTGAATAGACTGCTAGCTAGATTTTTAACAAAGAAAAATAGAGTGAAGATCCAAATAAGCACAATCATAGATGACAAAAGTAGCATTACAGTTGATACCGCAGAAATACAAAAGATCCTCAGGGACTATTATGACAACAAACTGGAAAATTCAGAGGAAATGAATAAATTCCTTGAAACACACAATCTCACAAGATTGAATTAGAAAGAAAATGAAACCCTGAACAGACCAATATCATGTTCTGAAATTGAATCAGTCATTAAAATCCTACCAACCAAAATAAGCTGCAGACTAGACGGCTTTACAGCCCATTTCCACCAGATGTACAAAGAAGAACTGGTACCAATCCTACTGAAATTATTCCAAAAATCAAGAAGGAGGGACTCCTCCCTTACTCATTATTCAAAGGTGGCATCACTCTAATGCCAAAACCTGGCTAGGACGCAATGAGAAAGAAAAAGAAAAACAAAAACTATGGACCAACATCCCTGATGAATATGGATGCAAATACCCTCAACACAATACTAGCAAACTGCATTCAACAGCATATCAAACAGTTAATTCCCCATGATTAGGTAGGCTTCATTCCTGGGATGCAAGGTTGGTTCAACATATACAAATCAATAAATGTAATTCATAACACAAGGAGAACTAAAAACAAAAACCATATGACTATCTCAATAGACATGGAAAAAGCTTTCAATAAAATCTAACATCCCTTCATGATTAACAGCCCCCCGACCCCCCGAAGGTAGTCATCTAAGGAATATACTTCAAAACAATAAGAACCATCAATGCCAAACCTACAGCCAATATAATAATGAATGGTCAAAAACTGGAAGCATTCTCCTTGAGAACTAGAATAAGTGAAGGATGTCCACCCTCACCACTACTATTCAACATCATGCTGGAAATGCTAGCTAGACAAATCAGGCAAGAGCAAGAAATAAAAGGCATCAAAACAAAAAAAGAAGAAGCCAAACTATCTCTCTTCATGGATAATATTGTCCTATCCCTAGGAGACCCTAAAGACTCAGCCAAAAGGCTCTTGGCACTGATAAATAACAAATAATATAAAATTTCAGGATACAAAATCAATGTACAAAAATCAATACCATTTCTATACACCAATAATGTTCAAACTGAGAGCCAAATCAAGAATGCAATCCCATTTAAATAGCCAAAATAAAATAAAATACTTAGTAATTCATGTAACTAAAGAAGTGAAAGATGTCTATAAAGAGAACTACAAAACAGCTAAAAGTAATCACAGATTACACAAAGAAATGAAAAAACATTCCAAGTTCATGGATCAAAAGAATCAGTATTATTAAAATGGCCATACTACCCAAAGCAATCTACAGATTCAATGTTATTCCTATAAAATTACTAATTTTATTTTTCACAGAACTAGAAAAAAACTATTCTAAAATTCATTTAGAAACAAAAAAGAGCCCAAATTGCTAAAGCAATTCTAAACTTCAAGAACAAAGCTGGAGGCATCATGTTATCTGACAAGACATCTAAGGAAAAACTATACTACAAACTATGCTACAAGGCTACAGTAACCAAAACAGCATAATACTCATACAGAAACAGACACATAGACCATTGGAACAGAATAGGGAACCCAGAAATAAAGTCACACACCTATAGCCATCTGATCTTCGACAGTAAACAAAATAAGAAACGAATAAATGATTCCCTATTCAATAAATGATACTGGGATAAATAGCTAGCCACATGCAGGAGAATGAAACTGGTCCCCTAACTTTCACCATATACAAAAATGAGCACAAGATCGATTAAATATTTAAATGTAGACCTTAAACTATAAGAATCCTAGAAGAAAACCTAGGAAACACCATTCTGTCCACAGGCCTTAGGAAAAAATTGTATTACTAAGTCCTCAAAAGCAATTCCAACAAAAACAAATTAACAAGTGAGACCTAACTAAACTAAAAAAACTATTGCACAGCAAAGGAAACTATCAACAGAGTAAACAGACAACCTACAGAATGGGAAAAATATTTACAAACTATGCATCTGGCAAAGGTCTAATATTCAGAATCTATAAGAAACTTAAACAATTGAACAAGAAAAATACAATAAACCCATTGAGAAATGGGCAATTATCCTCAGCAAACTAATGCAGGAACAGAAAATCAAATGCCGCATGTTCTCACTCATAAGCGGGAGCTGAACAGTGAGAACACGTGGACACAGGGAGGGGAACAACACACATTAGGGCCTGTTGGGGGAGGGGAGGGGAGCGGAGGGGGAGAGCATCAGGAAAGATAGCTAATGCATGCCGGGCTTAATACCTAGGTGATGGATTGATAGGTGCAGCAAACCATCATGACACATTTACTTATGTAACAAACCTGCACATCCTCCACATGTACCCCAGAAATTAAAATTTTAAAAATAAGTGGACAAAAGACATGAACAGACATTTCTCAAAAGACATACAAGTGTCCTCTATCCATATGAAAAATGCTCAACATTACTAATAACTAGAGAAATGCAAATCAAAACCACAGCGAGATACCATCTCACACCAGTCAGAATAATTATTAGGAAAAAATAAAAAATGCAATAGCTGCTGGTGAGGTTGCAGAGCAAAGGGAACACTGACACACTTTTGGTGTGAGTGTAAATTAGTTCAACCACTGTGGAAAGCAGTTTGGAGATTTCTTAAAGAACTTAAAACAGAGCTACAATTTACCTAGTAATCCCATTACTGCGTATATATACAGAGGAAAACAAATCTTCCTGCTAAAAAGACGCATGCACACTCAAGTTCATTGCAGCACTGTTCACAATATAAAGACATGTAATCAAACTAGATGCCCATCAATGGTAGACTATATAAAGAAAATGTGGTACATATACACCATGGAATACTATGCAGCCATACAAAAGAATAAAATCCTGTCCTTTGCAGCAACATAGATGCAACTGGAGGTCATTATCCTAAATGAATTAACACAGGGACAGAAAACCAAATACTACATATTCTCAGTTATAAGTGGGAAGTAAACATTGGGTACTCATGGACATAAAGATGGCAACAATAGAAACTGGGGACTACTAGAGGAGAGAGGGAGGGAGGTGGGCAAGGGTCAGAAAAACCACCTATTAGGTATTATGCCCAGTACCCATATGAAGGAATCACTCATACCCCAAACCTCAGCAACACACAGTACATGCAGGTAAAAAACCTGCATGTGAACCCCATGAGTCTAAAATAAAAGTTGAAAAAAAATGCGTGGCACATAAATTATACACAAAAATAAATGTTAATTCTATTTGTAGAAAATAATTATACATGTAACAGTTTAAAAATATAATCAAATTATGCCATTTCAGAAACAAAAGCTGGCTTTTGAGATGGGGAAAAAATGAGAACAGAGTTTAAAATAGGTAGGAATCACCTAACTATTTTAGGCATTCATAGAGACAGAAAGTTTAGAAAAAATTGAGGTTTAGAGATCTATTGGGAGTTAACCTCAGAATACAATGGAGGTATATTTTGAAAATTAACTAGAAAATCTGGGAGAGTAAAATGATTGTATGTTCTAAACAATCTTGTACTTTAGGTGAAAGAATCTTTCAGTTGATAAGTAAACAATGATGAAAATTGAGATTTGTTTATTTCAACTGAAGTGATGCTCTGACAAAGCTACTAATGCCTTAATCCACTCATTTTCAAACATACATGTCAGCAAAATGAATCATTTATTACATCAATTTTATGTAGAAACCAATGGAACACTAACAAAAGTGGAAATACTTTGTCAAGGTGAGGATAGAATTCTCCATACTTTTCTTAGCAGCTTCCAAATGTGAAGAAATATTAACCTGAAAGAGCCTATCCTTCAAGATGGATCCCCAGTGGCTAACTGGGCCTAAATCTAAATAGAATCAAGTGTAATTATTTGCTGGAAGTTACACACCTCTGAGTTTCCCAACAACTTCCACCTTTTAACATTGGGAATTTCAGAGGTCAGCTGTATCAAGAAGCAGCATCATTGGGAATCAAAAAATATGAATATAATTGTGTAAAATTTATTACAGAAATATAGACCGAATTCAGTGCCAGGTAACTGTACCAAAATAATGATTTATAGATAACACGTATCTACTCTCAAAACAGGAAACTTCAATAACATGGAAATTTTTAAAATAAACTTCTTCCACAAATATCTTCCTTGTACATACTCTATCCCTATTTTTATACAAAATTTAGCTCAATTAAAACAAGATAATTATGTAAATTTAAAATAAAGTTTCAGATTAAAATTTTAATTTTGTAAAAATCTATGCATCGATATGACTATTTTTAACTTTTTTAAACTACCACTTATTATGCACATGTGGAAAAATATATTAACTAGATATTCCAAATACAATCTATTTGTAATAAACACATAAATTCGAAGGCTGAAATAATGTGGTAAACTATTACATATGTGCCTTAACATTGTCTTTCAATAGAAACCTTTTACAGGAACATTTATGATTCTTATAAAAACAATCAGACTCAAGTTTTTAGTTTTTTTTTTTTTTTTTTTTTTTTGAGTCAGTGAGTCTCGCTCTGTGCCCAGGCTATAGTGCAGTGGTGTTATCTCGGATCATTGCAACCTTCACCTCCCAGGTTCAAGCGATTCTCCTGCCTCAGCCTCCTGAGTAGCTGGGACTACAGGCGTGAGCCACTACTCCTGGCTAATTTTTGTATTTTTAGTAGAGATGGGGTTTCACCATGTTGGCCAGGCTGGTCTTGAACCATTGACCTCAGGTGATCTGCCCACCTTGGCCTCCCAAAGTGCTGGGATTAAAGGCATGCAGACTAAAGTTAATTTAAAATATTATTCATTTGAGTACTAACACATACATTTTAAAATTCTGAAGGAAGTTTTCATCTCTCTCTTCTTTTCTCTTATTTCAAATGTCTTGTCCTATTGAGAGAAATGAAGTCAGTGACTACATAGAAAAACCCTTGACAGAGACAACATCACTTTAAATGTCTTAAATCCAATTTCAAATTCTGTCCAAATTAGGAGTTATCTCATGTGACCATGAAAATAGCATGTTTTGTAAGTGTAAATATGAATACTACCTTATATATAGTGTTTTATATGCACAGAAAAGCTAGATGGGTTGAATACTTCTACCTTTGAATTTATAGTCCTTATGTTGTTCCTGTAAGTGACAAGTGGTAAATACAATTGATTCTAAAGTCTCTCTTTCTGATATTTTTGAATTACAATTGGTCATTAAAAAGTGGCGTAATTGGCCGGGCGCGGTGGCTCACGCCTGTAATCCCAGCTCTCAGGGAGGCTAAGAGGCGGGAGGATAGCTTGAGCCCAGGAGTTCGAGACCTGCCTGGGCAATATAGCAAGACCCCGTTCTCCAGAAAAAGGAAAAAAAAAAAAAAAGTGGCGTAATTTCCCTTTTCTTAAAAGTAAAAACTTCATCATTATATATTTTTTATTCTCTCCCGTAATTTAACTACATTGTTTTTAGTCTTATGTAACTTGTATTAATGAACACCTAGTAAAGGCCAATTTGCTTTTCCATTGAATAAAAAAGTGAGTATTTAAAGTATTCCATTAAATCAATGATCTTAAGAAGAGAACTTATGTTGGTAACATAATAATACATTATCACTTAAGGGCAACAGCAGAGAAAATATACCTGTGCATTGACTGGAAAACTTAAAAGAAGAAACATTTTACTTCAAATTTCTAACCAAAGAGCAACATCTTTTCCAACTAAACATTGTAAAAAGTCTATTTTAATTAGTTTTTTAGTTTCTAGTAGTGTCACATCTATCGGGGAAACTTTCCTTTCATTAAAACGTTGCCAACACATTCTAGTTCATTTGAACTACAAGAAGGAAAATTTGACCAATCTATTCCTTCACTACCCACTGATGGACTATTTCACGGCTTTTTCGCTATAGAGAGAAATAGCATTATGCAGGAAAATTTACACTAGAGTCATCCCAGAATTACACATAGAAAAAGTATCCACTGAGTATGTAGACTAGATAGAAATTTGGAATATTCTAAAACATTAATTTCACCAACATGTTTTCCCTGCCAACACATGCATTTGGTTGAAAAGCTGTGCTTCAGCCTAGACACAAAGAGAAGTAGCTTACTGTACCAACAAGACAGTCGGGGTTTGATGTAAGGAATCACTCTGTGAACAGTTTGGTGTGTGGTTTGTCTGCTTTCTGTAACTAGAAATGGAACATTACAGTAGTATAAAATATTTTGGAAGCATAAATGTCAAAACAGCATGCATTTCAGGCCATAGAATTTTTGAAAACATAATTCTATCATGAACATCCAATTCACCATAGCTACCAGTAGAAATGCCATAATAAACCAGAAAAACTCTTTATTTTCAATAATTGTATAATTGGCCGGGCACGGTAGCTCACGCCTGTAATCCTAGCACTTTGGGAGGCCGAGGCGGGCAGATCACCTGAGGTCAGGAGTTCGGGACCAGCCTGAACAACATGGAGAAATCCCGTCTCTACTTAAAAAAAAAAAAAAAAAATACAAAATTAGTAGGGCGTGATGATGCATGCCTGTAATCCCGGGAGGCTGAGGCAGGATAATTGCTTGAACCTGGGAGGCGGAGGTTGCAGTGAGCCAAAATCACGCCACTGCACTCCAGCCTGGGCAACAAGAGTGAAACTCCGTCTCAAAAAGGAAAAAAAAAAAAATGTAAAATTGTATTGGGAAGGCTGGGCTCTAACCTGGAAAATAATGTAATTGAGCAATAAGGGTATATTGAACAATATCTTTAATAAATGGAGGCTGACAAACAGGCTGGACTATTAAAATAATATGGTTTCTGATATAGATGGGTGTGTATGTGTGTGTATGTACATGGTGCAAAATCAATATTCATCTCTCACTGAGCATGATTTTTCAACAAGGACGGCCCAAAAGGCTTCCACTCATCCACCCTCAGGTTATCACTATTTAATGTATATACAGAATTTCTATAAAATGAAAACATTGGTAGTCGAGAGGGCCAAAATCTAATTTATTTATATCAATAAAATATGCACCTCAAGATGCACGGTCTCAGTTGAGTAATGTATTGGATTTTCTACTGTTTTTAGAAGGAATGAGTAATGACAGTGAAAAGGCTTAGGTTCATTAAAGAAAAACAAATTTCATGTACTGAGTCCTTTATTTAGAAGGAGCCTGTGATGTGAGTTGACAGTCGCTTTGTTTAGACAAGTGTCATAGTTTTATTTCTGACCACATTTTCGCAAGTCAAATAGGGCAATCATTCTATCAGCATCCAGCCTGGACATCCAACATCAACAGGAAAACAATGGCTTCAAACTAAAGACCCAGACTATTCAAAATCTAATAATTAACATTTTTTTTATAATAATAGCAGCATTTTACATAATTTGACCCATATGGGGCTAGATCAATAGCTTACTGGGGTGAAATCTAATTCCCGGTCCTCATTCCACATTCTTTTTTCAGAAAATAAAACATTTAAAAATAAATAAGAGATGTGTTGTTAATTAGCTACTGAAAAACTAAATATGCTCTTTTGGGGTTAACTATAACTTAACTCTAAAGTAGGTAATACTATTGAATATTCTTAATTAGGGATGACATGTACTTTGAAACAATAGCAGTTAAATTCAGATATGTATTTTCTGTCACTCATAAAAGCGATACTTTCTTAAATTTTCATGATTTACATCTAGTAGTCATCAAAAGTAAATATTAATTGTAGAGAAAGACTACAGTTAGGGTAGACTGATGTTTAAAATTCTAAGTAAGATGAATTAAGCTTTTATTGAATTTTTAATATGTTCTTGCCAATAGTATCCATCTACTAGAAAACATAAATTTGAGAGAAAATGTGCAAAAATATAAATTTTTGATGATCAAAATAGATACTGATTTATGAATTAATTTCAGCTATAAATGCACATTTTTAAAAAATTACTGATTTCTGAGATTTTGCTTTCTAGAGTACATCAGAGTTTATATTAAGGATACTTTGTAGCTTCAGCCATATTGAGAATATTAAAAACCTCCATCTCATCTACCCAGCCAATGTTCTTTTACAAAAGTTTTAAATAAATGACAATATTCCTTAGTGTGTATGTCAAGACATAAAACTGGTCCACAAAACTGGGATAATTATCCTCATGATTTCAGCTGAAAAATAATTTTAGAGTTATCTAAAATATAGAAACCACGGTTTTATTTACTTAAATTATTCAAGTATTCACTTTCATTATTTAATTCGCTTGCACATATATTTGTTTTCTGCAAAGATCAAACAAGTTATATGTAGGACCTTATAATTTGTAATCATTCCTACCACAAGAAAAACCTATTACATGAAACATAAAAAGCAAACAGTACAAGAAACTTTTGAAGATTTTACAAGTAACTGATAATAAAAAAAAAGGAGGTGATTCAATTTCAGTACCCTTTGGCTATTTTCAAAAATAGTTTTGTTTACTCTGTATTGTGAAAAATATAACATGAAGTAATGAATATTGACTAAACCTACAGTTAATATAAAATCTGTTCACCAAACCCATAACAGATGGTTTGATGTAAATTAAAGTCATTACTCTGCCATTTACAGTTTATAGAATATGCATACATTTGAAGGTACATTAGCTCCAAATTATTTATTTCAAAGCCATTATACATTAAGAAAAACTAACCAATTGATTCTGTAGCATATATATTGTCTACCAGATAATATAAAATTAAAATATAGAAAAAGCCTTTACTATACAAGAATATTCACATAAAATACTCTATCTCAATGCATATGAGTGCTGTATTGAGTATACAGAAGGGTTTCATCAAAGCAACTCAAGAGATTTAGGAGTCAAAGATGAGGTTTATGTACATGACTCTTCTGGTAATTAATGAAGACACAAAATGTAAATCACTTGGTGTCATTGGCCTTCAGCTACTTACCTGAAAACCTAGAGTCAGAAAGCAGTGATTTGTAAGTTTCTATAATATCATATGCATTTGTGATCCATGTTATTAACTGCCATGATGACCTTTTTGGGCTCAGGTACAGACAGTGGGCTATCTTGGGGCCCAGCTGAGAGTGTTAAAAAGGAGTGATTGGCAGTCTCTAAAGTGCCACTGGCTACCACCTGCGTGGCACCCATGCTTACATTGATTCTACTTCAGAGACCAGCAGATTGCTTTTCTCTACAACAGACTTAATTGTCATACAGTTAAAATAGAGCAATAAAGGGAAAAACTAAAGATATATTATAATGACCAATAACTACATATGTAAGAACAATAGCTTCTTTCCAGGGGCAGATTTACAATAAACTGAAGACCTTCTCCAGTAAGTTAGTAATGTGTTCACATGATTACACGTTTTTGAAAACTTGGCAAAATTAAATTATTTCAGTTATGATTAATAAAGATCACTGTCTCTTTTTGCTCTGATATTCCCTTTTATACCTCTTTCTCTGACTGATCATTAAGGGGTACTTGATTTGGGGCATTCAACTGAAGGAAGTCCATTTGGGAATTCTTTTCATATCGGTATGGTAGCATGGATTTATTTTACGCTTTGCCATCACTTCCATAATAAGATTTTGTGGACTGCCCCATGGTACAAGAAAGGCTTTCAGGCAAACGACTGTCCTCTGTGATGACTTGTCCAGTCTAGAGACTCTGATACAGGGCCAAAAGTCCTATCATGGTGGGAATGGGGTACTAGCAGCCTGACGACAGAGGGTATGTGAGGAGTCTAGCAGCCACAAAAGACAGAAAATGTGTGAGGAAAATTCTTCCAATTGCTGAAAATGTGAAATCCTGTGAAGACTCAGTTTTCATTGAAAGTTAAAATAGAAATTCAAATAGCAGGATTTGAATTTCTATTTTATAGTTAATATATAGATACAACATACACAGCTGTGCATGTCTGTGTGTGTATATATGTGTATGTCACATACAATGGTAAATGGATCACATATTTCTTTTTTGAAATGGAATTGATCAGAATCCCTGTGTTTATGGGGCACAATCTCATAGCATCACTGCAAAGCACAGGAGTGTCTGTGTCTGCCGCTGCATGTTTCATACATCCTAACTTACCAAATCATGTCTTAGCATAGCTGATGCATTTTGTCCTGATGAATTTTGACATGTCCAGCAAAACAGCACACTAAATTGCTACCAACCCAGCAAATCACAGCAAAGAGTCAAGTACTACACAGAGGCACCTACACATATCAGTAAATACATCAAAGGGAGGTAAGAGTAATCTGATTACATAATGTAGTTCAACATACATACAGCAGTTTAAAAGTGTTTGAATTGTTCTTATGTTGCCTTATTTTTATATTACTTTCAGGTATTTTTATTAGAAATATTTATCAAACCAGTAATTTAAAAGATATTATAGAGTTGTTGTAGGAAACTAATTAATCAAGGCAGTCTGCTTTTTGTCTTTCTAAATTTTATGTCTGTGATGTTTGCCAAATTTCTTATTTTAAATATTCAATTGTATCTAATTTCAGATTTATAATATTTATTCATTTTTATAAGAAATTCTAATTATTAAAAAATAACATTATAAAAGCTTCATATTTCACACAATCTGAATCTGTCCCTTCTATATGTCAGCATTGCTAGTGTAGCTTTAGTGACTGAAACCCATTTGTCTGAATGGCCTGTCTTATCTAACATACTAGAATTCTTTATAACTAAAATGTTATTATACTTCCATTTGATATTTGCCCCAATCACTTTACAAGGTTAGGTTGGGTCCATGCAAGGCTTTTTGTTTTGTTTTGTTTTGTTTCTTCAATCTCAAGGCAGGAGGATTTACCCTGGTTGAAGTATTAAATCTTTTAAGATATTTACAAAATCTGTGAGCATTTATTATTAGGCAAGTTCGCCTGTTCATTTCATATTCATCATAAAGAAAGCAGATGGAAGATCTTGACCAACCGTAACCATTTTTTGGCAATATTTAACACTAAAATTTTAGCTGGTAGCACCTGTTTTCTAAGGGTAAAGACTATAATTCCCAAGCACTTCACTGTAAGACTTTTGACGATTCTTCTGTTATTGTTCTATTAGCAGTACTTACTCTTGGAAAACATTATTTTATTATTCTGTGAAATAATTTTGGTTAACATACATTGGCATTACTATTACAGATTAAAAGTTTTATAAAATAGTGTATTTTCAGTTAAATGAAACAGAAACTCTGTGACTCTAGGTGTTTTCTGGCATGGATAGTTAAAATTTCAGAAGAGAGGTGGCCTTCAGTTATGCAATCACATCAGGCTTTGTTTCTTGAATTCTTTTAGACTCATCAGTTGTATCAGTTCTCCTTCAAACTTGTTTGCCTTACCAGTAGCAGCTTGCGCAAAAATAGAGAAACGATCAAATCTTATATTCTCCATATGAAAATATGAGAGGATATGATATGCCAATTGTTTAAATTAACCAAAGTTAGAAAACAAAATAAATCGAATCTCTAACATGTGCAAGTATGGCAGGCACCTGTACAAGTTTTCTCACTGAATTTTACAACCTTTCTTAGATTGATAGTATTTTCTTCATTGTTCAAATTTCATACCTAAAGATCAGTGAAGTTAAATCATTTACCTATGAAACTGAAAAATGGTAAAACATTTTAAGAGGTCCTCCTACCAAGCTGATGTGGTTTGGCTGTGTCCACACCAAAAACATCCTCTTGAATTGTAATCCGCATAATCCCCATAAAAGGCAGGACCAGGTGGAGATAATCTTATCATGGGTGCGGTTTCCCCCGTGCTATTCTCGTGATAGTGAGTCTCACGAGATCTGATGGTTTTCTAAGCGTCTGGCATTTCCCCTGCTTGCACTCACTCCATCCTTCACCCTGTGAAGGAGCCTGCTTCTCCTTTGCCTTCCATCATGACTGTAAGTTCCCTGAGGTCTCCCCAGCAATGCAGAACTGTGAGTCAATTAAACCTCTTTCCTTTATAAATGACCCAGTCTTGGGTATTGCTTCATAGCAGTGTGAGAATGAACTAACATACAAGCCCATACTGTTTTTAAACTCATGCCATGCAGATTTAGAATACCTTCTCAAACACAGACTTTTCAGTCCTATTTATACATGGATAGCTATGCCCTTAGTGTTTATGCTACAGGAATTCTTGAAATTTTCCAGTAGAAGTTTTTTCAAATGTGATATTTCATCTATCTGTTGAGGCTCATGCTGTGTGATAAACTTACTTCTCAAATAGATCCTAAATAATCTATCTGAAACTTTCTCTTCTACACACAAGCAAATAGCCAATAACTAACATAGGACTTGAGCAATTTCTAAATATGCACTCATCTTGGGTTATGATTATATTTAGATGCTATCAAAATAGAAGACAAATTTACCATCTAAATGTTTGATGTGCTCAATAGCAAACAATCAGATTTACACCTGATTTTCTGTTATGATAATGTATAAACATAGAGCAAGTCTATTTTCATGTTTAAAGGCAGGTGACAGAAATCAGGGCATGTAGGGGTTGAGGCATTCAAGAAAATAGGTGAGAAAGAGCTGCACGTCTGGTACACAGTAGTACTGCTCACAGGCAAGTCAATTGCCTTCCTTGTGGTTTGAGATATCAGTTAATATTTTATACATTTCCAATTATGAGAGAAGAAATACCAGTAACATTCCTAAGCCTGCAAGCTGGCTGGGTATTTGAGAAGTTACCTAAATTATATCTCTGAGTGTATTTTAAAATGATTTTAATTACTATAAATTTTCAGTTTCCATAATAAAATATACTTAACTATTTACATATTGCCCAAGATTGGGCTGTAAGCTCTTTTCTCAGCAGAGGTCACAAAATAGGCCTCAGCCAATGTAAAGTCTACCCACACATTCTGTGTGGCTGTTTCCTGAGGCCCACTGTGTTTTAAAAACAAATGTAACTACACGCATTTGATCTCTGGTTCCTGTTCAGATGTTAAGAGTGTGCATATTTTTTCTTGGCTTCTCCAGGAATTTATAATATCTACAATCATTTCAGTGTGCCTCCCTATTCTATGGTCCTTTCATCCACATGCAACCACAGAGATGCTTCTAGTTCCTTCTATGTGCCCAGGATGATGAAATGTAAATTTCAACCCGAGCTCACCTCTGAGATTTAGACCCGTATACCAAAGGCACTTTAAGGGTTTCTATTTCAATAAATGCCATTGCTATCCAGTTAATGACGCAAACCAGAAAGTTACAAGTCAGTTATGATGCCTCCCTCCCCTTCACTGCCATAGCTAGTCCAACACAAAAACCTTTTAATTTTTTCTTCCCAAATGTCTCAGGAATGGGATCATTTCTGTTCATTTCTTATTACCCTCTTGAATATACTCTCAAAGTGCCCTGTACTTTTCTTTACATGTGATTTGTAAATATATAGCCATGGGTGGAATTACCAATATCGATTTTCACCATTAAGTTCTAAACTTCAAGTGAATAGTGACAATGTATATTCTGGTCCCTGTTCATCTCCAGAAAATACCAAAAATTTTAGGAAAAATAAATGTGGAACTTTTAGCATGTTTCCATTTCTTTCTTTTTATGTATATATATACACACACACACACACACATATATATATATAATACTTTAAGTTCTAGGGTACATGTGCACAACGTGCAGGTTTGTTACATATGTATACATTTGCCATGTTGGTGTGCTGCACCCATTAACTCGTCATTTGCATTAGGTGTATCTCCTAATGCTATCCCTCCCCCCTCCCCCCAGCCTACACAGACGCTGGTGTGTGATGTTCCCCTTCCTGTGTCCAAGTATTCTCATTATTCAATTCCCACCTATGAGTGAGAATACGTGGTGTTTGGTTTTTTGTCCTTGCGATAGTTTGCTGAGAATGATGGTTTCCAGCTTCATCCATGTCCCTACAAAGGACAAGAACTCATCATTTTTTATGGATGCATAGTATTCCATGGTGTGTGTGTATATATATATGTATGTATGTATGTATATGTGTGTATGTGTGTATGTATGTATATGTGTGTGTGTATATATATATATGTGTGTGTGTGTGTGTGTGTGTGTGTGTGTGTTGCTCTGTCGTCCAGGCTGGAGTGCAGTGGCACGATCTTTGCTCACTGCAAGCTCCACCTCCCGGGTTCATGCCATTCTCCTGCCTCAGCCTCCGGAGTAGCTGGGACTACAGGCGTCCGCCACCACGCCTGGCTAATTTTTTTGTATGTTTAGTAGAGACAGGGTTTCACCATGTTATCCAGGATGGTCTCGATCTCCTGATCTTGTGATCTCCCCACCTCGGCCTCCCAAAGTGCTGGGATTACAGGTGTGAGCCACCACGCCCAGCCTCCATTTCCTGTTTTTTAAATGATAGCTTTATTATTATCATTGTATAGAAATGTTTACTGTATTTTTTATTTTTATGAAGTTTCCTGCGAGTAAAATTGTATCAAATGTTAGAAAATACCAGAAAGTTTCAGTCAAGAAAGGTTTTATATTTTACATGCCCAAAAATAGAGTATAAAGTTACTTATCTACTTTTTAAGCATTGATTTTTATATGGTTTTTATGTTTGTCAATTTAGTTTGATATTTTAATTTTTCCAATTTTATTATATTTGATCTCTTGTGTGGCCCAGTGATATTTTCTGGCTCTGCGTCCCCACCTAAATCTCATCTCAAATTGTCATTCCCATAAACATCCCCACATGTCTAGGAAGGGACCAGGTAGGAGGTGATTTGATCATTGGGGCAGGTCACCCATGCTGTTCTCCTGATAGTGAGTGAGTTCTCACAAGGTCTGATGGTTTTATAAGTGCTTGACAGTTCCTCCTTCACATTCTCTCTCTCGCCTTCTGCCATGTAAGAAGTGCCTGCTTCCCCCTCCCCCACGATTACAAGTTTCCGGAGGCCACGTCTGCCATGTGGAACTGTGAGTCAATTAAACTTTTCTTTTTTTTCTTTATATATATATATATATATATATATATATATATATTTTTTTTTTTTTTTTTTTTTTTTTTGAGATAGAGTCTCACTCTGTTGCTAGGCTGGAGTGCAATGGTGTGACCTTGGCTCACTGCAACCTCTGCCTCCCAAATCTAAGCAATTCTCCTGCCTCAGCCTCCAGAACAGCCTGGATCACAGGTGCACACCACCACGCCTGGCTAATGTTCTGTACTTTTAGTAGAAATGGGGTTTCACCATGTTAGCCAGGCTGGTCTTGAACTCCCAACCTCAGGTGATCCACCCGCCTCGGCCTCCCAAAGTGCTGGGGTCACAGGCATAAGCCACTGTGCCCTGGGCTTAAACTTCTTTTCTTAATAAATTACCCAGTCTCAGGCAGTTCTTTATAGCAATGTGAAAACAAACTAATACCATTTGACAGAAATTTATATTATTTCTATAAATTGTCGTTTAGAGCCTTTTCTCAATTCTATTTGGGTATTAATGTTTCCTAAACCAATAATAAGAGCTATTTGTATATTAAAATTATTTGATAATATTATTTATATATTAATATTCATAACATTAACATTTATAATACATATAAATAGAAATAGTAATATTATTTACTTGCTAAATATTAGTGCTTTTGTTATGAGATGGGGTCTCACTATACTGTCCAGGCTGCTCTTGAACTCCTGGGCTTAAGTGATTCTCACTCTATTGTCCAGGCTGCTCTTGAACTCCTGGGCTTAAGTGATTCTCCTGCCTCAGTCTGTGGAGTAGCTGAGACTTAGTGCTTTTTTAATAGTAACTATTTTCATTTTAATTCTATTTGTGACATTTTGATGTGCCAAGTATTTTACAGTATATTTAACCAAAGCTGAACTTTATTTTTGCCTGCCCATTCTGTGATAGGAATGCTTTTGCCCACTTAAAATAGAGATGAACACAAACTGTTGTCTATTTGTTCTGAATTTCAGGTTTTCAGATACAGTTTTTAAATTCATGAAGTTTTTATAATTTAAATTAACCTTACAAATATAATGCATGAAATAGTTTGTATTATGAAATGATTATTACAGATAAAGCAAAAGTCCCCTTTGACCCCCAATCCTAAATCCATCTAGTAGATATTGAGCCAGGACAACAATTTATCCCGTTGTACATGATGAGGGAAGAAGTGTAGGGATAGTTTATAGAGGGAGGTAATTCCATTTACTGACCAGAGTGTAAAGATCTCTGATACCTTATCTAATGATAACAGAACAGGGAATCATTCAGCAGAACTGAAGAGTGGTTTACATTCACAGGGCCACAGCGTTGAGAAATGTCAGAAACACAGTAGGAGTTTAGCCAAGCAGAGCCACACTCCTGAGAGTGGCAACACCACCCACTCCAGCAACAGAACACACACCTTATGGAGATGGAAATGGCTCCATAATGAGAAAAGCTAGCCAAGGCCCCTCCAAATAGTATTTAGAGGTGGTGTTAAATCATAACAGGTATTTGGGGAGACATTTTAAAAGATGTTTTGTGTGGTTGTTTTGGTTTTTGTTCTTAACCATAGGAAAAGAATCAAGTCATAAGTATCATTTACAGATGGAGTGGCCAAGAGGATTTAGATATGGTTTTGGATACACTGGATGTGCAGAGTACTAACATATTGTTCCTCCTACTAAATTTCAACAAAGTCAGAACAGATATTATTATTTAGTTGCCCTTCAACTCTGCCATCTTTTCTACTGTTTTGACATCACTGCCAGGAGAAACATATGGTCTAGGAAGAAGCAAAAGCCCTAAGCCCTTCCTTTGGTCCCTGTGTAATTTCGCTGAGACTTGTAGCAATCAGAGAGGCCTGACACTGAACCTTCTTACACTTTCAAACTTACGTTTCACTGTGTCCTCCTTTATGCCCCTGATGCCTTCCCTGGCTGTTTCTGTATTATGTTTTGATATTTACTAATTTATTAAACTTTTTAACGAAATTATTTAGCTTCATTAACCAGTGCTAATTGATGATGGATTTATATTTTGTAATTTCTATAGTATTTCTTATTACTTTGTTTTTAGTTTTGATTAATCTCAGTTTTCAGATTTATTTAGTTTTTTTGGTCTAGTTTTCTAAGTTGAACACTTCATTTATTTAAAACATTTGTATTTACAGTAGATGTATTTAAAGTTCTTAACCCCTTTAAGATATTGCTTTATCTACATTTACATATGTCATGTTTTTGTTGCCATTCAATTCAAATTATTTTCAAAATTTTAGCTCGATTTTTCCATATCCCCCTCAATTGTATAGAAATATATTTTCTTAATTGCAGTATGTTACTTATTTCTATTTTTTCTAATTGTATTGAACTGTGGTAAATAATTATGGTTTTAATTGTGAGAAATTTGCTGAGATTTCTCATGTAGTTTAATGCATGGTTATTTTAATAATAACTCACTGCATATATTCATTGTTTTAAAAATGTATCTATACATGTCTATCATTTCGAAAAAGATTGTTGTGTTATTCAATTGCTCCTTATAGCCATTTATTTTCTGTCTGTGGAGTGTTCCACTTCTGGCATAGCATATTAAAAATTTCTAAACATTTCTAGGGATCTGCCAATTCTCCTGGTAGAACTTTACTCTTGAGTTCTCTCTTTTACCCTTTAAACAAAACTATTTTTAAAAATTTTTCCAGACTTATGATATCCTGTCTTTTGGACCTCAAAAATTGGGCTTTGTCATTTAAGATTTCAAGACAAGTACTCTTAGTAAGGTTACCAATGAAATTCCTGTTGCTAAATGCAATACAAAATATTATTTTGTATTTTATTAAGTACAAATAAAATTATTTATTTTATTATTTTGTATATTATTAAGAAAAGAAGTTTAAGCCCAGGCTTCATCTTTGATAAAGGTAAGCACACCTCTGTCCTGAAAATATTTATTTTTTGGACTTCCTTAGCAGAAACCACAATTCACTAATTTTCATTCTAATTACCTGGCCATTCCTCTAAGTCAACTTTAAGAACAGTTTCTTTGTTCTCTGAATTCTTGCTCTTTCAGTGGCTCAAGCTCCAATCCTTGGCTTTTTATTTAAATTAAGTCCCATGATCCTTTAGTCAGACTCAGAGCTCAATTATAAATCAGCAGGTCTAGTATGTTTTGGCTATAAATAAATCATCAGGAAATATTATTTGTCTACCCATTGAAACCTAAATGTAATATTTCCATCTGTTGCATTAGTGGCATAGCCAGAAAATCCAGAAAATTCTCCTGGAATGATAATGACAAGGATACTCCATGATAAATATATAAACTATTCTAGGTAAAGTCTTTACCCTTTTGATAAAAATAGATTAAATTCACTATAAACACATAAAGATATATAATACGAAAGAATGTCATGAAGAAATTACTCAGTATAACAATATTTAACATTATATAGACATCATTGTAGGTATCTTTTCATGCATAAAGTGTGATCAAAAGTCATGACGCTTTCCCTTTCTGCATGAGAATCCAGCTTATGAGTAACATCTTCATTCTTTCCCCTTCTGAGCTAATAACATGAGAAATGTTAATTATGATACTAGGCAACAGTACCTACTGGAAGGATTCAGAGAAATTACAAATAAACTATAAATATCTGATGGTGAGGTTATAGCTTCCTTGAGTGTGGTGACATGTAATAATTGGGCTTAATTTTTGAGGGAACATTCACACCTATTCTTATGGGATTGTTATAAAAAAGATTGAATCCTGTGAGGCATGAAGATGATATGCCAGGGCATACCTTGCATTCACCTAATGCAGAGTTGATTTCCTTGAACCTCAGCTTACTCCTACATGGCTATTTGAAGTGATATACACATGGCTGCTATGACTCTCAGTAAGAGTATCCTGACACTGCACTGCTGGAAGTTGTCCTGAAGCTTTCTTTGCAGGCTGGTGCCAAGGGAGGCCTATGAGGATCTTGTGAATCTGAATCTTTTGTAAATCTAAAGACAATTACCATGGCAGATGTTATAGTTTGAGAGCAGAGTAGACACAATTTTATTTAATATATCTTTGAATTGAATACTAAAGAATACAGTACAGTGAAACTCAAGTAATGGTAAACTTTAAACATTTCTTCAACATAAATGTGTTCTTATTTAAAAAGATTCCTATTTGTAAAAAAAAAATGAAAATATATTTAGAATAAGGATGTGTATGTATATGTGTGTATTTAAATGTGCATTATACCTTACTATTTACTGACTCTCTGCTCTGAAAGGTGAGAAAATTATTCCTCTTAAGCTATGTTTAGTTTCCCATCCTCCAAATTTTAAATTTATTTTGTAATATATCATTAATGCTAATACCATGTATTCTAGAGCTATAATTCCAGTGTTGTTTTAACTATATATAAATATAATACTCATCACCAATGTTTTTACCATTTTTTGTATATTTATCTTGACTCATCTGATCACCAGATTCTAATTCAAAACCATTTATTCTAACTTCTGTAAGGTGCTAATTCCTGAGTTCTTAGAAAATTCTTGCAAATGCTAATTCCTTGAATTCTAGAGAGTTTGCTTACATGCCTTTGCAGGAGGGGTGGCCCAAAATACTGCAAACTCCTGATTCATGGTCTCTCTTATTCTCCTATGCCTACACTGTGGTGACTCCATGTTTTTCAAAGCCTCCAGCCCATGTCTTTTTCTGGTCTTTCCACTTATTATATATATTAAACAAATCTAGCCCTTGTATCTAATTTAAATCATGCATGATCATGCATTTCAGCACATTTAACAAAAAAACCTCTTTATTCTCAAACATATCAGGAGTGTCTCAAGGGACAGAAACCAGGAACAGAAGCATTTCTAGAGAAATTTTCATAAGATGAGGCTCTATATTTTTCCCAAAGGAGAGAAAGTAAACTGTCAGATCAAGCATGGGCCCCAAATGTGGCAATGCACACTGTCACAGCCTCAATCAGTGTCTGAAGCAGGGTCATACCTCAGTTGGGTATGTGGGCCAAAAGGCATTTTGCAACTCTAAATAAAAAAAACTAAAAAAATAAAAAAAAAAACAAAAACACGATGAAATGATTCTCCATTTGGGGGAAAAATATGCTCAATAAAACTGTCAATGGGTTCATTGAGTGAGTAAGAACCTTGACTATGGCAGTGACCTAAGGATAGTCTCATGATTCTGCCTGCTATACCTGTTATAGGCATTGGAGCTGGAGCACACAGTGCTAGGAATTGTCAGGCTTCTGAGTCCAAGCTAAGCCATCCTATCCCCTGTGACCTGCATGTATACATCCAGATGGCCAGTTCCTGCCTTAACTGATGACATTCCACCACAAAAGAAGTGAAAATGGCCTGTTCCTGTCTTAACTGATGACATTATCTTGTGAAATTCCTTCTCCTGGCTCATCCTGGCTCAAAAGCTCCCCTACTGAGCACCTTGTGACCCCACCTTCCCGCCAGAGAACAACACCCCTTTGACTGTAATTTTCCTTTACCTACCCAAATCCTATAAAATGGCCCCACCCATATCTCCCTTCACTCTCTTTTCGGACTCGGCCTACCTGCACCCAGGTGATTAAAAGCTTTATTGCTCACACAAAGCCTGTTTGGTGGTCTCTTCACAGGGACGCGAGTGAAATTTGGTGCTGTGACTCAGATCAGGGGACCTCCCTTGGGAGATCAATCCCCTGTCCTCCTGCTCTTTGCTCCATGAAAAAGATCCACCTACCACCTCAGGTCCTCAGACCCACCAGCCCAAGGAACATCTCACCAATTTTACATCGGGTAAGCAGCCTCTTCTTACTCTCTTCTCCAACCTCTCTCACTATCCCTCATCCACTTTCTCCTTTCAATCTTGGTGCCACCCTTCAATATCTCCCTTCTTTTAATTTCAATTCATTTTCTCATAGAGACGAAGGAGACACGTTTCATCCGTGGGCCCAAAACTCCGGCGCTGGTCATGGACTCAGGAAGGCAGCCTTCCCTTGGCATTTAATCATTGCAGGGATGCCTTTCTGATCATTCACCCACGTTTCAGAGGTATCTCACCACGTGGGGACACCTGCCTTGGTCATTCACCCTTAGCAGCAAGTACTGGTTTTCTGGGGGGCAAGAACCCCCCAACTCCTTCTGTGTCTCTACCCCTTCTCTGCTTTTCTGGGGGGCAAGACCCCCCCAACCCTTCTCCTTCACCCTTAGCAGCAAGTACTGCTTTTCTAGTTGTCAAGAATCCCCCAATCCCTTATTTCTGTGCCTCGACCTCTTATCTCTGCACCCTGATCCCTTATTTCTGTGCCCCAACCTCTTATCTCTGCACCCCGATCCCTTATTTCCACACCCCAACCTCTTATCTCTGCACTCCAATCCCTTATTTCCATGCCCCGACCTCTTATCTCTGTGCCCCAACCCCTTATTTCCACGCCCTGACCCCTTTCCCGATTTTCTGGAGGGTAAGAACCCCCAAACCCCCTCCCTCCGTGTCTCTACCCTTCTCTTTAAACTTGCCTCCTTCACTATGGGCAACCTTCCACCCCCCATTCCTCCTTCTCCCTTAGCCTGTGCTCTCAAGAACATAAAACCTCTTCAACTCACACCTGACCTAAAACCTAAACTCCTTATTTTCTTCTACAATGCCGCTTGACCCCAATACAAACTCAACAGTGGTTCCAAATAGCCAGAAAACAGCACTTTTGATTTTTCCATCCTACAAGATCTAAATAATTCTTGTCGTAAAATGGGCAAACCGTCTGAGGTGCTTGATGTCCAGGCATTCTTTTACACATCGGTCCCTCCCTAGTCTCTGTTCCCAATGCAACTCATCCCAAATCTTCCTTCCCTCCCACCTGTCCTCAGTCCCAACCCCAAGCATCACTGAGTCTTTCTAATCTTCCTTTTCTACAGACCCATCTGATCTCTCCCCTCCTCGCCAGGCTGAGCTGGGTCCCAATTCTTCCTCAGCCTCCGCTCCTCCACCCCATAATCCTTTTATCACCTCCCCTCCTTACACCTGGTCCGGCTTACAGTTTCGTTCCCTGACTAGCCCTCCCCCACCTGCCCAGCAATTTCCTCTTAAAAAGGCGATAGAGCTAAAGGCATAGTCAAGGTTAATACTCCTTTTTCTTTAACTGACCTCTCCCAAATCAGATAGCATTTAAGCTCTATTTCATCAAATATAAAAACCCAGCCCAGTTCATGGCTCGTTTGGCAGCAACCCTGAGATGCTTTACAGCCCTAGACCCTGAAAGGTCAAAAGGCCGTCTTATTCTCAATATACATTTTATTACCCAATCTGCTCCCGATATTAAATAAAACTCCAAAAATTAAATTCCGGCCCTCAAACCCTATAACAGGACTTAATTAACCTCACCTTCAAGGTGTACAATAATAGAGGCAGCCAAGTAGCAATGTATTTCTGAGTTGCAATTCCTTGCCTCCACTGTGAGACAAACCCCAGCCACATCTCCAGCACATAAGAACTCCAAGTGCCCAAACCACAGCTGCAAGGGGTTCCTCCAGAACCTCCTCCCCCAAGAGCTTGCTACAAGTGCCAGAAATCTGGCCACTGGGCCAAGGAATGCCCACAGCCCGGGATTCCTCCTAAGCCACGTCCCATCTGTGCAGGACCCCACTGAAAATCAGACTGTTCAACTCACCTGGCAGCCACTCCCAGAGCCCCTGGAACTCTGACCCAAGGCTCTCTGACTCCTTCCCAGATCTTCTCGGCTTAGCAACTGAAGACTGACACTGCCTGATTGCCTCCGAAGCCTACAGGACCATCACAGATGCTCTAGGTAACTCTCACAGTGGAGTTAAGTAAGTCCGTCCCCTTCTTAGTCAATACGGAGGCTACCCACTCCACATTACCTTCTTTTCAAGGGCCTGTTTTCCTTGCCTCCATAACTGTTGTGGGTGTTGACGGCCAGGCTTCTAAACCTCTTAAAACTCCTCAACTCGTATGCCAACTTAGAAAACATTCTTTTATGCACTCTATTTTAGTTATCCCCACCTGCCCAGTTCCCTTATTAGCCATAGCCACACCTCATTGCTGCCCTTTTCCCCAGTTCAAAGCCTCCTTCTCATCCTCCTCTCATATCCCCCCACCTTAACCCACAAGTATAAGATACCTCTACTTCCTTCTTGGTGACCAATCATGTACCCCTTACAATCTCATTAAAACCTAATCACCCTTACCCCCTTCAATGCCAATATCCCATCCCACAGCACACTTTAAAAAGATTAAAGCCTGTTATCACTCACCTGCTTCAGCATGACCTTTTAAAGCCTATAAACTCCCCTTACAGTTACCCCATTTCACCTGTCCTAAAACCACACAAGGCTTACAGGTTAGTTCAAGATCTGCGCCTTATCAACCAAATTGTTTTGCCTATCCACCCCATGGTGCCAAACCCATATACTCTCCTATCCTCAATACCTCCCTCCACAGTCCATTATTCTGTTCTAGATCTCAAACATGCTTTCTTTGCTATTCCTTTGCAGCCTTCATCCCAGCCTCTCTTCACTTTCACTTGGACTGACCCTGACACCCATCAGGCTCAACAAATTACCTGGGCTGCACTGCCGCAAAGCTTCACAGACAACCCCCATTACTTCAGTCAAGTGCAAATTTCTTCCTCATCTGTTACCTATCTCGGCATAATTCTCATAAAAACACATGTGCTCTCCCTGCTGATCGTGTCCGGCTAATCTCCCAAACCTCAATCCCTTCTACAAAACAACAACTCCTTTCCTTCCTAGGCATGGTTAGTGCGGTCAGAATTCTTACACAAGACCCAGGACCGCACCCTGTAGCCTTTCTGTCCAAACAACTTGACCTTACTGTTTTAGCCTAGCCCTCATGTCTGCGTGCAGCAGCTGCCACTGCTTTAATACTTTTAGAGGCCCAAAAAATCACAAACTATGCTCAACTCACTCTCTACAGTTCTCATAACTTCCAAAATCTATTTTCTTCCTCATACCTGATGCGTATACTTTCTGCTTCATGGCTCCTTCAGCTATATTCACTCTTTGCTGAGTCTCCCACAATTACCATTGTTCCTGGCACGGACTTCAATCCGGCCTCCCACATTATTCCGGATACCACACCTGACCCTCATGACTGTATCTCTCTGATCCAACTGACATTCACCCCATTTCCCCATATTTCCTTATTTCCTGTTCCTCACCCTGATCACATTTAGTTCATTGATGGCAGTTCCACCAGGCCTAATCGCCACTCACCAGCAAAGTCAGGCTATGCTATAGTATCTTCCACATCTATCATTGAGGCTACCGCTCTGCCCCCCTCCACTATCTCTCAGCAAGCCGAACTAGTTGCCTTAACTCAAGCCCTCACTCTTGCAAAAAGACTAAGCATCAATATTTATACTGACTCTAAATATACCTTTCATATTTTGCACCACCATGCTGTTATATAGGCTGAAAGAGGTTTCCTCACTATGCAAAGGTCCTCCATCATTAATGCCTCTTTAATAAAAACTCTGCTCAAGGCCGCTTTACTTCCAAAGGAAGCTGGAGTCATTCACTGCAAAGGCCATCAAAAGGCGTCAGATCTGACTGCTCTAAGCAACGCTTATGCTGATAAAAGTGGCTAGACAAGCAGCTAGCTTTCCAACTTCTATCCCTTACGTCCAGTTTTTCTCCTTCACATCGGTCATTCTCACCTACTCCCCCGCTGAAACTTCCACCTATCAATCTCTTCCCATACAAGGCAAATAGTTCTGAGACCAAGGAAAATATCTCCTTCCAGCCTCACAAGCCCATTCTATTATTCTGTCGTCATTTCATAACCTCTTCCATGTAGGTTACAAGCTGCCAATCCGTCTCTTAGAACCTCTCATTTCCTTTCCATCCTAGAAATCTATCCTCAAAGAAATCACTTCTCAGTGTTCCATCTGCCATTCTACTACCCCTCCCTTTCCTACACATCAAGCTCAGGGATTTATTTACCCCTGCCCAGGACTGGCAAATTGACTTTACTCACATGCCCCGAGACAGAAAACTAAAATACCTCTTAGTCTGGGTAGACACTTTCACTGGATAGGTAGGGGCCTTTCCTACAGGGTCTGAGAAGGCCACCGCAGTCATTTCTGCCCTTCTGGCAAACATAATTCCGCAGTTTAGCCTTCCCACCTCTATACAGTCTGATAACAGACCAGCCTTTATTAGTCAAATCAGCCAAGCAGTTTTTCAGGCTCTTAGTATTCAGTGAAACTTTATATCCCTCACAGTCCTTAGTCTTCAGGAAAAGTAGAACGGACTAAAGGTCTTTTAAAAATACACCTCACCAAGCTCCGCCACCAACTTAAAAAGAACTGGACAATACTTTTACTACTTTCCCTTCTCAGAAGTCAGGCCTGTCCTCAGAATGCTACAGGGTACAGCCCATTTGAGCTCCTGTATAGATGATCCTTTCTATTAGGCCCCAGTCTCATCCCAGACACCAGACCAACTTGAACTGTGCCCCAAAAAACTTGTCATCCCTACTATCTTCTGTCTAGTCATACTCCTATTCACCATTCTCAACTACTCATACATGCCCTGCTCTTGTTTACACTGCCGGTTTACACTGTTTCTCCAAGCCATCACAGCTGATATCTCCTGGTGCTATCCCCAAACCACCACTCTTAACTCTTAAAGTAAGTAAATAATCTTTGCTGGCAAGGCTATGCCGAACCACTTTAAGCACTCTCTAATTAGATGTCCTAAGTCCTCCCAATTCTTAGTCCTTTAATACCTGTATTTCTCCTTCTCTTACTCTGTTTAGTTTTTCAATCCATACAAAACGGTATCCAGGCCATCACCAATAATTTTACATGACAAATGTTTCTTCTAACAACCCCACGGTATCACCCCTTACCACAAAATCTTCCTTCAGCTTAATCTCTCCCACTCTAGGTTCCCACGCCACCCCTAATCCCGCTCGAAGCAGCCCTGAGAAACATCGCCCATTATCTCTCCATACCATCCCCCAAAATTTTCGCCGTCCCAACATTTTACAACTATTTCCTTTTATTTTTCTTATTAATATAAGAAGACAGGAATGTCAGGCCTCTGAGTCCAAGCTAAACCATCACATCCCCTGTGACCTGCACGTACACATCCAGATGGCCAGTTCCTGCCTTAACTGATGACATTCCACCACAAAAGAAGTGAAAATGGCCTGTTCCTGCCTTAACTGATGACATTATCTTGTGAAATTCCTTCTCCTGGCTCATTCTGGCTCAAAAGCTCCCCTACTGAGCACCTTGTGACCCCCACACCTTCCCGCCAGAGAACAACCCCCCTTTGACTGTAATTTTCCTTTACCTACCCAAATCCAGAAAAATGGCCCCACCCCTATCTTCCTTCGCTGACTCTCTTCGGACTCAGCCCGCCTGCACCCAGGTGATTAAAAGCTTTATTGCTCACACAAAGCCTGTTTGGTGGTTTCACATGGACGTGAGTGAAAGGAATTACAACACAGAAAACTTGGTGCTTACTCTATTCCTTGGTGTATATTATAATGTATAATATACTATATTATATTGTATATAATATACTATATTATATTGTATAAAATATACTATATTATATTGTATAATATACTATATTACATTGTATAATATACTATATTACATTGTATATAATATACTATATTACATTGTATATAATATACTATATTACATTGTATATAATATACTATATTACATTGTATATAATATACTATATTACATTGTATATAATATACTATATTACATTGTATATAATATACTATATTACATTGTATATAATATACTATATTACATTGTATATAATATACTATATTACATTGTATATAATATACTATATTACATTGTATATAATATAGGTAGGTAGTATAATGTATACTGTAGGTAATATATAGGTAGGTACTGTATAATGTAGGTAATATAATGTTTAATATAATGAATGCATAATTACACACAACTATATTTCACATTAATATAATACACTAATATAACAATTCACTACCTCCCAAATATCCGAGAATTATAATTTAGAACTAATGAGTCCTGGTATGTGGATTTGGGTAAATCTTCAGAGAAAAACTTGAGTGAGAGTAACCCTCACTGAAGAATGAGGCTTTGGTTGATGGGTGCTCTGAAAGTGTGTGGCTCACCTACGGCACAGGTGCTTACAGCTGGAGGTCAAGAGAGTGCACGAAACCTGGCTGAGTACCAAGGAGACAGCGTAGGCTTATGCAGTATCAGCTACACCTGAGCTTAATATCGGCTTCACCACGCACTGGCTCTACACATTTGGGTAATGTATTGAAGTCACTTTCTACTTCTGAGGAGCAGGATGTTTATTAATCCATTTCAGGGTAATTAAACACTATAGGTAAATCAGCTAGCATCTGGTGATGATGCCAACATTCACAGGCCTAGGTAATCTGACTCTTGGCCTTTTACCACTGAAAACCTCTGGCTGATTGAACATTAAATCTATGAATGCCTTTTCATACATGCTCTAGTCTCATGGCATTCTAGCTACCATCAATTTTTGGCAAAAAGTCTCACTTCAAATTTCAGTGAGACTATTGAAGCTGACTGATGTGGGCTTCCTCTCCTTTGTTGCTCTAATCTCAAAATTCATTTTCAACTATCCTCCTTTGATTCTTTTTTTTTTACATTTTTATTTATTTTATTATTTTTTTTAAGACAAGGTCTTGCTCTGTTGCCCAGGCTGGAGTGTAGTGGCAAGACAGTAGCTCAATGTAGCCTCAATCTCCCAGGCACAAGCAATCCTCCCATCTCAGCATCCTGAGTAGCTAGGACTACAGGTGAGTGCCACCATGTCTAGCTAAATTTTTTTTGATTTTTAGTAGAGACAAGGTCTCCCTATGTTTCCCAGGCTGCTTTCGAATTCCTGAGCTCAAGTGATCCTCCTGTCTCAGCCTTCCAAAGTGTTGGGATTATAGATGTGAGCCACCACACCTGGCCCAACTTTTTTTTTAAATGATGTTTTCCTTGACAAGATTAATTACTCAAAAGTTTTCTTGGCTTTCCCTTATCCTCTTACACCTGGCTTCATCTATTTTCTTGAACATACACTCAGTCTCTCCCTATTTCTTCATTCTATCTCCCTCCTTATAAACAGACTTGGGTCTCCAGATTTCTATAAAATATTTATCTGAAACCTTTTACCTCAAACTACTGCCCTAAGTCACCATTTTCTTTCAAACTCTAATTCTTAAAAGTTTAAGTCTGATAGTCTTCACTTTCTCAAGTTCTCCTTATGCCACATTTTATCATTTATGACAATTTATAGAGTATTCCATGTAAACCATAGCCGCTGAGTGATTGGACGCTTCTCACTCATCCTCATCTTTGTCCCCATCCATTCTACTTGAGGATTCTGTAACATCTCATTCTACTGAATCTTTGAAATTCTTTGTTGCCTTCCACAATCCTCCTCTGTATGGATCCTCATTTCACCCAGATCCATTATTTACAGTTCTCTTTTTCTCATTTTGTTGTTTCCATTAAACAGAGGCATTATCCAAAAAGTATCCTATTTCTAGTGGTACTCAATTTTGTTGTTTAAATGATCATCCTGATTTGCATCTGCCAACTCTTTCATGGAAAGATTATGACATTTTCAACGATGCCTCAGGGTATGTGAATATGAACTGCTCTTTCCTCCTAAGCCAGCAATCTTCTTGATACTTAAGTTTCTTTCATAACGTTTTCATTGTTCCCTTCATTTTGTCTCAAATGAAGGCCTTCCGTTTTCTTGTGTCTGTATCTAAAGAGAATAACCAAGCAAATCTACATTACCTTTGAAGTATACATTGCACTGCTTATTCTCTCCCGATTTTATCATTACTCTTACCACTTTAATTCAAAACTTATTATTTCTCACATACAGCATCCCAGTGACCTAAAATTAATTCTGTAAGTGAAAACTAATGAAATCCTGAAGCTCTCCCAACCCTACCTCAGGTCAAAATGCCTACAGCTTAGTGAAATAAACTTCACTTCTTTATGCTATTCTTGAAGAGCAGAGACAAAGTGTTGAAAAATGCAAATCTTTAATGGGGGGAGGGAAACAGGATAAAAACTGCAATACCCCCAAAGTAGCATGCATAGTCCTGTTAAGAAAGCGGCTGCTGCTCTGATCCAGTATGCTGTTGCAATGTGGTTGGTTAATCTAAGGTCTATAATGTATCAAAAGAATCAAGAAATTCAGTTTTTGGGAGTGTGATAAATCTTCTGGTTTGATGAAGTTGGTTATTATTTTTTTAAAACTATGTGTGAGCCAAACAAAATGTTTGCTGGTTACATCTGGCCCATGGTCAACTCTGTTCCATCTCTGCTCCAAATCTTTTTCCCCAGTATTTTTATATAGCATGTGTTAGACCAAGTAGATAGGCAGATGTGTGGAGGGCAGGATAGAGCCCCAGATAATGTCAAGTGACTGTCAGGTGACTGTCAAAAGATGGTCAGGCAGCTGGTGACAGGGAGGGGAAAATTTCCTAACAAATGGGAGACATCTTGAGCTTATGAGCAACAACATTCCAATACTAACATAAAATAGTGGAGCTTGACCTTACTATGGGGACATGTCCGAGCACACACATTAAGGGGCAAAATGGCAGAGTTTGACTGATACATGACCTTCCTCTGGGGGCGCTAGACCAGTAAGGGAAACTTACTATAAGAGAGCATGCACATAACTTCAATCACCAAATGGCATATGTGGCCCCTCCCAGACACTGGCAACTCACTGTGCATGCAGCAAAGGGAGGAGACTGGGGGAAAAAAAAAAGAAATAGTAAATCTGTAAGAGCCCTGAACCAAAGGTTGGGCAAGGCCCTCAATCTTTAGAGTTGCCTACTTGGTTCATTCCAAGTGTACTTTTCTTTGCTTCAATAAACTCTCATTTCTGTCTTAAATCTACTTCTGTCTCTTGGCCAAATTATTTCTCACAAGAAGACAAGGATCAAGGACTATGGAGCTCACCTGGACTCACCACCAATAACACATGGACTCCAAAGAGAAAAACTCAGTATTTGTACAATGTGTATTATTTGTTTTCACTTTATGCATGCAAAATTCAGGACTATTTTTCTCCAACTCTAATTCTCATCAACTGTCTCCTGTTTGTATTGAAGCACTACTTGAAATTAATGTTGCTTTATTATTTCATGGTATCTCTACCTCATATGAACCAACTTTCTTTTATTTCTTTCTATATGAGGTAGAATAAAAATTATTAAGGAAAAAAGAAAAAAATTTGTTAAATAGTTTCACCAAGTCAACAGTCTTTAAAGCCTCTGACCGTAGTTCTCAATGAAGGTGGCGCTATTCTCCAGGGAACATTATAGAAATGGGTGGAGATGATTTTGTTTATCATAATATTTTTGGTCAATGGAGTTTGTTGTCATTCATTGGTGTAGTCAAGGGATGCTAGACCTTCTGTAATACATATTACAGTTCTGTATATAAACTTGTCATGAGTCCCTCTCCTATTTCTAATGTTGTATCAGACATTTATGTAGGTGGAAACCCTGTTTAAAATCATCTGAGCCTAGAACCAAACACTATTTCACATATAAACAAAAGTATTTTTGCATGATTTTAATAAATGTCTTGCTTTTCAGGAATGAAAACACTTTATAAATTAAAGGGAAATTTTATTTTGCTTTGTTTAGAAGGTATGAAGCCCTGTCACCACCTTGAAAACTCACATCGTCAGTGGGAAAGCTGCTTGTAGTATTTTAGTGGCCATTAAAATATACATGATAATTCTGTATTTTTCGCTGTCATAATCACCTTGATTCTATATAAAGATACAAACATCTAATTAGTTTACTATGCTCTACTGCAGTCATGCCCAATCATATTTATATTAAAATACATTTTATTTCATTTTGAATTGTTTATCCTTGTCCCTTTTTTTGTATCGCAAGTCATTATGGATTTCAGTTTTAAAATTTCTACAAACATGAGTTATATTATCTATAAAAATGTTTCTGGGTACTAAAGGAGTCATTACAAAGTGTATTTTGTTATTTAAAAGGAGCATGGCTTGGGCTGATGGGGTTGAAAAGCACTTTTCTATGGTACATGTTCTCCTGAGTGGGCTTTTGCTCCCTCAGGGTCACCCTGTGATGGTGAAGACATCAAGGGTGCTGAGAAAAGTAGACATGCCATTTAAAATGGAGTAACATTCCAGGTCAATTTCATCGTGTTTAATGATGTGAGAAATGAGGAAAAATCGAGGAAGTTAGTTCTCCTGCACCCTTGTCCTCTGTGAAATGAGACTGTGTTAAAAGCCTATCAGATATCTCCAATGGAACCTAGAATTTATTTTTGCCTTAGCAATTAATTATCTCATGTTTTTGCAATTTTTACTATACTTGTCTTCACCAAATTGCATCATCTTTGTTATTCCTCTAACATACACATTGTTACTCATTTGTAATATACCCATTGCCTAGCACATGATAAATAATATCCTTTTAGTTGCCAGCAACAGAAACAAACTCTGACAAAACAAAAAATGTGATTATAAGCTTTACTGGATGGATATTGGTGAGGCCCATAAAATTTAAAGAAGAGCAAAACAACTGAGGTTCAGGGAAACTGAAACTAGAATAGCACCAAGTACTTTCTATGTCTGTGTTTTGGGGGAGAGTGAATGTGTTAGTCCTAACTGGGGTCATGTTCTTTGCCTTGGAAGCAATCAGTTGTGATCAGGGTAAAAGAAAAGTAGCACTGTGAGAGCCTTTGGCCGTGTTGTTTGTTGGGAGGTGAATATGTGTCTGTTATAAGCACTCAATAACTGTTTCTTCAATTGATGAGTAAATAAAAGAGAAGACTGGTAAAAAAAACATATTTTCCATGAGCAATATTTAATAATATTTTCTCCACTCTAGCTCATGTAAATGAAGTTTGTAATGGTAATACAAGTAAAATTGTTCAATTATGCTTTTTAGAAAATTTACATTCACGTTAAAACACATCTACCAGGACTGAAAAGTAGAAAGAAAATACTTTGAATATATAAAAGGAAGGATTTTTCAGAACTCGGAAGTTTCCTTTTAAATTAATAAATGAAAATATTTCATAACTGTGCATTATTTTTCTTCAAATACTAGGTTGTATTGCCACATTATTATGATGGACACTTTTCAAAACCTCTATTAGGAAATGAGTTGGTTCACACTTTGTCTAGCACAGTGACCCCTGTCATATTCTTATACCATTGTCAGCCCATTACTTCCTTATTTAAACAAGTCCTCAAAACCTGATATGACCTAGTGATAGAATTCATTCTAGTAGGATATTTCTATTGGTTGAAATATACTTTTTCATCAGACTAAATGTAATTCTTATTGGGTTATGTGGTATTGTAATTTTACATTGTAAATTTCAATTATAATTGTAATTGTAATTTTTAACTGTAATTAAACAAAAGGTACTTAAAACACGAAGTATTGAACGGATTTAACATTTACATTAAAATGGAAATACATAAATTATGATGACTTTTAATTTTGAACAGATATTCACATTTAAATTCATATGTTTTAATTTTTAATATAAAACTGTGTTCCATTGAATAAAACACACAATAAAAAGTTTTCACAAGGTAAAATAATTATGGAACAAATTATTTATAACAATTGTCAAAGTAAACCTTGTGAAGAGTCTGAGATTTCACCCTATTTGAACATTAACAGTTTAGCCGGCCACATGTTCGTGAATATGTAGGAGCTATAAGACTCCTGAGTCAGAAAAAAAGCAGCATAGTTTATTACTCACAGCAATAACGGTAGCCAAGAATCCTCGTTTTTGCTTCAGTTCCGTGAGGTGAGTCCCAGTTCCCATGGGCTGGTACAAAGAGTCTCAAGCGACACATCCCCAGCAATGGGTTATGTGAAGGTAAAAGAGCCCTGAATTGAAGGAACCTAAATGTTTTATGATGCACAGTGGGCATGCATAGCCTTTGCTCTAGGGGAGCACTCTGTCTTCCAAGGCTGTTCATTGTAGAAGCAACTCTAACACTCTCTGGAAACAAGGGCAGCCGCTGCCTCTGCTCATAAGACATGCAGAACAAGAGAGGCCTATAAAGAAGTATTTCCCTACAACTCAATACAAAGCTTCCCCAAACTTGTTATAGGAGTCCTAGCAAACATACAGAATTCACTTGATATCATTTTCACTTGTTAGTTGCCCTTTCTTCTCTCAAAAATGATATAATGCTGCACAATATCAACAGACAGGCTTATTGAGAGTCAAATTACCATTTTTTTAAAACACTACACTTTGCAGATTACTAAAGGGAGTTCACATATCACCAATAGTACAGTTTTTCACGATTTATAATTTATTGACCTATTGGCAAATTCTAGTTTGCTCTGCTCTATTATTATATTATATATTATATTGCTCAGCTAATGTTATAATTATTTTCTCTCTTGCTTTCTTGAGATTTACTTTTTTGTATTAATGCCAAAAAATTCCACTTAATTTATCCATATTTTCTCTATTGACCTGTAACTTTAAGTTCCTTCTACCCCACTAGAGACTATTAGTTTGCATTATAAATCTTCACATATGGCCCAGTGCAGTGGCTCACACATGTGATCCCAGCCCTTTGGGAGGCGGAGGTGGGTGGATCACCTGAGGTCAGGAGTTCAAGACCAACCTGGCCAATGTGGTGAAACCCGGTCTCTATTAAAAATACAAAAATTAGCCGAGCATGGTGGCAGGCACCTGTAATCCCAGCTACTCGGGAGGCTGAGGCAGGAGAATCGCTTGAACCCAGGAGACGGAGGTTGCAGTGAGTCAAGATCACGCCACTGCACTCCAGCCTGGGAGACAAGAGTGAAACTCCACCTAAAAAAAAAAGGTTAAAAAAAAATCTTCACATATGATGTTATCCAACTAATAATGTCTAAATTCTTATGTATATTTGTTTATTTAGTCTTAACAATTATTTAAAAATATTAATTTTGGAAATTTGTGTTGGCTAATTCTCAGTCCTTCTTCTGATTGTAAAAGTAGATTTTTGATATACTAGATTACTTGTGTGTCTAATGTGGCAGCCATTAATCAGATGGGTCTATTGAGAATTTGACATTTGACTAGCATAAATGAGCAGCTGAATTTTTAATTTTATGCAACTTTCATTAAGGAAAATGTAAATGTAAAAACTACTGCTGAATTTAATTATTGGAAAACTTTTAAGTACGATGGAATAACTGGGGAAAATGAGTCCACTTTTCCAACAGTAAATTTAATGAGCTCTAAATACAGATCAAATATTTCAATGAAGATTGAGCATCTGAAACAAGATCCACTATAAGAGTCAAATGCAGAGCCGACTTTGAAGAAAGCACTGTAACATGACATATAGAGCTTGCAATGTATCAGACAGAACTAGAAAAATTCTGGTTGTGTGCATTCTTCAAACACTCTTTACTCCCATCTTCTCTAATAAGATTGCTGTGTGACTATATTCATTTATCAGGAATCTGGTCACATAGGTTAACTGATTTTACTAAAGTAATCATAAGTATCTTTCAGTTTTATTAAATTTATCTTTATATACCATGGAAATCATTTCACTAATAAATGATGTAAGTGATTTAAGTTAATCCAATTTGACTAATCTGTGTTTTACCCAATCAGGATTCTTGTTAAGCCTCACATTGCTAGCCTTTCTTAGTGATTTTTAAATCTGTTTCTACATGGAAGCATAAAAATTATTTCTGTATGAAAACCGGTAACATTATTAAACCAACGGATAGTGCTACATCCGCAGCATTTTGGTGGCAGGTTTAACTTAATCCAGTGATTCTATTTTAAAAATATCAAACCCAGAGCACCATTTGAAAATATTATTTTCTCTTTGGTTAAAATTCTGCATTCTCTACCCAATGAAAGAGTGTATCAAATTGATTGGTAAGTGTGCCAACACAAATGCAGCTGTTTAGAATGGAAATGTTAGCTGTGTATAAACTCCAAACTATATCCCATGGTATGTTAAAGATTAAGTCCACCCAGGGAGAAAAGCCTGGGGCCCAAGTTAAGGGACCAAATATTCCATTTCCCATTCTCCCCAGGATTTGTCTTCTCTTGAGCCTTCGTTGCTTCACTCACTGTAGTGCCAAGAGAAACATCTGACCAGAATATAGAATTAAAAAACTGTAGACCAAGGAGTGAGATGTTTGTGATTACCCTGATTTGTGTGTTTGTGTGTTGTGCACATGTATGAAGGCAGAAGCATTAGCAAAAAGAAAAACAGATAAAAGCAACCAAAGCTCATCTATGAATATACATTTGTTTTTTCTGTCCTGTACTCTACCTTGCCTTCTATAAGTTCTAAAGTTAATTTTAAGCTCTTTCTCTTCTACTACTACTGTTTATTTCCCATTTAATTTTAACTACATTTTTGCCTCTGCTTTCCACTCTGGCTGACTTTATTTAGCTTTTTGCTTGCCAAATGATACAATTTATACGTCTATTTTTTTCTATATGATAGGCTGAATTTGAAATTATTTTAATCTTGAGCATCTTTCATGGGCATTAAACCCACTGCTATATTTATGTGCAGAAATCTAATCATTGCTCACTTGTGAGGGGAAAAAATAAAAGCTGGCTATCTGCACTAATTAGTTTAAGTTGTCATAATAGAAGAGCTAATTTCAGATAGGCTTCAGATATTAAAGTTGAAATATCTCAGCCTTTGTGGAGAATGCCAAGTTTTAAAATCTTAAATGTTTTCTTTAATAAATTGTGGATATTTGGTGGCTTAGGAAATATTTTCTCTTTCTTCTGTTTAATATACTAGAATTCTATTCTTCCTGATCTAGCTTTAAATATAATTAAGTAGGAAATAAACAGTGAGCTGTCTTTAATTACCATTAATTCTATGAAAACTTTAAAATATTACAAAGTTATTTAGACATTTTTCCCCTCATTTGTTCGAAGGCTAATTCAAACAGGCAGTAAAAGTTGTGATTGAATACTGATTCTGCAAGCCAAAATAAAACTTTGAATGCATTCTACTTAAATTTGGCAATTAAAATATAGACAATGAAATTATACAAGGTTATAATTGTTCTTCTATGTGAAAATATTTACCAAATTGAAAGGGAAAAGAAATATATATTATACCTCCTCCGAGTTAGAAAGTGCTCCCGTATGTACTTGAAATTTTATCCAGTAAAGCTAGTTATTAGAGCCCTGCAGGCTGAACTAATTCTCAACTCAGCCTCAAACTTTAAAAGTTTAAGAGCTTTGCACATTTTTTAACCTAATCTGGGAAGCAATTACATGATCCTTGCATTATCATCCTCATATTGAGAATCTTCACACTGAGAATTAGAAACCAACTCCCATTTGCAAGATGATGTAATAAAGAATATCCTGATCCCTTAGTCTCTTAAAAATATGCCCTAAAATGTAAGTAGAATGAGAATAAATATATAAATTCTGTCTTCATGGAAAATATATATTTACTGCAACCCACAATAGAGGCAGACAGCAGCAGAGCCATGGTAACTGACGTGGCGGGGGGTTTGGGGAGGAGGCCGGGTCTAAAAGCCTAAAAAGAAGCCACCAAAGATAATCAAGCCCCTGGTGCTCTAGAAGTGACAGCAAGACTAGGGTGGAAGCGGGCTGGGGTGAAGAGGGATTTGCTTAAAGTCTATGTAAGGAGCTGGGCTGATGGGTCCTTATGAGCACCCTGCGCAGGCAGGTGTTTCCACTCCCACAGAAGCCTAGAAAGTCCCTTGTGAAGACACGGAAAAGATCAGCCCTATTAGAAGCAAGGGTAGGGTGCAGAGTTCTGTATGCCCTACGTGCTGAAGAGTAAAACCACCTATGCCCTCCCTGTTGTCTGGTAGGTTTTATGCCCATATAGACATTTGGAAGAGTTTTATCTGAAGACGTTGAAGGAGTCCCCAATGAATCACTGTCAGCGAGTAACCACATGATTCTTAGGAAGGAGGAAAGCAAAAGGAAGCTGCTGTTTCTTTTTTTTCCCATAATTATAATTACATTAATTTTAGTGTCTTTTCACTTCTTTAAAAGTAGGTCAGTGATATGGTTTGGCTCTGTGTCCCCACCCAAGTTTCATCTTGACTTGTACTCCCATAATCCCCACGTGTCATGGGAGGGACCCAGTGGGAGGTAACTGAATCGTGGGGGTGTGTTTTCCCGTGCTGTTATTGTGACACTGAATAAGTCTCAAGAGACCTGATGGTGTTATAAAGGGCATTTCTCTTTGCTGCCTCCGTGTGATGTAGGATGTGTTTACTTCCCCTTCTGCCATAACTGTAAGTTTCCTCCAATCTCCCCAGCCATGCTGAACTGTGAGTCAATTAAACCTCTTTCCTTTATAATTACCCAGTCTCGAGTATGTCTTTATTAGCAGTGTGGGATTGGACTAGTACAGTGAGTATACTACTTTGATACAAAAAATAGGTAATATATATATATAAATAAAAATAATAATTTTAGAGGTTAAATAACTTTCAAACGGACCCATGGCAAGAAGGGCTGAGAGACAGAAATTCTACTCAGCCCAGACATTCCAAAATTTCAATACACCATGCCCTTTTCTATCTATATCAGAAATAAGGAATTAGTAGTAAAGCTCTTCAGTGTTTCTTAAAAAATATTAGATTGTGAATGTAATATTCAAAAATGGATTTGGCATTTAAAAAATACAATTCAATTCACAAAGGTAATATGTAATAACCGAAACAGTTGACATTTCAAGACATATTGTCAATCTATCACTGAGTCTCACAGCACCATAATCTCTAACTTTCTCTAGTATGGAGCTTGCTAGAAAATAGTTATCTATTATATTACATAATATTTTTATCCAGCAATGAAGCAAAAACTAGTATAAACTTTAAAAAATCTATTAAATACAACACTAGTGTTTTTTAAAATCTGTCTTAGGCTCTGTGGTTGTTTTTGCTTTGATGCCACCAAGTTGACATAGCAATAACTTATGCATCCAGAAACATTTAGTGATCACCTAAAATGTGCAGGATACAGGGGAAATTCATCATTAGCAGCAAAGACAGACAACATATCTAGATGTGCAATCATAACTCAATGTGCAACAAAGGGGGCGTTTTGCTCAGCAGGCTCAGCAGAGACTGGAGAACTAGAAATTGCAGAGGTGGGGATATTAGAAGAAAAATTGGAATGACGGATTAACACAAGATCACCAAGAAGTTGGAGTGAGAAAAAGGCAGTCGGGATATCTGTGTCATGACAACTAGACATAAGAGATCATGTTTTCATCGAGTTGCAAGTAATTCATTTCAGGTGAAGGCTTTGTGTTTATTGGCACAAAGTGCTATCACAGAGGAAGGCAGGATCCTGATTGTGCAGACCCATAGGAAAAGGTAAGAAATTTATTCACTATTTTGCAGGTAAGGAATCATTCGAGTGTTTATAAAAATAAGAAAATAACTATTTTAAAGAAAAATATGTATTGTCAACTTTAAGAATAAATTAAGACTGGCAAACTGCAGTGGTGCCATCATAAAGAAACAATTGGGCAGATTTGAATGTTCTTTTGTCCAACCAAATGTGACAGAGAAACAACAGGATGAGGCAGAAGAGGAAGGAGGCCATCAGCTGTCCAGAAAGGCAATGATGTGGGTCTTAACAGTATTCTCTGAGAAAGTATATTTTGGGTACTGAGTGAAGTTTCGGTCTACTGGGTTTGTCTGCTGAGTATGTTTATGAATTCACTTTAAGACATTCATTTATCTTTTCAGAAATATCTATTGAACATATTCTATGTACCAGAGTTTTTGTTACATAAATCAGGTGTCCCCAGACCCCAGGCCACAGACCAGTACTATAATTTAAATGTCTAATTCCAAGGGACAGGAGTCTATACTGCAGACATTTCATTTGTCAAAGCAAATCAGGTAGACAGGCATGATGTGAATAGACAGACCTCAGACCACAGTACTGGTCTGTGGCCTGTTAGGAAAGGGACTGCACAGCAGGAGGTGAGTGGTGGGCCAGCAAGCATTACTTCCTGAGCTCTGCCTCCTGTTAGATCAGCAGCAGGATTAGATTCTCACAGGAGTGTGAACCCTATGGTGAACTGCCCTTGAGAGGGATCTATGTTGTATGCGCCTTACGAGAATTTAACGCCTGATAGAACAGTTCTGTTTTATCCTGAAACCATCTCCCACTGGCCATTCGTAGGAAAATGGTCTTCCATGAAATGGGTCCCTGGTACCAAAAAGGTTGCGGCCTACTGACATAAGATGGATACGTACCTCTATTTCAGGTGGCTGTGAGATGTCTCAATGAAGATGGGCAATAAATAAATTCTGAACTCCAGCCTGAACAGAAGTATTACAATTTTGACTTTTTTACTACTGTATAAGTCCATTTTCATGCTGCTGATAAAGACATACCCAACACTGGGAAGAAAAAGAGACTTAATTGGACTTACAGTTCCACATGGCTGGAGAGGCCTCAGAATCATGGCGGGAGGTGAACGGCACTTCTTACATGGTGGTGGTAAGAGAAAATGAGGAAGATGCAAAAGCAGAAACCCCTGATAAACCCATCAGATCTCATGAGACTTATTCACTACCATGTGAACAGTATGGGGGAAACCACCACCATGATTCAAATGATCTCCCATTGGGTCTCTCCCACAACACATGACAATTTTGGGAGTACAATTCAAGATAAGATTTGGGTGGGGACACACACTCAAACTATACCATTCTGCCCCTGGCCCTCCAAATCTCATGTCCTCACCTTCCAAAACCAATCATGCCTTCCCAACAGTCCCCCAAAGTCTTAACTCATTTCAGCATCAACCCAAAAGTCCACAGTCCAAAGTCTCATCTGAGACAAGGCAAGTTCCTTTCACCTATGAGCCTGTAAAATCAAAAGCAAGCTAGTTACTTCCTAGATACAATGGGGGTACAGGTATTTGGTAAATACAGCTGTTCCAAATGGGAGAAATTGACCAAAACAAAGGGATTACAGGGACCATGCAAGTCCAAAATCTAGCAGGGCAGTCAAATTTTAAAGTTCCAAAATGATCTCCTTTGACTCCAAGTCTCACATCCAGGTCACGCTGATTCAAGAGGTGGCTTCCCATGGTCTTAGGCAGCTCCACCCCTGTGGCTTTGCAGGGTATAGCCTCCCTCCCAGCTGCTTTCACAGGGTGGCATTGAGTGTCTGGGGCTTTTCCAGGCAAACAGTGGAAGTTGTTGGTGGATCTACCTTTCTGGAGTCTGGAGGACAGTGTCCCTCTTCTCACAGCTCCACTAGGCAGTACCCCAGTAGGGACTCTGTGTCGGAGCTCTTGACCCCACATTTGACTTTTGCACTGCCCTACCAGAGGTTCCTCATGAGTGCCCTGCCTCTGCAGCAAACTTCTGCCTGGGTATCCAGGCATTTCCATACATCCTCTGAAATCTAGGTGGAGGTTCCCAAACCTCAATTCTTGACTTCTGTGTACTCACAGGCTAAACACCACATGGAAGCTGCCAAGGCTTGATGCTTGCATCCTCTAAAGCCATGACCTTAGCTCTATGTTGTCCCCTTTCAGCCATGGCTGGGGTGGCTGGGACACAGGGCGCCAAGTCTACAGGCTGCACACAGCATGGGAACCCTCAGTGCGGCCCATGAAATCATTTTCTCCTAGGCATCCAGGACTGTGATGGGAGGGGCTGCCATGAAGGCCACTGACATGCCCTGGAGACATTTTTCTCATTCTCTTGGGGGTTAACATTTGACTTCTCGTTACTTATGCAAATTTTTGCAGTAGGCTTGAATTTCTCCTCAGAAAATGAGTTTTTCTTTTCTATCACATTTTCAGGCTGCAAATTTTTCAAACTTTTATGCTTTGCTTCCTTTATAAAACGGAATGCCCTTAACAGCACCCAAGTCACCTCTTGAATGCTTTGCTGCTTAGAAGTTTCTTCTGCCAGATACCCTATATCATCTCTCTGGAGTTCAAAGCTCCACAAATCTCTAGGCGAGGGGAAAAATACCACCAGTCTCTTTGATAAAACATAAAAAGAGTCACCTTTGCTCCAGTTCCCAACAAGTTCCTCATCTCCATCTGAGACCACCTCAGCCTGGACCTTATTGCTCATATCACTATCAGGCTTTTGGTCAAAGCCATTCAACAAGTCTCTAGGAAGTTTCAAACTATTCCACATTTTCCTGTCTTCTTCTGAGCCCTCCAAATTTTTCCAACTTCTGCCTGTTACCCGGTTCAAAAGTGGCTTCCACTTTTTTGGGTATCTTTTCAGTAATGCCCCACTGTACTGGTACCAATTTACTGTATTAGTCCATTTTCACACTGCTGATAAAGACACACCCAAGACGGGGAAGAAAAAGAGGTTTAATTGGGCTTACAGTTTCACGTGGTGGGGGAGGCCTCAGAATCATGGCAGGAAGCAAAACCGCACCCATGATTCAAATTATCTCCCACCAGGTTCCTCCCACAAAACATGGGAATTATGGGAGTACAATTCAAGATAAGGTTTGGGTGGGGACACAGAGCCAAACCATGTCAACTACTATGCATAAATTTATGAGAGTTATGTGAGTTTTCTTGGGGAAAACATAAAAATTAAGGTGAACATTTAAGATACAAGTAGATGAAGAAAATTCGTACATGTTATTGGAAAGAAGTATCAGAAAGTTGAATAGAAAACTGTGAGAGGGACATGTCTAACTAAAAAGTCTTGCATTCTATTGTAACACATTTATCATTAACATTGTATTAATAAAGCAAATCAAATAAACACTGTCTATTATGGTCTTGTCAATTATAAAATAATTACATTGCTTATGAAAAGTAAGGATATTCAGGTAGCATAGATAAAAGATGTGCATGTGAAACATAAAACATTTAATTAATAGTTTCTATTTTCCAGATTTTTAATAGGGTAGAGACATTTTTATTATAATTATTGATGATTATTTCCTGTGCATGGTTAAATTTTTCAATGTCTTTGTCCCATAATAAAGCAGAAACACATAGGAACTGAAACATGCCTTTCCAGTCATTACATGTTTGCCAGTGGATGAACTGCCAAAATTTGGGGTTGATTGAGTCTTATGCCTCAGGGAAAACACCCCACTGAAGGTAAATATATGCCAATGAGTCCAGCGATAGGGAAATGGCAGGAGACTGTCAGAATAGAATCTGTTTCAGTATGCTAAAGCTTAGTTCTTGGCAGGTGCAAAATAACTCTGCAAACTTCAGAGTCAGAATCATACAAGACAAGTTTATTTCTTATATATGCTGTATATCCATTGTCTGGCCTGGCTCCATGTCTTCAGTCAGGGATGCCTGTTTGTGGAGAAGGCCCTCTCTAGGATATTGCCAGTCTCCTAGCAGTGAAAAAATAGAGACTGAAGGACCGGGAACTATACCTTAAATGTCTAGTTTTAAGGGACAGGAGTCTATTCTGCAAACATTTTGTTCGTCAAAGCAAATCAGGTAAAAGGCATGATGTCAATGGATAGAGATGCATAAATTCCCAGGTAGGGAGGAGACCTCTAGGCAGCGGGAATGGACAAACAGAGGATTGACTTTCCGGTGCGAGATTTTTTTCACACTACTCAAAGGAGTGCACCATTTAAAACTTACTAATTTGTACATTTCTGGAATTTTCTAATTAGTGTTTTCAGACCATGGCTGAACACAGGTAACTAAAACTGTAAAACCAAGACAGCAGATAAAGGGGAACTAGTATACATTTAAAAATGTGTTAAGAGCATAGATCTCACATTATATGTTCTTATAAAAAAAAAAAAGGCAGTCATTTGTTAACAAAAGGAAACAATTGGAATAGATCACTGGTTAAGTGCATGTCCTCTGGAGTTAGATTAAGATGGAAATCCAAGCCCAATCCACTTCTTCTTGGTTCTGCAAAACTTGGGCAAGTCACAAAATCTTTCAGAGACTCAATTTCATCCTCTGTAAAAAGGAGATAATAATATGATAATATAACCATCATTCACTGAGAGGATTCAAAGAGATAACAAATATTAAATAAAACTTAGTAATCACTGTGATCAATGAGTATTTTTATTTAGCCTAAATTAGAAGACAAATGTCTTCCAGTATTTAAAAAGACAAAGAGGAAGAGTATGATGAGCTGTCCCAGAGGGCAGAAATAAATAATGGGACATTCCATAGAGGCATGAAAAGGATTTTTAAACTTAATTTCATTATCAACTAGAGAAGTTTTAACTGCATAAGAAAAAAAACAAATATGTAGACTGAAAAATGTAAAATTGTAACATTTTTTCCAGTAAAAGAATCCAGGTTTGTTATGGCTGCTCCCTGGTCACCAAGCATCCCTGGCAGGGATTCACTACAGCACTGTCCTCTGCTGAGCCTCACATGCCACTCTGATTACATCCAACCAGCATTGCTGATGGAACTTCAACCCCTATTTTCACCTTCCGAGCAGCAAACTGGAGGAAAGACAGCAGAATGGTGTTTCCACTTTTTCTCTGGAGAGTTTATCAAAGTTCCATGATACGTTTCTTCTACATCTTACAGAGAGATTAATCATATGGCCACACATGTGTGTACGAGAGGAGCTATGAAAAGTCGTTCTTCAAATGAGCGGCAGCACATCCAGCTAAAATGTAGGTGTCTTTTACTAAAAGTGAAGATGCGTATTGGGGTAGGCAATTAGAACTCTCAGACACATTTATTTAATAAGCTCCTTTATACACTCATTTATTATTATTCACAAGTTAATTATCAGTAGAGATTCACTACCTGTCAATCTTTCCACTGTGACTCTCCAGCTGAGTAGCCCACGGTAAACTAAGTGTAGACAGAACCACACAAGCTACTGACCCCTAAAGACCTAAACCAGTGCCACTCAAAATGCCATCTGCAACCTGCTTTTTACCAATCTGCAGTGAAATATGTCTAGAAATTGAATGATTCTAAATTTTTGTAGTAGTTTGACAGAGTAGTTTATGCCTGTTAAATCTCCTAAGTTGTTAAGACTTATGTTTTAGGACTTTTAAATTTCACTTTTCCTGTACCTTTTTATATTTGATGAAAGTATTGGTTCCAGATGATTGGAAACAAAACAAAATTGATCTCTTATCACATATAATTGAAGATGCACTGACTCAGAGCAAACAGCAAAGACAACGTTGAATGAGGATGCATTTGGCAGTGAGAGTTCTATTAGGCTTTGAAGTTCATGTAGTATCACCTTTTGAAGACATATATAAGCTTTATTTGAAACTTTCCCACATGTCAGATGATAATCCAAAACAGGTGACGTGATCATCCTCGCTGCAAAAAGAGAAAAGTTACCTTGTCCTTGTTCTGAGTAGAAGACATTCTTCCAAACCAAATGCAAGTCCTCGTGATTCAGCCACCTATACCTAAATGATTCATTTAATCATTCAAATCACAAAATTTATATTGGATGGGAACAATAAAAATGTAGCAAAGCAAGCATAAATAATAAGCATGTAACTGAAAAAAATTGCCATTTGGAAAAAGAGCATCACAGTTGCATTGCTCAGACTATATCATGTAGAACAGATACGTCGAGAGTATTTGCCTTTATCATGGAGTGAACTTCCTGGTCAGTCATTCTTACTTTCCTCAGATCTGTTCTTTAAGAGAACACCTTTACTCAGTCCTGCACGGATACATGTGAAAGAGGCATGGAGGCCACAACAGAAGCTAGGTGCATAGACAACTATTTTCTAGGCTGACATGACAGAAACGATTTCTTTCAACCTTCATTGTCTGTTGGTTGAGCCAAAGGGCCAGTTGGCGAAGTCGAAGATCTCCATTCATGCACCACCCACGTGGAGACCTGGTGCTACACAGACTTCATCACTCGCAGGTCTCAGCTCGTCTGCATCCATCTTGGGCCCTGCCTCTGAAATTGGGAGGCATCAAGGAGGCTGGATTACACTCACAGAAGCTGACTTATTTTTCTTCAGTGCAATAATTTTAGCCTTTCTCAAGCAAGAAATACTCAGAATAATTGTGAGGTTAGGCTTCTCCAGTTTTTCGTCTCCTACACTGAAATACATGTGTCTTGTGATTTGCACCTCCATATCTCTGCTTTGGGCAGGGCATTTAACATATTTTTTCCACAGCTATAGAGCATATTATTATGATTTTTAGACATATTGTTTGCTGACCAGCAGCAGAGAGTATTTCTAGAAATCTGGAAGTGTTTTCTTATTTCCCTTTTTCCCAATGGGCCTGTTTGGGCAAAATTCATTTTCTTGTGAAAACTTGCAGAAGGCTGGAAGTGGTAGCCAACAGTCTTCAACGTCCTAAAATTCTCTACACAGTCTCCTACAGCTATAGTACTGAAAGGTCCATCATGTGCATTCTAAAGACAAAACAGGCATTATATTATCTACCTTTCATGTAATGGAATTGACTCTATGCTTTTCTCCTCTTTTGAGTATTGCCAATTTTATTTTTAAGTAGGGTCTCTCTTCTTACAGAATGCAGACATGGGAAAAAGGGAGTATAAAAATTAAGTACCCAATGAGCCATGAATGACCCAGTTTTAACAACTTTTGAATTAATTCAGCTACCTTGAGTTGTAGAGGCATCCCCAAGGTGGGCAAGATCCAGCTACTTAAAAGAATGTCTGTTCTCAGAATGATGTAGGGAGAAAGTGTAACTCTCTGAGGGAAAGAAAATGGACTGCCAAAATTAGCCGATTTTTGGCTGGGTGTGGTGTCTCATGCCTGTAATCCCAGCACTTTGGGAAGCCAAGGCAGGTGGATCACCTGAGGCCAGGAGTTCGAGACCAGCCTGACCAATATGGCGAAACCCTGTCTCTACTAAAAATACAAAAAATTATCAGGGCATGGTGGTAGGTGCCTGTAATCCCAGATACTCAGGAGGCTGAGGCAGGAGAATCGCTTGAACCCAGGAGGTGGGGGCTACAGTGAGCCACAATCACCCTATTGCACTCCAGCCTGGGCAACAAAAGTGAAACTCCATCTAAGAAAAAAAAAATTAGCAGATTTTTAAAACAAATGTTTAATTACAGTTTAATAAATATTAATTAAAAATAATGTAATCAAATGTATTATAAATATTATCTATTAAAATTATACAAGTGACTAGTTATTTTTGTTTTAACATAATTTTTGATATTGATTAATGCATGGGAAAAATGCATTTCAAAGTTAATCTCAAAAAAAATTTTTGCACAAGCTCTGGCATGCAAAAACAGCCAGGAAAACAGCCCCAGAAAGAACTGAGAGCAACCCTTTGGCAAATGGTGCTATATCACTCCTGTTCTTGTCTACCTCTAAAGTTGAAATTGTTCATGTATATTAATTCAGCACTCTGTCACAAAAAAACTGTAAAAATAATAATATTACCTGAAAATAAAAAGATACATTTTTCTATTTAATTCACATGTAATCGATCATGATTTTACCTTTTATCACAGAAAGCCCTGCACATTTCAAGAATAAGTCTGTATGATAATAATATGTGTGTCCCAGACTTAAAAAGTCAAGCATCGGATAGAGCTGGAGCAGAGAGAATTAAAAAGTGAGACCTGTGGATTGCCATGGCATGGTGTTTGGAATATAAACTGGGTTTACTAGCATGAAAATTCTTTTAGTTTTTCAATCAAGATTTTGGCTGGCTCTGGTAAGAGTGTTGCAATGTCCCATGGGCATATTAACAGGTGAAGCTCGAAGCTTGCTTTTTACCCTGCATTTGTAGAAGACTTTAATGAATAGAGATTAGTAGGTCTGGAAACAGCTTTTTCTGGCAAACATCAGCCACTTTTAAAATGTTTAGAAATAGCAAATCCTTGATTATCTACCAAGAACATTCACCCTCTTAAGGTTTTAAACGCTTGCATATTGTAATATGGAGTTAATGCATCATTTCTGATTCATTTAATCTTATCTCATCATGAGGTTATAACAACAGTGCAATTTTATAGTCCAAATTGCTCCAAATTGCTGTTGAGCTTTTAAATTAGGCATTTTTAAAAATCCAAAAATAATATTTTAACTAGGGATAAAAGCAGCTTGAAACATACATGTTCTAAACTAGCTAAAAAATGGATTCCATGAAGCTCACATCAGCTCCATACCACACATTCCTCTGTAACTACCAGATATAATCTTTCCAATCAATACCAGGGGTCTTTCTCAAAGTCTTACATTTTCAACTTTTTAAATGTCCATTCACACTATAGTTTCATTGTATCTGTCTTAAATTACAAATATTTACCCAGATTTTCTCTATAGTTAAATTACTACCTGGGATACTACTCTCTTCATGACATTATTAAATGTTTTAGTGATTTGTGGTACACTTAGTAAAATAATTTATTTGAGATACACAACTACTCTGGAAAATGACATGTCTTAGTTACTGTCAGGTGGTATTATATGCACTAGCAGGCATAGTAAGTTATTCTAGTCATCAAAGAAGTTGTCAATTGAATGCCAAGTATCACTGATTCCTTCTCTATTCTCCTAATGAGAAATGAAGGAGCTACAGTAGCTGTGAATGTAATTACAAAGTATATAATATGGAACAAAAATATGGTAAAAAGAATAACTTAGCTGATCTCATAATGTTACCATTGTTGTATATAGATAAAAGTCTTGGTAGGATTTACACAAATAAAAGAAAGGCCATTGGGAGTTGTGAGAACTGTTCCTAATGCACTCGTTCATTAATCACACATTCATTCATCAATGTTGGGTGTCAACAAACATGTATTGATCACCCAGAATGTGTTTGCCAGTGAGCTTCACAGCAGAAATACCAACCGTGTTCTGATTGTGGAGACACAAACATAAACAATCATGACCAATTGTTATATAATTTATGATATGTATATGAAATTGTTAGAAAACAAATAATTGGAACTAAATGGATGAGAAAAGTCTTCATAAAAAAGGTGACATTTTTTCCAAAACAAGAAATTTAAGTAGGTTACCAACAAGGATGTATGGGAAGGGGATTCCAGCTATAGAGATTTTGAAGGTAGCATATACTGGAAGAGTGTGCATGAGAGTTCCTCAATGAATTAATCAATGTCTAATTCAATAAAATGAATTACTCTAGCTCTTTGTCCTGTGATTGTAGTCAAACTATTGAAATAGAGGAAATAGAAATACAAACTACCATCAGAGAATTCTAAAAAACACCTCTATGCAAACAAACCAGAAAATCTACAAAAAATGGTTAAATTGCTGGACATACATACCCTCCCAAAACTAAAGCAGGAAGAAGTTGAATCTCTGAATAGACCAATAATAGGTTGTGAAATTGAGGCAATAATTAATAGCCTACAAAGCAAAAAAAGTCTAGGACCAGTTGAATTCACAGCTGAATTCTACCAGTGATACAAAGAGGAGCTGGTACCATTCCTTCTGAAACTATTTCAATCAATAGAAAAAGAGGGAATCCTCCCTAACTCATTTTAAGATGCTAGTATCATCCTGATAACAAAGCCTGGTAGAGACACAACAAAAAAAGAGAATTTTAGGCCAATATCCCTGATGAACATCTATGCAAAAATGCTCAATAAAATACTGGCAAACTGAATCCAGCAGCACATCAAAAAGCTTATCCACCACAATCAAGCCGGCTTCATCCTTGGGATGCAAGGCTGGTTCAACATATGCAAATCAATAAATGTAATCCATCACAGAAACAGAATCAATGACAAAAACCACGATTATCTCAATAGATGCAGAAAAGGCGTTTGACAAAATTCAACAGCCCTTCATGCTAAAAACTCTCAATAAACTAGGTATTGATGGAATTTATCTCAAAACAATAAGAGCTATTTATGACAAACCCACAGCCAACATCATACTGAATGGGCAAACATGGAAGCATTCCCTTTGAAAACCAGCACAAGACAAGGATGCCTGCTCTCACCACTCTTATTTAACATAGTGTTGGAAGTTCTGGCCAGGGCAATCAGGCAAGAGAAAGAAATGTATTCAATTAGAAAAAGAGGAGGTCAAACTGTCTCTGTTTGCAGATGACATTATTGTATATTTAGAAAACCCCATCATCTCAGCCCAAAATCTCCTTAAACTGATAAGCAACTTCAGCCAAGTCTCAGGATACAAAATCAATGTGCAAAAATCACAAGCATTCCTATACGCAAATAATAGACAAACAGAGAGCCAAATCATGAGTGAACTCCCATTCACAATGACTACAAAGAGGATAAAATACCTAGGAATCCAACTTAAAGGGATGTGAAGGACCTCTTCAAGGAGAACTACAAACCAATGCTCAACAAAATAAAAGAGGACACACATGGAAGAACATTCCATGCTCATGGATAGGAAGACTCAATATCATGAAAATGGTCATACTGCCCAAGGTAATTTATAGACTCAATGCTATCCCCATCAAGCTACCACTGACTTTCTTCACAGAATTGGAAAAAAACTACTTTAAAGTTAATATGGAACCAAAAAAGAGCCCATGTAGGGAAGATAATCCTAAGCAAAAAGAACAAAGCTGGAGGCATCACGCTACCTGTCTTCAAACTACACTACAAGGCTACAGTAACCAAAACAGCATGGTAATGGTACCAAAACAGATATATAGACCAATGGAACAGAACAGAAGCCTCAGAAATAATGTCACATATCTACAGCCATCTGATCTTTGACAAACCTGACAAAAACAAGCAATGGGGAAAAGATTCCCTATTTAATAAATGGTGCTGGGAAAACTGGCTAGCCATATGTAGAAAGCTGAAACTGGATCCCTTTCTTATATCGTCTACAAAAATTAACTCAAGATGGATTAAACACTTAAATGTAAGACCTAACATCGTAAAAACCCTAGAAGAAAACCTAGGCAATACCATTCAGGACATAGGCATGGACAAAGACTTCATAACTAAAACACAAAAAGCAATGGCAACAGAAGCCAAAATAGCCAAATGGGATCTAATTAAACTAAAGAGCTTCTGCACAGCAAAAGAAACTATCATCAGAGTGAATAGACAACCTACAGAACAGGAGAAAATTATTCCAATCTACCCATCTGACAAAGGGCTAATATCTAGAACCTACAAAGAACTTAAACAAATTTAAAAGAAAAAAAACAAACAACCCCATCAAAAAGTGGGCAAAGGATATGAACAGACACTTCTCAAAAAAAGACATTTATGCAGCCAACAGACATATGAAAAAATGATCATCATCACTGGTCATCAGATAAATGCAAATCAAAACCACAGTCAGATACCATCTCACGCCAGTTAGAATGGTGATCATTAAAAAGTCAGGAAAAAACAGATGTTGGAGAGGATGTGGAGAAATAGGAATGCTTTTACACTATTGGTGGGAGTGTAAATTAGTTCAACCATTGTGGAAGATAGTGTGGCAATTCCTCACGCATCTAGAACTAGAAATAGCATTTGACCCAGTGATCCCATTACTGGGTATATATGCAAAGGATTATAAATCATGGTACTATAAAGACGCATGCACACATATATTTATTGCGGCACTATTCACAAGAGCAAAGACTTGGATCCAACCCAAAGGTCCATCAATGATACACTAGATTAAGAAAACGTGGCACATATACACCATCGAATACTATGCAGCCATGAAAAAGGATGAGTGCATGTCCTTTGCCGGGACATGGATGAAGCTGGAAACCATCATTCTAAGCAAACTATCATAAAGACAGAAAACAAAACCCCGCATGCTCTCACTCATAGGTGGGTGTTGAACAATGAGAACACATGGACACAGGGAAGGGAACATCACACACCGTGGTCTGTCGGGGTGTGTGGGGCTGGGGGAGGGATAGCATTAGGAGAAATACCTAATGTAAATGATGAGCTGATGGGTGCAGCAAACCAACATGGCACATGTATACCTTTGTAACAAACCTGCACCTGGAGCACATGATGTACCCTAGAACTAAAGTATAATAATAATAATAATAATAATAATAATAATAATAATAATAATAATAATAATAAAAGAAAGTTAATTAATTAGGAATGTCTCAAAGAAGACAAGGAAAACTTGAGATTTTATGAAACTAAGAAGACATTGTGGAAGGGTGGAGGTGAGCCTTACTTCCTACAAGGGCAGGGTGATCCTTTGTGTTTAGTCTAAAAACACAAATGGGAAGAGCGATTTCTTAACCTTTGCTGTCTTCCCAGAGCAATAGGCTCAGATAAATTCAACATTTTCAGTCAGAAAGAGTATAGGAAATTGACTCAAGTTACCAAAATTCTAACAGATAAATATAAGACACATTGTAGCTATTTCTAATATTAGTTTAAGAAAATGAAAAACAAAACAAAACCAACTGCAGAACTGAAGACATAAATTTTTTTTCTTTTAATAAGTGCAAAAGCAAATGGTATAAATTATGCAAAATATTGTCCTCCTTATTCACTTATATTTATTAAAAGTATTTCAGAATTATACACAGACTTTCATCATGGAAGTAATGACATGAAAATATTTTAGTGTTCTGAACAACATTTGGACTCAACAATGAAACAGAATATACATAGTATGGTACAAAACAAATCCTAATTTTTCATTAATGTTCTAATATTTAAAACAGTCCTTATTCAATAAATATATTTCAATGAATGAATGAAGAAATTTTGGAGTTAAAAATTGGGGATATATATGCTTATATTATTAAATTCTTAATTAAAAGCAGAACATTGAATATTCATCTTAAAATTTAAGCCTAACTTTCATCTTCTAGTTCATGCATCTCAGAATGACTGATGGTCTAATTTTAGAAGAGATATCTCGCCACCCTAGGCATATGTATGTATGTGAGGATACATGGTGTAAAACAAAAATAAAATTCTAAGCTCCCCAGGTGACTGAATGAATCCCTAAGGGCATTCCAAAGTTAACCTGAAAAACTAGTAGAGGTCATGATGGGAAAGGAGGGTCAGCCATGGCTCATTATACTCTCCTCCCTTTGGAATTCAGGCACAACTGACCAGTATTAACATTAAAACAGAGGTCTTAGGACTGACAAAGCAGACTCTTGGTAGCAGTAAGATACCAAATTCCAACTGATTCTAGTATAGCATCACATGGCGGGTAACAGGTCCTGAAAGAGATTCAAATATTTTACCGCAAAATATATTTCTTTGACATACTTTAGAATGGCCCTGCAAAGCTGCCTCTTATGGGGGAAATTTACATTCTATAGAGAATCTCCTTCCCTTACAAGGTCTTTTCAGGAGAGTCTAGCCCCTTTTAAGGTCTGATATGAAGACACTTGTCATCTACTGTCTCTGAAGCCTGCTACCTGGAGTCTTCATCTGCATAACCTTAGCTTCCACAATTCCCCTGAATTCCTCAAATTTCTTTCTGCTGACTTCAACTATTTAAGAAAAACCTAATGATTTCAACCAGTTGCCTGTCAGAAAATCTTTGAATCCACATATGACCTAGAAATCCCTCACCCACTTTGAGATGTCCTGTTTTTCCAGACCAAACCAATGTACACCTTACATGTATTGATTGACATCTGTTTGTAATTCCCTACACTTTTTCTTTAGAGATGTTAATGTAGTTAATCCTTCAGAATAAAATCCTTCTGGCCCTGGAGGCATTCCATCTCTTTAAATTGAATTTTCTTCCCTACATGTTGATTTTACAGTTTAATCTCCAAGGGCAATTTTATTTCCCCTTTTTATGGGTGTTTGGGGGATTCCTCAGGTCTAATTCTTATGCCAATTAGAGCATCGTGGCATAAAAATGCATTGTGTGTCTGAGGAATGGTGAGTAGCTTCCTGGAATTACAAGCAATCAACTATGGTACTAGAATGGTAAGTCTAGGACTTATCAACAGATCAAGATCATTTGTCATGAGTATTTGGCACTGATGGATATTGGACTTGATCATGACAGGGGTCTGCCATAGTGAAGAGCATAAGGGTAGAGACCGTCATTATTTTGTCAAGTGACAATCTAGTAAATCCAAGGTTTGGAAATGACCATACACAAGTTCATTATTTGTCACGATGTTCTTGCGAAGATAAGCTAAAAGTCATTGTTTGTATTATATTTTTTTCATATTTTTTAGAACTATTTTATGTGTTCTTTTTCTTCAGGCCTTTTTTTTTTTTTTTTTTAACAACAGAGACTTTCTACATTTCCCAATGATAATGCCTTAAAGATAATACTTGGTGGGATAGCAACAACTTGGTAATCACGTAAGTAAGAATTGTCTTCATTTTGACTTTCAGCATGTAGCACAGACTATGACTCAACAATTACTATTTTTTCCTTAAAAAAGTTAAATTAATGCATGAGAAGGCATAAAAGATAGCACTGAGAATGTGATTTTTCTCAAACTCGCCGTTGCCATTTTTATGGAATAGAATCACCCACATATAATTTAATTTTAAAGAAATCATAGTCTAGAGAATTTTGTATAGCAAAAAGCACAGGTATTCAGAATGCTTCTGAACTTAAGCAATCTAAGTATTTACATGTAAATAAAGAATCTGCTTTAGGAGATTGGAATTGACTCAATAAACCCATTGCCAGTTCTGTCGTGTGGAAGGAAATTATAGTAACTCAGTTGTTGAATTAAAAGTTCTATACTTTTTAATTGATATGATCAATGCACCTATGAACAGTAAAAAAAGACAAATATCTAAAATATTATTAATAAATTTTACTTGAAACAGTACATGATGAATGGAAGTAGAACAGAGAAACCTATAACCTTGAAAAATAAAGAGCTTGAGGGACCAAGGAACAATCCTGATAGAGATTGAAAGAAATTGTATAAGTGAAGAAAAAAAGTATTTCTCCAAATGCAGTTAGAGTTGGCAAAGTACTTCCATGGAAATATGATTGTGAAGGGGTCTGTACTTATTCCTTCTCAATGACTTACAGTAACGTTTAACATTTATAAAGAAAAAGGAGATTTCAATAACTGACAGCACTACAGACTCAGTCTGGGACCTTAAAAATCAAACCGTTCTTTCTGCTTCTCACACAGGGACTGATACCACAAGTTCTTAGGATTTACTTCATTGACAATTTAGCTCATGATGTGCGGGAAGTATGGAATTCAGCTCACTCTACCATAACTCTATTGACTCTTTACTTCTAGTGGCAGCAAAAACAACTTGTTCTTGTGTACAGCAAACAGATTTATAACTTAAAAGAACACCAGTAACAGATATGTTGAGAACCAAAGTGTCAATTTCATAGTTTTTTTCTTCATGAAATTGCACTTACAGTCCATCTGATAAATTGCATTCTCAGTGATATAAAGAAAAATGTAAGATTCAATAGAGTATCACTGAGCCCTAGCAATAGCAGAATAAATATAAAACCTCTGTCAAAAGTATATAGTTTGAAACTTATTTTCTCTGTCTTAACAGCTCCCTGAATTAAATTGATGCTTTAAAATAGCAGAAAGAAGAGACAAAAAGATGATTGTCTTTGATAGGAAATGAAAGAACATTCTCTTTTCTTAAAAACATCATGGAGTCATCTACTCTTATGTAACCTTTTTAATTGAAAAATTTAGAACAAAATTTAGATCTATTTTGAGTATTAAATATGTACAACATATATCAATATCAATCTTAGTGCTAATGAAGAAGGAATAAGTTACACACTCTCCTTAAAACAGTATGTTGAAATATGTGTATATATGTATGTATATATATGTGTATGTGCATATGTATGTGTGTACGTATGTGCCTGCAAAAATAATTACCTTTATATTTCAAATGCCTTAAAAAAAAGCATTGGACTTTGACCAGATTATCTATTTTCAGAACTGTATCCTAGTTAAAATAGAAATTCAGACCAAAATTTATTGGATTAGATTCATTAAAAAATTTCATGTAAACATAAAAACTAATTATGTAAATGTCTAGCCGTACAGTGATTATATGATAGTCTGATTAATCTGCACACTTCTCGGAATTTGCATCTGTTTCATCCTTTTATTAGGTAGCCTTAGATAACTACTTATATATATTTTACAAATTTTCATTACATCTGTAAACGCCTGTCAGTACACATTCTGAATGTTTATCTAGACCCAAGATAGATGATGATGATGATGATAATGATGATGATGATGATTAGTTGATATTTCAGTTAAGGTTCTCTTGGCACATTGCATAGATATCATCCCCGTATTTTCTTTTATTGTTATTCCCCGACATCTCTATATAACTTACCTGGCTATTTCCATGAATTTTTTTGAAAAATTAAACTCTTTATTTTCCAAGGGCACAATTGCTAGTGGTTTCCTAAGAAAGAGACACATATGGTGGATCCTGATATATCTGCAAATGTCTTTCTTTGCTTCTCATATTGGCACGATAATTTGGCTAGGTATACAATTCTAAGATTAAAAATCTTTTTACTCAGATTTTTAAAATCATTGTCCTATATTTTTTCTGGCTTCAAGCATTGCTGCAGAGAAAGTTAATTCTTTCCTTTACCTGACTTCTCTGAACGTTTTCAAAATCTTATTATCTGGAGTATTTTGATACTTCCTAATTATATTCTTAGGTACACAGTTATTCCTTCTGGTTGAAAGACATATGTGTTAGATTTTAGAAATTATTATCCTACTAATACATCCAAAAAATCCTTTTCTTTCCTTGTTTTTCTAGAATGACTCAGAATTGAATATATATGTTCCTCATTTTTATATTTTTTCTCATATTTCTCCATAACTTAATTTTTTACTCTTATTTTCAGGGAAAGTTTCTCAACCTTATCTTTCAAAATATCTGTTGAATTTTTTGCTGGCCATGGTTTTACTTGTAAGAGTTCTTACTATTTAGTTACTCTTTGAAGTCTTCCTATTGATTATGACTATGAAGTCTTTATATATAATAAACAAAAGTTTTTTTTTTTCCTACCTTGTCCTTGTAAACCAAAAGTATCTGAGACAGATCTTAATCAATTTAAAGGCTGATTTTGCCCAGGTAAAAGATCACGTCCTGTGATATAACCTCAGGAAGTCCTGAGAACATGTGCCCAAGGTGGTTGGGTTATACCTTGATTTTTATACATTTTAGGGAGAGAGAATAGAATTTATAGGCAGAGACATAAATCAATACATGTGAGGTATGTGTTGGTTTAGCCTGGAAAGGAAGAACATCTCAAAAGGGGAGGGAGATGCTTTCAGGTCATAGGTGGATTTAAAGATTTCCTGATTGGCAATTGGTTAAAAGCATTAAGCTCTGGCTGAAGAGTTGAAATCAGCTTGAGTTAAGGTAGCTAGGGGGGATTGTGGGAGCCAAGGTTCTTGTCATTAGGGAGAATAGATGTGAATGTCTCTTACCAAGGGTGTCAGACTCTCTGAAGAGAACTAGTAAAGGAAGGCGATTCTCTACAGAATGTAGATTTCCCTCCACACCAGATAGCTTTGCAGGGCCACCTCAAAATATGTTGAAGAAATACATTTTGGGGTAGAATGCTTTGATTTCCTTTTAAGTTCTGTTATCTGTCATGTGATATACCAGCATTAGGTTGGAGTTGGTACCTTATTGCTACAAAGAGTCTGTTCTGTCAGTCTTAGCATCTCTATTTTAATGTTAATGCTGGTCAGTTGTGTGCTTGAACTCCCAAGCACACAATGATCGTGCGCCTGTCTGACCACTCCTTTCCCATGATGACCTCCAAGTTTCCTTGTGTTTGTTTGGCCTAGAGCAGGGTTCATTCAGTCAATTGAGGGGCTAAGCATCTGAGTTTTGGTTTACATCCTACCTACATTGTGTTCTCTTTCTCCAGACCTGTAATTGATGTGTATACTCTAATCTATCATATTAGGTACTTTTCTCAAAATCTGGTACTTCATGTTTGCCTATTCACTTAAAAAAATAGGATAATGAAGATATTAGCTTAATTGCTTTTCATCTCTTATTTTTTAGGCCTGCATCTCACCTTTGTAGACTACCTGTCTTCAAGTCCAGGGTCTTTTGCCATTGCTTTTTTTAAAAAAAATCATTTATTTTCTGAGACCCAATTAGCTTCAGTATGATGGAGGGGCATGGACACAGAGGAAGGTCGAACAATATCATCTTTTGACAATCCTGGGTTGAGTTTTAACCAGAAATATGCAGACTTTTCATACTACCTTCCTCAGCAGGACCACACTCCACCTGCCTCCTTATGGAATCCTGTGTCATCCCTGGAGTTCTTCTGTATAACCTGCTCCGTTTAATCAGTGTGACAGTCAGAAGGCACCTGGAGCTTCCCTGGCACAGCTGAATGACTAACTCCTCTTCCATCTGGCTGTGCCTTATCAGTTTTTTATATCAAAGGATAAAGCCAGTGAAAATATGTGTTAGGGGTGGGGGACGGAGCTCTATACTGATGTCATAACCAGAGTCCTCCTCACACTCTTACTCTGTCAACTTCAGCAGTTAATTTATCTCATGTTTCATAAAGAAGAGCCTGTTGGGCTTAATTTCTCTTATATTCTACTCTCTCACACTACGGATCCAGAGGTTGTCTAACTAGTAATGAAGGAGATGCTCTCCTCCACTTCCTTCACTCTACTGTATCCTCTAGTACATTGTAAATATTTATCATTCACCTATGTCCTCTGAAATAGTGGTTCATCATCTATTTCTTTCCATCCCTGTATCATCAATCTCCTTCTTATTCAGTATTTTCTTTCAGCCTATAAACAGTTTTCCCAACTTATTAAAATACAATATTTTCAACAGTTTTATTCAATGAATCCTTAATTACTAAGATGTAGGTTACCTCTAATACTACGCTATTATAAAAAAGGTTGTAAAGAATATCATATATATGTGTGTATGTGTATATATATGCATACATTTATGTACTTATGTATATATGTTTGTATACTTTTGATACATGCCTAAATGTAAAATCACTAGGTCAAGAATTTTAGGGATTTTGAGGTATGATACATGACCAACTGCTTTTTCGGAAAAGTTATAAAAATGTACCATCATATGACCACACATCTCTTACAGAGTTACTGATACTTGTCCTCAACACTCAACCTAGTCTTTATCAATTTAATCAGCAAAAATCCTATCACTTCCCATTTTATCTTTCAGTTTTATGTAATTTTTTACACAAAGTGTTACAATTTTTGTATAATTATTGTTTGTCTTTACAGTTTCTCAGGTAATTTTGTCTTTCCAAAACACATATTTAAAATCCCTTCTTATTTTATTATTTCAGATTTCACATGTGTATCTATTTCATGAGGACTTCATTTTGATGTAAGATATGCATTTGATATCTAAACTTGCAATTTCCAAATGATCAACAGTTGACCCATGATTTTTAAATTTTTCTCTACTTCTCTAATTCTCTCAGTAAAATCAATTTTATATTCTTTTAAAAATTTAAACAGAATCTAGCCTTCCTTTTCTACATGAGTGATCTACCTTAGTGGTGTTTAATCTTAGGAGAACTAAATTGTTTTGTATAGGGTTCCCTTTACAATTCTGCAATAAAACTTACATTTAATATAGCTACTTCACATGTAATTTCTAAAAATTAGTAAAATTGTATACTTACTGTAAAATAAAAAAGAAGAGTAATTCATGTTAAAAGTGTCTATATATGCATACATATTCATATGTTTAATGTTCAGGCATGATAACCCTAATAGCCGTAATGACGTTGATAAAGTTTTACAGTTGCTCATAATGAATAAGATGGGTATGAGAAGTGAAACAATATTTAACACCCACACACAAACACACCTGCCACCCCCGCCCCCCAACACACGCAGTCTTCCTTGTTCATGGTAGGTATTTTCTATAGAGTTTCTGAGAATACTGAATTAGTGAATACTGAATTATTGCTCCTAGGAGAAGTACAGAGTTAGGGTCCTGCAAGCCTCTGGCCACAACATTTTCATTAACTGAAATGCATTTGTTTCATACAGGTTTGTTTCCCAACATCCTTGTAAAACAAGCCAGTCTCATCAGTGTTGAAAACCTGCTCTTTCACATAACAGTTATTAGGGATTTGAAAAATGCTTCCACTGCCTCCTGATCTGGAGAGACTACCTTGCCTGCCTGCAAGCTGAAAGTGTTCATGCTGTATCACCCTATGAAGTGTGTGAGCCAGTGCTAGCTGGGAACAGGGTTTCACATTTTTCTGACGCTGGGTCATGTAACCATAAGCTCCTTTGGCCTCCAGCTTCATAATGATGCTGCCAAATGCATCTTTAAAAGTCAGTTATCATCTCATGAATCCATAAATTTGGTCCTTTGTCCACCTTTTCCATACCATTATTACACACACCAGGGATCACTTTAGCACTTTCTGGGGCAGCCTCACAGGCAAATTGATACATTTCTTTTCTACTTTTCTGGATATGCTATTAATAGATTGTTTATAATTAACCCTGAAATCCAATATCGGATGGCCAAGAACACTATCTATAACTCACACGTGAACAAAGCTTCTCTAACATATGAATTTTTCCCCATAAGGCACATCACAGCCTTCTTGTGATTGAGAATACTATACAACACTTTAGTGTTACATTTGGGGGCCACTTTAAACAGTAAAATTACTCACAAAAACACAAAGCTGAAAAAAAGTGCCACTCACTAGACCATGAGGAGAACAAGTGTTTACAGCATGAAAGCTGTAACAAGGAGAGAAGACATTGCCTTGTTCAACTCAGCCTCATTCAAACATGCTTCTTAAAAATTCAAATTTTCTATCACTCTAAGCATATCTGTGAATGACTATGAAAGCACTGTGAGTATTCATTTGGGGGATAAAAATAAACTTTAGTAAGAAAAACTCACAGATATGCAATCTGCAAAGAATGAAGATTGACTGCATATATATTATTGCACATGCACGCTTACCTGTAAAATGATGTATATGGCATCCTGAATATAGAATGATGCAGACAGATTGCATCTGTCACTTTAAAATAATGGATAACATTGCCATTGTTGATGTGACTTTCTATAATGATGAAAAAGTTTGGTTAATTTCCAAACAGAATAAGGTATGTTTTTGTTTTGATTTCCACAGTCACTGCAGTTTTTTTAAAAAATTTATTTTACTTTAAACATGCATAAAATATGCTTTGTGTATTTTTGTATTAGTTATCTAGTGTCATTATAATGCTGTATAGAAGCTATCACAGAACACATTGACTTTAATAATCCTCATTTATTTGGTTCACGGGTCTACACATCAGTGATTTAGGCTGGGCTTGGTTAAGTAGATCTCTGGTTTTGGTGAGGTCACTCAGCTGGCTTTGTGTCTGGGATGGATTGTGACAACTGAGGCAACTTAACACTGCTCCATATGTTTTATCCTTCAGGGGCTTTGTCCTGGCCTTCTCTCATGGGAAGGAAAAGGAACAAGTGCAGGCCAGCCCCATTTGATACAGTGCTCTTCCCATCTCCCTGCATCCACTGGCCAGAACATGTCAGAGTGAGATAGGCCTTTGATATGAAGGTGAAGGGCATGGTTACAAGGGTTTGTGCTGGGGTGCCTAGTTAATCTAAAAAAAAAAATTAATGTGCATTTTGTTTGCAGTAACTGAGTTTGTGGACTAGCATGCATTTGCAACCAATGTCACTTCAACTGTATTTTAAAGGATTTTGGACACATTTGTTTTCAAATAATATCAGATCCATGATGAAGAAAAATTAATGAAAGTCATAATCGGTATTTTGGGAAAGACAAAAACATTCAGAGAAAAACAAACAATATAATAGTCTTCATCTTAAAACAATTAGATCAAGTAATTATATTGATCCTGAGAGATTTGATGTGAGAGCTTGTATTTAATTCTGCTACCCTGGTTAAAGGTGACACCTCACCTATCCACAGATCTTTGCCTGAATATTTTTATCATTCCCCTGAAGACATAAGAAGGGAAAGGATGAATAATTAAATTTTAAATAACTGTCTGTGGGTCACCTAGAATAGGCAGTAGAACATACGTTTTATGACAAGCTTTTGTTATACAGACGAGATGTGAAGCCAAAATAACTTTTGCCTGGAGGAGGGAGATGGGGGATTCAGAATTTTCCAACAGATGACATATACAGTGATTTGTGACTTGGGTTTTTGAGAGTCTAGGTAAGCATGATAGAGGGCCACTACGAATGACCTGGGAATAAATGACGCAAATTAAAAGCTTTCTGCAGTACTTTGGACTTTGGAGGTCTTGTTGCAGCACAGACTTAGGTAGATGCAGTGGCTGCCTCTGAACAGGGGATGCTAAGTAACAAACACTGGGGAGCTCAGCTGGCAAGGGTTAAAGCTGGCATTTAAACACAGACTTATCACAGGCCCTGGCTCAGAAGGGCAACACTGTACTGCTTCCCAATGTGTAACAAGTATCTTCTCATTATGGACATTTTGGATACTTGTATTAAGTTTTGTTTCTAATACAGCTTCTATCAATCACTTTGCAATGAAGGTTGTCATGCCTATCAGTATTGTAATACTTGAGATTATTTATATAATTCCCAGAAATGAAGTAAGTGGGTCAAAAGATTTGAACAATTCTGAGACTTTTTGAAAGTTTAATCAAATTCATTTCTAAAAAGTCTCTCTCCTCATTTTAATTTCAACCAACAGTACGTGGGAGTCTTGGGTTTGAAACCTATATATATTTTATATTTTTGCTAATTTAGCAAGTACAAAATGGCAAATCAGTTGCTTTGGTCATTTATATTTTATCCGTATAATTTTGTTTTGCACAAACGTATGAACTTACTCAGTTTTCTCTTTGGTGTAGTATCTGTGTAGGTGCTGCATGCTTGGCATTTTTTTTCCAGCCAATATCACAACACATCTTGTAAATTAGGACATTTCGGATGTCATTGTGCCTGTTCATTCAACTACCACTAAAAAGAGAACTTATGAAATAAACTTCTACAGGAAAAAAAGTTATAATGATATTTAGGGAAGTTATTGGGAACCAAATGGAGGAAAGTTTAATCATCAGACTTTAGAAAATGTCTCAATGGGAGAAAAAAAGCTAAAATTCTTAAGTGGTTTTAGATCAAGAAGCAGTGCAATGAAGAACTTGATAGAACTGGGCAAAAAGGGTGGAGGAGAATGGTCATAGCAAATAAAATCAATGAAATGAAACTCTGAACTCTGTTCTTACCCAGCATAATTTGAATCACAGAGAAATCTCCTCTTGGAATAAGCAGATACACATACCCATTGTTGTTCAAATTGTTTAAGTCTACATTTAAAATTTAAAAGTTAGCAATAGCCAGGTCAGTTTTTAGAAATGTGTCATATACCACATGGACCATTCAACAACATAAAAAATACATGTAGACATGAGGCAATTATTCAGAAACTCGTTAATTGAAAACATTTATATTTGATGCATCTAGATGATTGAACGCAAGAGATGGAAGATTGCTTTTTCTGATGGGGCAAATGATATTTATAGCTATTTGATGAGAGATATTTTATATCTGTGAACTTTGTAGAGGATTTTAAAGAACGTTTTGTTAATAGTTAACGACTCTCAGAAAATCCACCAGTTTTAAACGTGATGAAGCTGGCTGTAACATATGATAAGATCTTTATGTGCAGGTGGAAATATTTCATCATGGTCATTTGCTATTTTAACTCACAGGGAACAAAGCCCACTGGGTGTACTCATTGAAGCAACCAAATAGAATCAATCAAAAGACACACATAGCATCTGCAAACATCAGAGAATACAAACAAAGGAAGTTCAAGAAAATGGATCTCAAGGGCTCTGTTTGCATAGGTCTGGCCTCTCCAAGATCGAGCCATTCTCAGAGCTTTTACTGGAACGGCTTTGTGTAATGCACTGCCTAATGGCCGGCTGTTCAAATGTGATACATTCAGTTATGACACTTAGGCTATGCGACCTATGTGCAGACTGCAAGACAGAGCTGAAGCAACAGTCACACTCCCAACCCAAACACACTTAAAAATTAATGCTGTGAAGGGGAGAACTGTATTCCACATCTCCATGAACGGTTACTGGTGCCAAATTAAATGAATATCAAAGGAGCAATGAAGAAGTATTATAGGAAATAAAAAGTGAAAGGGAAAAACTCCTTTAGGAGTTGAATAATTTAATGGAGGGAGGGACGCTTTCCACCTGAAACTACATTTGCAGCAACTTGTGGGAGTCACAGGTGTTTCAACATGTGCCCTCAACCACTCGTTCAATCCCTTGCAAATTGTTGACCTTTACAAAATTGAAGGCAATTCTCTAGTCAAGACGAAGTATAAACAGAGGGTGTAAGACAGCCCCTGATTTCAGTGAGTTTGTCATCTTGTGGAGGAATCATGACACATGCCTAGTATTAATAATGCAAGGCAAAGATCATTATGTAACTTTTTAAGAGTAAAAAACATGAGCTTTTTGAGTTTAGAGGCAGAAAAATAAAAAACAAATCTAATGGTTCTCTCTGCTAACATAATAATGCCCTGTTGTACTATTTGTAGCTTGGCATTTTGCCCTCCAAAAAGTCAGAATTATTCATGCACTATGTCTTATAGAGTAAATCGTGATATAGTTGAGAGAACTGGGAATGGAACTATCTCTAATAATTATGTGCTTGCTCCTTCTAGAAGCACACATTTTATCTAGTACTTCTAATTATATGGTAGTGATGTGTAAGTATTGCTAATTACAGGGAAATGCTTCTCATGCATATACCATTTTCTTGGTTTTCAGTTAAAAAAAAAAATGACCACCAGGGTGAGAAATAGATGCTTCAAGGCAGTAGATTGCTGCCAATGTTATGTGGCTTTCAAAGCTTTCACTCATTTTCAAATGTAATTATTTCAGTTTCATGGTTTGCAAATGCATAAATAACCAATCGTGATGGTGTTCAACTCAGGTGATTTATGCAAATTCCTAGTGTTACAGGTTCAAGTAGAAATATTTTACTTGGTATTAATTGAATAGGGTATGATGGTACAAATATTCTTAAAATAGACTCAAAAATATGCATTTCTTTAGGGCCCACAGACGCATGGACCTAACTTAAATCTGTTTATCTTTTAGTTTTTTAAATAATTAGATGCATATTGTTACAAAACAAGACATGAAAAATTTGTGAAACTTCATATATCTTATTTCACTAATAATTACTGAAAAGTTTACATGTGTGTACTTAATAATATTAAGTTCTCCTGCCTTTATTGTTTATCCAAGAAACAATAAAGGTTTATTGTTATAAGCCTTTTTAGCAATGGTATTGGATATCTTAATGTGACGTTTATGTGTAGTGGTATTTCTTATTACATACAGTATTTTATTTTTATATTCATATGACATTCTTCACAATTTACGCTTCTACGGTTATTTTAATTTGAGAGGAAGGATCAAGTAGTATAAACAATCATTAAATTCAGCTGCTACACTTTTGCTGAAGTTCAGGAAACAGAAAACTCTTAGGGAATAGGCAGATTTTCAAAATTATTCCATGTAATTAGTCCAAGATGAAAAAGAATTTTTTGTCTCTTTCACTGTGAAAGATTAGTGATGCTTTAATTAATTTACTGGCACTGAGCTTAGAAGCAGTTATACACTTTCAGGAAAGCAAACCCTTTGAAACAATTTCATTAGTGTAGATTTTCAGAATCTGCATTAAGAAAGAGACATAGTAACTTAAGACTGTAACATGTTAAGTAGTTCTCCTCATTGTGATATTTTCCATTAAAGAGAAATAAGAATGCCTATTGCATACTACTTATCTCTTCCAGGATAGTATTACAAATATTTCAATGCTTAACTTTTTAAAAAAAGTTGATACATGTATTTTACACAGGTATGGGGTACATGTGATATTCTGTTACATGTATGGGATATGTAATGGTCAAGACAGGGTGTGTGGGGTATCTACTACCTTGAGGATTTATCATTTCTATGTGTTGGGAACATTTCAAGTTATCTCTTCTAGCTGCTATGAATGATACAATACGTTGTTGCTAACTATAGTCACCCTACTCTGCTATTTAACATTAAAACTTACACCTTTCATCTACCAATATGTTTGTACCCATTAACCAACTTCTCTTCATACTCTCCTCCTCCCACCCACACACCGTTCCCAGCCTCTGATATCTATCATCCTACTCTCTACCTCCATGATATCCACTTTTCTAGTTCCCACATATAAGTGAGAACATCAGTGCATTAACTCTTAACACTATGAGGTAGACGTTGTTGCTCCCATTTCACAGGGGAGGAAACTGAAGCTTATGCAATCAAGGTAACAGACGTGTGCACAACGGATATAATTTTGATCTATAACATTGAGGTTACAAAGCCTATTCTAACCACTGTACATGAAGCAAAAGAATTGTATTAGAGTAATAAAAAATAAGATTGTGGTGAAGTGTTAGGAAGAACGCTCATAACAAGAGGATTACAAAGCTGAAGCGCCTGCAAAAGAGAGGTTAGGTTTGAGGTTGGGGGGCGGTGGCATAAGAAGTGGGGGACTTCTCAGAAATGCCAAGGCAAGGAGGTGTAGAGGCTGTCCAGGGAGAGAGGAGTGTGTGAATAGCATGTGCCACTGGCCAAAGTCGAGCATAGAAAGCAGATTGTATTTATAAGGAAGATTTTTCTTATCTAGGATAAACAAAATAAGGATATTCCTCTGGAAACTTCCTTCCCAGGGAGAGGGCATTCAAATATTTTACACTGTGGGTAAAATAATGATGACTCTTTTCCATAATTTTGATATAAAAATATGCAGTTCAGTGTGTGCATTTAACACTGTACAACAGAGGTGTCTGTAGCATGTCACTGCAGTATGTCGATGCAGTATGTCATTCTTATTTATTTATTTAGACCAAGTCTTGCTCTGTCGCCAGGCTGGAGTGCAGTGGCATGATCTGGGCTCACTGCAACCTCTGCCTCCTGGGTTCAAGTGATTCCCCCCATCTCAACCTCCCGAGTAGCTGGGACTACAGGCACATGCCACCATGCCCAGCTAATTTTTTGTATTTTAGTAGAGACTAGGTTTAACAATGTTGGCAAAGATGGTCTTGATCTCCTGACCTTGTGATCCACCCGCCTTGGCCTCCCAAAGTGCCGCATGTGTTCATGTTTATCACCAGAGGAGTTTGGTTAAAATTATATATTTTGGAGTCACTCTTCCCACTCTTTGAGTAAACCAAGGTGAGACAGACCCCAAATCCTCCTCCAGCTTCTGCTGCATTTCTTCACTCTTCTTCACAGAAAAATTATAAAATATTTTTGAAAAATTAGTCTACCTTGGGTGTTTTACTTTCTCACCTTCCATTCACTGCAAATGAATTCTAGTTTGATTTCTAAGTTTACTTCTCCATTGAAACCCTCCAATCAAGATCACCAATGATCACTTGTTAAATCCCTTGAAGCCATTTAAAATCAAATCATATAACCTCTGTCAGGGCATGATAGAATCAGCTACTCCCTCTTTCCAAAAACACTTTTCTCTGCTCGTTTTTGGGAAATAATGTTCTGCTTTGCCCTAATGTCCTTGTCAGATAATTTATTTCTTGTCTTATTTTTTCAGCGTTCTTGTATCTATCAATGATACTGTTATTTGGTTTTCTATAATTTTGTAAATGAACCATCTTTCCAACTACAATATACAGGGAAAAGCTTATTTTGTATTTTTTATGTAACATAGCTCCAACAACATATTATAATAAATGGTTGCTTAATCATATAGTAATAAATACTATTGATTTGTTTATGATAGTTATAGCAATATCATGTGATTGCTATGGTTTGAATGTGTCCTGTCCAAAATTTGCAAATAGGATTTGGTGCCCTTATAAAGGGCATTGATAGAGGGAGTTTGTTCTCTCTTCCCCTTCTGCCTTCTGCCATGAGAGAATGCAGCAAGAAGGGCCTCACCAGATGATGGTGACTTAATCTTGGACTCCCAGCCTCCAGAACTGTGAGAAATAAATTTTTCCTTTATAAATTATCCATTTACAGGTGTTCTGTTATAGCAGTACAAAAAAAACTAAGGCAGTGATACTAAAGAGTTGCATATTTAGGATTGCTCTTTAAAGAATCACTAATATCTAGCAGACAGAAGCCAAATCTTGTTCATCTTTTACATATTTATAGTATCATTTGCTTGTTGAATTGTTGGCTCTTAAAAGTTCTGGAGTTCATGGTTGCATATGAGATACTTCTAATAAGAAATATATTGTGGTGAAACAAATGCAAGCTTTACTGTCAGAAAGACCTGGATTTATTTATTCATACTTTCTCAAATCCCTTGATATAAATCTGGAAAAGTAATCTAGCCTCATTGAGTCTCATTATTAGTATCTGAAAAATGAAGAAAATTATAGTAACTACCAAGAACATTATAAAGAATAGAGATAATGTATAAATATAAAGTGTCCAGCTCGTGAGGTGTCAATAAGCAATCACTGTTATTTTTATTCATCAAGGGTGTCTTATCAGTAAAGATTTAAGCAGTGATTAGGTAGGTAATGTCAACCTTAAATAATGAGACTCAGAAAACATGATTAAGTATAAAGTTTACTTGAGTACAATGCTTGGGGACAGTTACCTGGAAACACCTACTCCTAACAAGTTGGATCAGTGTTCCAATGTGTACAAGCCAAGATTTTATTTATCTAGAAAGACACAGAGACATTTTGGCAGGATTACAACACTTTCCATATGAGACCAGTGCATATGTTACAGCAGTTTGATCAGTTTCAGATTGAATGATTCCAAGGAAATTACCTTATTGCTCTGTAAGGAGGGGTAGTGATCTTAGGGGGTCTTATCTGTGGAGCTGTTTGGTCTTCCTAATAATTCACAGGAAAAAAATGGCATAAGTTGTAGCGGCATGCTACTTGACTCAGGCCACATAGCCACATTGCTCTCAAGGCTCAGAATAATTTCGTTCCAACAGCTTTAAGTTTGAATTACTTAATTTCATAGTCACTAGTGGAGGAAAAAGATGATAATGAAGCATGAGTCCTTGCAGTAATCTTTCCAATATACCACAAGATCTAGCGCTCTCCCAGCCCTTGAGAGGTGTTAACATTCTTATCGGGAGTACAATAATAATAATTAGTTTTTGAGTGCCTACTCAATTTTTTGTGCCATACCACTTGCTCTGCGGCTTTGGACAAATTAATAAACCTTGTTATGTCTTAGTTTTCTCATATATAAAATACAGTGGATAGTCATGTTGTGGTGAAGAATAAATTGATTTATGTTAATTGATTAGCACAGCATCTGGGAAATAATATGTGTACCACAAATGTCCGCTGTTATTATCCTGGTTCTTATTATAATTATGTGTCTGAAACTTTTGTAATATACCTATCTATACTGTCAATCATTCTCTAAGACCTTCTATGGATAAGTAACATTTTCTTCAGTTTAAGATGAGAAAAGTAAGACATGAAGAAGTTAGTGTTTTGCTCATGGACAGGGAGCAAACAAGTGATAAAATTCGGATTTTAACCTTAATCTGTGTTACTTCCAAGCCTGTACCTGCCAATAGTCTCAGGGTAACTTACCATTGTTTTAGATATCATTATCCACAGCCTTTTAAAGCAATGTTTTGTTTTGTTTGCAATCATGTGTCTTTTTTAGTATTTAAAAATATAAATACCCATCATTAAGGATGAGCAGAGAGCTCCTTAAGTACCGCTATTAGCTCATTTAATCATCACTGAAACACACACCTACAACTTATGTACATGGTGTTGTAATTCCATTTCACAGAGACACACTGAATCTTACATCAATAAAGGCATTTTCCCAAGGTCAAATAACAGTAGGTGTAATGAAAATATCAATAGAAGTTAAGGTGATTGTCTTATCGTTGAACACTTTACTAACGCTTTCCCTATGTGTTGTATTTCTAACATACTTGTCAAAGGATGATTCACACATTACAGAAGAAGAAACAGACTAAGGGAAACTGTGAACCTTGCTCAAAATATTACACCATTTATGTGGCAGAATCAAGACTAAAATCCACATTTGCCTAATTTCAGTGCCCCTGCTTTATGGCTTTGCTGTACTGCTTCCTGCTTAAGTCCATTAACAAGTACCCAGTTGAGACACAAAATGTTACGTAGCCTAGGCCATAGCTGAGCTCATTATTGGCTAGAAAATTTGAGACAGATATTAACTTTCAGCATTTTGTGTCATAAAAGAACTTCAGTGTGGTCCCCATAGCAAGTCTGATTTAGAACACTGCTCTCTGTTCATGGGTCTTCCAAGAAGAGTCATTTGTCTATGGTCTGCCAAGTACTTAAATGAATTAACTTGCTGGGTGAAGTTATTTTCTAATGTCAGGGTGTTCTGAAGGAGTAAATGAGGTAGAAAATGATAATGGTTAACCGTTGCATAAAAGCTGTCACAGTGACATTAGACCCTATCTTAAAGCAATGTTTTAAAGATTTGGGTTTAGAGATTTTTAAAAATAGTGCCACTTACGGTCCATTTAATGGAAAACAGAAGTGATAGATACGTTTTTATGGCTGTAACAGAGAATTATCAGAAAAAAATAAAAATAATTATATTATCATATTTGAACGTACCAGGATGAATCTTTTTAAATAAGGAACTATTTAAAGTTGAGGAGCCCAGCCTAGAAAGGCCAACTGCAATCACAAAACATTTAGTAAGTCCATTAATTTTATATTTCGTATTTCCTAATAGACTGACTCATCCTATGAATTAGATTAGCCATCATATATTTAAAAATACAGAGGGGATTTGATTAGCTAAAATGCTATGGTGGTTCTCAATAAGTGCTTTCTTTCCTCTTATAATACTAAAGTGAAGTAGTTATTCAGATAAACATCAGAAAGGCACATTGTAGTCTCTTTTTTAGAAACCTTTTCTCTAACTTCTCTGTGTCCCTTGCTTCAATATCCATTAAATCAAGTCCTCTTTCTCTAAAATCAAGGCTTGTTAAAGGCACTCAGGGGAGGATCAACTTGTAAAATGAATGGAACTATTCATTGCTATCAAGTGTAAGTACAAAGAGCATTGAGAGAATGCTCTATATTAAGAGTGAAAAGTGAACATACACATAACTAACAGCTCATCTTCACATTAGCAAAAGGACTTATATTTGGGGAAGGGCAGTTGGGGTAGAAATATATTTATTTTTCAGGCATAATAAACCATGTGTATGCAACCTAACTTGAAAATATATCCAAGTAAGGCAGTCTTGGAAAAATCAATATGAGATGTTTCATGGAGCCTTTGCATATTATGTTGAGGCAAGTAAGCAAATCTGAAGACGAAAATGTTAGAGAACTAAAGTGGAAGTCAAAACTCACAGAAGTCTGTTTTCTATGAAGCAAATTTACTATACACTTTAAATACACTACACGTGGTCCCTGATTTCTGGTGGTTCCTTTGATTAATTTTTTTTTTACTTTTCTATGGTGATATGTATTTAATAAAATCTTACTTTGAACATTGAATTTTGATTCAAAATTTGTTATAACATTATTATAAAATAGTCTTTGCGTTAGATGGTTTTACCCAAGGTTAGACTATTTTAAGTATTCTGAACGCTTTTAGGGGAGGCGAGGCTAAGCTATGAGGTTCAGTATGTCAGGTGTATTAAATGCATTTTTGACTTAAATTATTTCTAATTTACCATGGGTTCCCTGGAAATATAAAGCCTTATCATAAGTTCAGGAGCATCTGTATATGAAAATTACATGTAAATAACAATTTGGGGCAATTAATTAGAGGAACTAGGACAGCAGAGTATTTTGAGTAAGTTACAAGCCCCAGAAAACATTCCTGTGTCCAAATCCTTTGATAATAGGAAAGAAAATAATCCCATGTTATGACTTGTTCTAATGTTAGTCCTGGGCTGTCCGTCTCTAGGCTGTGCAATACCCAAATATGCATGATCTATTGCTGTATCTCAGCCATCTTCCAAGTTCCAGACGTGCACACATGTGTCATTGCTTGACAGATTCCAATTGCTCTAGGCTCTAGTATATGCACAAGTCCATGTACTTGCCCCCCTCCTTGGTACCAATTTCCAATAGTAGTGGTTCATACATTGCTGTAAATAAATATCTGAGACTGAGTAATTTATACAGAAAAGAGGTTTAATTGGTTCATGGTTCTGTAGGCTCTACAGGAAGCATGATTCTGTTATCTACATGGCTTCTAGGGAAGCCTCAGGAAACTTACAGCCATGGAGAAAGGCCAACGGGGAGCAAGACATCTCACATGGTGGGAGCAGGAGCAAGAGAGAGAGAAGTGGGAGGTGCTCCACAGTTTTAAACAACGAGATCTTATGAGAACCCACTCACAATGATGAGGACAGTACCAAGGATGCAGTGCTAAACCATTCATGAGAAACCACCCCCCATGATGCAGTCACCTCTCACCAGTCCCCACCTCCAGCATTAGGGATGACATTTCAACATGAAATTTGGGCAGGGACACAAATCCAAATAATATCAACCTGTAACTGCAATTTTTTCCTCTTAGAAAAATGTAGCAACATGAAAATGAGCTGATGCTTTTGTAGCAATAATCCCAAATCTACCACAATTACTTAAAAATTTAAAAGTTCACTTTATCAGTGGAAACAAATTATTTTTGGCACACCAAAAACTAAATGTGACTTAGTGATGTGTTGGGTCACCAAAGAGATGAACCGGGATTAAAGTTATCAATGTTTCCTGATATGGTTTGGCTCTGTGTCCCCACCCAACTCTCATCTTGAATTGTATTCCCATAATTTTTACATATTGTGGGAGGGATCTGATGGGAGGTAATTGAATCACGGGAGTAGTTTTCCTCATACTGTTCCCGTGGTAGTGAATACGTCTCACAAGATCTGATGGTTTTATCAGGGGTTTCCCCTTTTGTGTCTTCCTCATTCTCCCTTTGCCTGCTGCCATCCACGTAAGATGGGACTTGGTCTCTTTGCCTTCCACCATGATTGGGAAGCCTCCCTATCCATGTGGAAATGTAATGCCAATTAAACCTCTTTCTTTTGTAAATTGCCCAGTCTTGGATATGTCTTTATCAGCGGTGTGAAAATGGACTCATACATCTCCTAAATCCCTGCCTTGCAAATGAAAACCTTAAATTTAGACTTTAATAGGGTTAGTTTTTGAATAATAAGGGAATTTGGCATTGATGTATCTGCCAAGAGTGGCATAAAGTTCTGTCAAAACTCAGAGATGAGGTTCAAGTTCCCCCCAACATTGGCATTCAGATCAATGTGTTAATACACATTTGTGTAAAACTTTATACATAAAACCAATATTCTGAAGTTGTAATAGAAAATTTGTTAATATATATATTTGTTTTCCTAAGCAAAAATGAACTGCAGACATCATGATTACAATTATAATATTCCTTCCTCTGGAATACAGTGATCTTCCTGTTCCAGTCAAAAACATGTTCCAGGAAGGGTTGATTTTTGTTTCCTTAAACCTCTTTGTACTGGAAAGACAGGCCATGCCATGGCACAGTGAATTCACTAGGAAGACAGTGGAACTTAAGGTAGCAAAAAGCACCAAAGGACTTCAAATACCAGAAACTACATGTTTTTATTAAATGTCTGATGGAATTGTTTAATTTTATGTTGACTTTTTGAAAAGGAAAGAAAAAATACAGTCAATGGCTTAAATAGACAAAAGTGACTTTCTCTAGTTAAAAGAGAAAAGTAGAGTTTCCCAGTGCAATTTTTATAATATTCCAGAACATTTTAAAGAAGGACACAACTTATTCCTGACATGTTTAAAATAAGTTTAATTGTTATATATACTTAATACTTCTTAATACTTTTAAAGGTAATGATTCACCCAATATAATAAAGAGCACATCCAATTCTAAGCAAATTCAATAAATATTGTTAAAAAATAATTGAAAGTATTTCAGTCATTGCTGTAAATAAAACAACCTTTAAAAATTTTTTAGTTGTATTTTGTTTTATAAAGAGTCACCATATGGTTTATATGCCATAAATTATTTAAACATACTACTTTTTTTTTCAGGAGCATAGTTCCACACACTCTTTTGACGGACAGCAACTATTATAGTTTAGCCCCTAAGTTAACATTATTCATCTGTTTGTTACTTACTCTGGGCTGTTATTCACAATGTCTTAACAACTGAAAGTTTAAAGCTTTTTCTCTTCTGTCCTCAATATTATAGTAAATACATGGAAATTTCTTCTGTGGTCTACAGTTTCCTTCTATTATATAACCCTGTGGCTATGAAGCTTTCAAGTATGGGAAGGATTTATTTCTTCAGTAGCTAGTATAGTATTTATGGTTTTTCATTAACCACTCAAAAGTTAAAATACTGCATTTAACATAGGTCCAATTACAAGGTTATTTTTGAGAAGACTGATTTGTGTGTTCTGAAAAGAAGGTACATAAAATATAAAAACTAGCCTACCATTGTGCGTCATCAGTTTCTTTTTAGCTATGTGTTGGTTTTGTTTTTAATGAACAATTTTGAAACAGATCAGAAAATGTAACATTTAGGAAATCAATGAAACATAATTCAGGGAGAGGTAAATTTTTATAATTTTAATTATTCAAAATTAGCTTTCTTGTGGATTAGGTTTGTTTAAAAACTGCTTGTCCTTTACAATTGTTTTGTTCATTCAAGTACTGATTTACAGGTAATTTTGGCACCTAGCACACATTCAGATTGTGAGCTCTTTACCAGAAAAAATATATATAAATGAGGCTGAGACTTAATATATCTATTAACTTTTCATTTAAAATTAACTATCAAGATTAACGCTTCTGAAAGTTTTTAGAAAGAAATTTGAAATAGTTCCTACTAAACTGTTCTGACTTACGCTGCACTTACAATAAACAGTGACTCCTGTTCTTCATTTGGCTCTATTCACTACGCCACAGCTCCTCAGACGTTGTTTCTTCACGTGCATCACTTTTAAGGAAATTCTCTACCCATTCATGCTGGAAAAGATACGAATCTCATTCTTATTCAGTGCTTTCTTTTAAATTTATTTTTTAATTGACAAGCAAATTTTTACATATTTATGGTCTCAAGACAAAGACTATTGACTCTTCACTGCACTTGTCACATATTCCTAGGACTTGGAGCTCTTCAAGGGTAAAGCCCATGCATTTGTCTGCTCTGATTTCATAGAATTAGTACCCAGTAGTTGTTATTTAAGGAGGACAGAATTGTCAATAAGGCCTTTTTGAATTGGCAAGTAAATCTATGTATATACAGGCATATAGATTTATGAGTGAACAAGTGAATGAATGAAGGAATGAATGAAGTTTATTCAAATTTAGCCATACAAGAAAAATTGTATTAGCTCAAAGAACAAAAATAATCTTACAAAAGTGGTCTTAAAAAGGCATGTTCTAATTTACTGTGAACCCCTCTCACACTGAAACCAGATTTCTATTTCAACGATGATATAGTTGGGATATTTGTCCTCGTCCAAATCACATGTTGAAATGTCATCTCAATGTTTGAGGTGGGGCCTGGTGGGAGGTGACTGGGTCGTGGGGGTGGGTTCCTTATGAGTGGCTTGGTCCATCCCCTTGGTGATAAGTCAGCTCTCACTCTGAGTTCACAGGAGATTTTGGTCATTTTAAAGTGAGTGGCACTTCCCCCACACTTTCTCTCTCTCTCTTTCTGGCTCCTGCTTTCACCATGTGATGTGCTGGCTCCCACTTCGCTGTCCACCATGCTTGTAAGCTTCTCAAGGCCTCTCCAGAAGCTGATGCCCGCACAGTGCTTCCTGTATAGCTTGAGGAATCATTGAGCCAAACCCAGTCTCAAGTATTTCTTTATAGCAATGAGAGAATGGCCTAACACAAATAACAACTTATCTTCTTGGTTTACTGTTCCTTGAAATCTTCTAGAAGGTATTTGTCTTTTTACTATGTGTTGGAGTGCTTTTCCTTGGGCACCAGTTGTCAGCCATCTTGATTTGGGTTTATTTGCTTAACTCAAAGCACCTGCAGTCTAACTGACATATATTACATTAGTACATCTCCCTAAAACTCACATGTTGAAATCCTGACCCCTAATGTGATGTTATTAGGGAGTGGGGGCTTTTGAAAGATGACTGGGTTGTGAAGGTAGAACCCACTGTCAATGGGATTACTCCCTTTATAAAAGAGATTCCAGAGTAATCTCTTGCCTCTCCCTTCTACCATCTAAGGAAACAGGAAAAAGACAGCCATTTTGAGCCTGGAAGTGGACACTCATCAGACTACGAATCTGTCAGCACCCTGGCAACACTTTGACTTCTGGCAGCCCCTTGACTTCGTATTCTTAGAACTGTGAGAAACACATTTCTATTGTATAGAAGCCACATAGTCTATGGTATTTTGTTATAAAAGCCTGATTAGATTATGACACTAATCTTGTTGTGTTGTCTGGTTATTTGTATCATTGATGATATGGTCTGGCTCTGTGTCCCCACCCAAATCTCATTTTGAATTGTAATCTGAATTGTAATACCCATGTGTTGGGGAAGGGACCCTGTGGGAGGTGATTAGATAATGGGGGCAGTTCCCCCATGCTGTTCTCATGATAGTCAGTGAGTCTCATGAGATCTGATGCTTTTATAAGTGTCTGGCATTTCCCCTGCTTGCACTTCTCTCTCCTGCTGCCATGTGAAGAAGAAGGTATTTGTTTTCCCTTCTGCCATGATTATAAGTTTCCTGAGGCCTCCCCAGCCACGAGGAAGTGTGAGTCAATTAAACTGCTTTCCTTTATAAATTACACATTCTCAGGTATTTCTTCATAGCAGCATGAAAATGGACTAACACAATTTATTATTGGTAAGCATCTTGCCTGAAGAATGAATCCGACTTTTCAATTTGATAGAAATAAAGCATTTTCTACTAAAACGAAAATATGTGATATATTACTTTTACTTTTTATTAAGTCTCAGCCTAATAAAAAGCATAACTTGAACACAGTTCTGGTTCTGCATAGAAGCACAATTTCAAACGTAATTTTTTAAAAAGTAAAATGCCACTCCTTCTTAAAACATTCTCCTCATTGTTTTTGCTACAGTCATGGGAATCACTCAACTGCACAAAAAAAAAAAAAAAAAAAAAGGTTAACACTGGCCAAATACAGAAAATGTTAAGTTAATGTTTTCATTAAGTTCCAATTAAAAAGCTACTGCTATTTTAATTGGAAATAATTGACATCTTTATGACATTAAGTTTTAACCATTAAAATAACATTTTTCTCTTTTGATTTAGATTTTCTGCATTATAATTTAATAATGTTTTATAATTATCTCCACACAGGATTTGAACATATTTTGCTACTGACTTCTCCTTCCCTTAGATACTCCTGTAGTAAATGTTATCCTTTATTGTGGTATTTTCTAACTTAAATAAATGTATTGAAATTCAATTGCTTTTTGCATATGATTTATATCCTTTAATCATTGTAAGTTATCAAATGAATTCTAATAGTTTGTCTAAGGTTCTCTTGAATTTTTTATGTGGATTATCTTATGATCTAAAATATCTGTAGCTTTTATTCTTTTCATTCCTTATATCTTTTTACTGAGGCTTCTCATTATAGAGTTAAATAAAAGTATCAGTGAGAGGCATTATGCTTCATTCCATTTATCTCACCCTTTGGTATTTTAATTGCTGTAAGTTTGTATTAGAATACATGAGATCCATGCTATCAAATAGCCACACATTGCGAATGAATTCTTGAAATACAGCTACATCTACCTAAGGTTTATTGTAAGTGATAAATATTCACTGGCAGTCATAGAGTACAAAAAAGAGTGCAAAATATCTTAACGATTTTTTTATGCTGACAGTTTTTATAATAATAATATGCATTGGGTTAAAGTATATTATTACATTGATTTCACCTAACTCTTTTTACTTTTTAAAAATATTGCTACTAGAAAATATAATATTTATGCAAGGACCACCTATTCTTATTTTCTGAAAGTAGTTTTTTTTATGTGAATGAGTGAGGACATTTCATCAGATCTTTTTTTGCATCTGTCTTAGTCTGTTCAAGCTGCTATAACAAAATACCATAACCTGCTTGGCTTATTAACAGCAGAAATTTGTTTCTCACAGTTTTGGAGCCTGGAAAGTTCAAGATCAAGCTGCATTGTGCCTGGTGAGGGCCCATTTCCTGGTTCACAAATGGTGCCATTTTGCTGTGTGCACTCTGGTGGGAGATGTGAGGAAGATCTCTGGGACCTCTTTTATAAGGGTACTATGCCCATCATGAGGGCTCTATCCTTATGAACTAATCACCTCCCAAATCTTCCACCTCCTTACACCATCACCTTGTAGGTTAGGATTTCAAAATATGAATTTCAGGGGATTACAAACTTTCAGACCATAGCAGCATTTTAAAGATAATCTTTTATTTTCTTATGTGAATTACTTAATGTGGTAGGTTACTTTCATGGATTTCTAAGGGTCAGCCATCCTCACTCTCCAGTGATTTAATTCAGCCTAATCATATGTTTTCTAACATATAATTCAAGATTGGCTTGATAATATTATATATAGGGCTAGTGACTCTTAATGAGATAGGAGTATAATTTTCCTTTCTTGTTCTGTCCTTGTCAGATTTTGGAATGAAGAAACTTTTAGCCCATAAAATGAGACATGAGTGTGATGAATCTTATGTGTACCTTTTTCAGTTAAGTTTTCATTTCTTCAATGGTCAAGGGACCGTCTGTATTTTTCAATTTTATTTATATTAATATTATTAATTTTGACACATCTTTATTATTTCTTTCTGTCTACCTTTTTTTAGTGAATCTGTTCTCTGTGAGAACTTCTTAACCTAAAACATAAGTTCATTTCTTCCTTTGGATTATAAGCATTTTTCCTAGAAATTTTGATCTCTGTAGCACCTTATATGAATAACTAAACTAAACTTTTCAATATAATTTTTGTTCAATACAAAATATTTTTAAATAAATATGTATTAAAATATCTTCATTGACCCATCATGGTATGTATTTAAAATTTCAATTATATAAGATATATTTAGTTATATCTTACTGCTTGTAATAATATCATTATAGTTAGAGAAGGTGGTTAAAATTTCTGTTTTGCTCCTAAACAATATACCTTCACAAACATTTTCTGACTTAACAAGTTTTATTGTCTTAATATGTGAGAATATTTTTTTTTTTGCCTCCCAGAATTTCTCTTAGTGGCTTTACTATTATCTTATTAAGTGTTTGTCTACATTGTCTTATATTTTTTATTAATAACATATTTTTATTCCAACATTTATATATTGATTTATTTTAGGCACACTTACTTTTATATTTAATATTTTAAAAAACCCTCCTTTTCTAATTTTAATGAGGGCCAAACTTTATTTTTATTTTTCACTGATTTTCTCTGAGAGTGGGTATTTCCCCCTCATGTATTTGTAGTATTGGATGGAGGCTTATGCTTTCTGAGTTTTTATCCTTGAGATTTCTCTCTACCCTGTACTGAGGACCTATCGCTGGAGAGATGCTGTGTTAATTTATGTCAGGGATATCATATGTTATACATTTTATGCTAATTTCTCTATGTAAAACTTCCTGAACTACTCAGATGATGTGAATTACTGTTCCAAAGGTAAGTCTCTGGTCATACATTTTTTGAGAGAGTTACTTTATTTTATGTCATTTTCACTACTGTCTAGAGCAGAACAGACAAATTCCCTTGCCTTCTCCCTGTCTAGTTGGCAGATTTTCCTTCTAGAGACTAGAATATTATTTTACACCATAAAATCTAGTGACCAGTTCAGTCTCCCTTTTCGATTAAAGATTTTTTTCTCTATTCCTTATTCCAGAACCTTTGATTCTTCAAATATCCTGAGAATAGTCAGAGAATGCCAACCAAATACTCTTTTTGTAGCTTCTTTTCCATTTTTATCTTTTGGGCATTTGCCTTATTTTTATGTTACTTCAGGTGTTTTATTGGAGTTTGTATCTTTCTATTGCAAAAGGCTTACTTGGCTGATTCTCCTTCCATCTACTGTTCATACTCATCTTTAAAAGCAAAAACTGTGACTACTGTTTTCTCTCAAGTTTTCCAATACAGTGCCCGTGGTGGCTAGTTTTCTGTGTCAACTTGGCTAGGCCACCATATACAAATATTTGGATAAACACAACTGAATGTTGCAGTAAACCTTTTTTTTTCCCCGAGATTAACACTTAAATCAGTAGACTTTAAATAAACAGTTTATCCTCCAAAGCATGAATGGGCTTCATCCAATCAGCTGAAGTCCTAAGGCGAAAGACTGACATCCCCCAAGGAAGAGGGAATTCTGCCTCCAGACTGCCCTTGAACTCACACAGCAACACCTAATCTCCCCTGGATTGCCATCCTGCTGGTCTACTTCGCAAATTTTAGACTTGCCAGCCACACAACCACATAAACCAATTCCTTAAAATAACCTCTCTCCGTTTGTGTGTGTGTGTGTGCACTATATATTATATATATACTATATATCATATATATAACACTATATATTATATATACTATATATAATATATACTATATATAGTGATATATAGTGTATTATATATAGTATGTATATACTATATATACTATATATTATATATACTATGTATTGTATACGTATATATAATATATATACACATATATATTTTATATATATACTGTATCTATCTATCCATTAATGCTACTGGTTCTTTTTCTCTGGAGAACCCTAATACTGCTCCACTATGCATTCAGCTTTCCTCTCTGGAATCCATAAAATCATAGATTCTGAGTATAAAAAGAACTTATGCCCTTCCTAACTCTGCTGTTTTCATAACATTTTCTTGTGTCAGTACACTTTCTCAGTTCATAAAATTGCACAGTTGATTGTCCTATCAAATGTTAGCCCAGTTCTTTTAATTCAGCCTCCCCAATTTTGAAACATGCCTCCCCAATTTTGAAACATGCCTCCCCAATTATTTTCTAATCTGCTTTATCTCTCACTTTTACTGCCTCATTCCATTCTCACTGGCAGAGGTATTTTCAATTAGATGCAGCTTACTGAATTTGTAAAATAACACCAATTATTAAGCTGTGGATGTGCTAAACTCTGTTATATTTAATACATCGAATACCAGATAGAATTATTGATGCAATACAGTAAAAAACAAATCTATGTTTGATAAATCTCAAACAGCTAAAAATCACATAGCATAGCAAAGATATTTCTTATTTAAAAAGTACAACTTATTCTGTTTTCAATATATGTTAATAAATTGGTAGGTTATTAAATTGGTTATTGATTGGTTAATAAATTCCCTAGTCAATTTCACTCCCTTTTGTTAAAAAAACATTCTTACTTGTACTTAACGGCAATTACATTCATATCTTTGTGATTAACTGTTAATGAATACAGATTCGCATACAAATTTTAATGTCTTTTAGAATTTTTTTATTTCCTAGGATAATGATAATGTCATTTTAATTTAGTTTAGGTGAAATTTTATTTTCCATGGAAAATGTATTTATTATAACATCACAAAATGTTGACTTTATTTCTATTCCCTCGAAGAGTGTGTGTGGTGTGACTGTTGCTATCTCTTAAAGTGAGTGGTGTAGATAAAACTGTTAGAGAAATGAAGTTATCCATTAGTAATTTACTTTTATTTCTTGCCTTTTCATGTAAACCTTACATTCTCACCAGTGATTCTCATGTAACAAATAGTTTACTAACCGTTGAGTATTGGTTATCACTAACAAGATACAATTGTTAACTTTTGTCCCAATGCACACTCAAGGATTAACATTTCAAATTAGATTATTCATGTCTTTAAAAGTAATTAAAAATCTCATGCATTTCAGGCTGGTGATCCAAGGTTGTTTTATTTTTCAATGCTAGCTTCTTAAATAAAATGATAATTGCTAGAACAGCTTGGCTTAAGTCTCTTTTACAAAATCTGACAACTGTTGAGACAAACCAAGTTTTTTTCCCCTGGAAAAACTTGAACTCCATTTAGATTAAGCAATTAAAGTTGTGAAATAAATGTGGAAGTTCCCTAAACAAATTAGGAGTCTTTAAAATGCACAGAGAAGAACTTTTAGGCCTTCCCTCTGCAAATAACTTTAGAACTCTGTAATATCTTGTTTTCCAACAGGTTTTTATTTTGCATAAGAAATTATTCTGACTTCTATTCCTAGAGTCACCTGCTACATAGTGACCCCTCCGTCTTTTTGTCCAAAGATTGTAACAATGGCAACAACAGCAAAACTGACTCAATTACTTGCTGCATTCTTGATACATCTCAATATGAAACATTTTGGCAATTCATATCAGTGAAACTTTGAGGCATAATAACCCTTCTCAATCCATATGGTTTAATCCATGTTTTGGAATCCACCAAAAATGACAAAATTTTACAGTGTAACCAAGAGAAAGGGGAAAGGACCTTATAATTGAAAATCAATTACAGCACATTGGCAAGATTTGTGTTTTCTCACTGTCACTTTGTAACCTGATGAGCTCTAAGAATTTGTCAGGGATTCATTGGCTATACATAGCTCAGAATATTCTTTCCTCCTCTTTCTATTTTTTTTTTTAAATTTTCTATTTATCCTCCTCTTTCTTGAAGGGTTTTGGTGATTGCTAAAGTTTTATTTTAAAATATAATTTGAAGATAAAATGTGAAGTGTATCAATTCGAATTTATCTATTTGCCCTGGGACCTTGCTATAAATTTAATATTGCGCTACGTATGAAATTTAGTGTGATATATACCTTTTTAGGATTTTATGGAATAATAGTTTTAGAGTAGAAAGAGACCATAATGAATTACAGTTGACCCTTAGTTAAGACGGGTTTGAATTCTGTGGGTTCACTTATACACGGAATTTCCTCAGCCTCTGTCATTGCTAAGACGGCTAGACCACCCCTTCCTCTTCCTCCTTCTCCTCGGCTTACTCAACATGAAGTGGATGAGGATGGAGATCTTCACGATGATCCACTTCCACTTAATGAATATTAAGTGTATTTTCTCTTCCTTATGACTTTCTTTATAATCTTTGTTTCTAGCCTCTTTTTTTGTAAGAAGACGGAATAAAATACATGTACAAAATATGTATTAGTCAACTGTTTAGGTTATCGATAAGGCTTCTGGTCATCAGTAGGCTATTTGTAGGTAAGTTTTTGGGGAGTCAACAATTATATGTGGATTTTCAACTGTATGGGGAGTCCACACCTCACCCTCCACGTTGTTCAAGAGTCAACTGTGTTTAATTCAATTCCCAAAGAAATCGAGGTCTGGAGAGGTTGAGTAACTGATTTTGAGATTCCAGGCTAGCCAGTGGAAGAGCTGGGAATGCATGAAGCACACCTTCAAGAAATTACTGCCAGATGAGAAAATGGATGAAACGTCATGGCCCTTATGTATATAGTTTAATTGTATTAGTCAGGGTTCTCTAGAGGGACAGAATTAATGGAATATATATGTATATAAAATATTATAGATATTAACTTTCATATGCATACATATACATATACATATATGTATACACACACATGTATGTATGGCGTGGTGAGCAGCAGGATCTGGATCAAACCCCTGGCATTTCAGTAACACCTTCAGCCCTGAAAATGTGGATGACCTGCAGAAGAAGTGGTTACCCCTCACATAAAGCTGCAAACACATCCTTGCCCTAGGATGTGGAAGATCTGAAGGAGTTGCAGTGGGAGCCCAAGGGAGAACAGACCTGCTCCATACAAAGCAGGTGAACCCCATGCCAAGACAAGTATGTGAGCTGCAACAGCAACTGGGCCTAACACCACCTCAGAGAATAGCAATAAATCCATGCCCCATTGCAGGATAGTGCATTCTGGAAAATGTAGTTCTAGCTTACCTAGGTTGACAAAGTACAAAGTCACCACGTTCATTGTGCTATATCCCTGTAATAACCAGAGATGCATGAGAATAGCTCCTGCCCTTGGACTCGGACTGGAACTTTTACCATCAATTCTCCTGGTTCTCAAGCATTTAGATTGCAGATCTTGAGACTCCTTGGCCTCCATAATCATTTAAGCTAAATTTCTTACATTTTTCTCTTTTCTCTTTTCTCTTTCTCTGTGTGTGTGTGTGTGTGTGTGTGTGTGTATGTGTGTGTGTGTGTTTATGTGTGTGTGTGTGTGTGTGTGTGTGTGTATGTCTTTTGTTTATGTTACTCTGGTGAACCCTAACTACTACAAGCAGGCTGCAGTTGGGCATTTCCCTTCTCCTGGGTCAGTTAGGCTCTGGTAAAATCTCCATGGGTTAGGCTCTAGTGAAATAGTTTCCTTTCAGGATAGACATTAAGAAAAGAATGTTCAGTCCAAAATTCGAAATAGATACTTTTCTCCCTTCCAGTAAGGAAAGCATGAAGGACTTTATTTATTTATTTTTTTCTCAGCTCTTCAGTGTGAGAACCTGGTAGGTTTACTGGAAGTAAAAACCACAGGAGTGTGGGACCCCTCTAAGCCTGAGTTTTTAACTCTCAGACTTGTTCACAGTGAGCCTTCAACAATCAGTCAATTACATTTCGGTTTGTCGTAACCCTGTACTGATTCCAGTGAAGTTTTTGCCCGTAAGTTTGAAAAACTAAATTCGATTTAAAATTAAAAATATAAAGGTAAATTTTAGTATAATAATAAATGGGATAAAATAAAGATAATTAACAAAATGAAATATAGTTCTTTAAAAAGCCTAAAAAATTTTACAGTTTACTTGCAAGATGGATTTAAAGCAAGAGAGAGAGAGAGAGAAATGGCTCAAATAAACAATAGCAAGAGTAAAAGCTGTGACATTATTGTAGATGTTTTATGCATTATAAAAAGAGGATATCATAACAAATTCATATCAAATGTAAAACTTTTGAGAAAATGGACAAATCTGAGGAAATGCATATAATTATATTATGGTCTTACCTACATTTAAAAATTTTTAAAGGCATCTTATACTACTAAATAACTTGAATAAATAGTGAAAATGTTTCTGTATAGAATGCGAAGACTCTAATGCCTACAGTGGAAATGTCTATCAAATATCCAGAGTTAAATAGTTAGCAAATGTTGAGGCAGTACTCTACAAGTCATGCAATATTCTATTACACTCCTAGTTTGTTGAGAGTTTTTATTATGAATATCTGTTGAACTTTGTCAAATTATTTCTCTACATTTATGGAAATCATACTTATCTTGTACTCTATCAGTGCAGTACATTTCACTGAAAGATTTTTTTTTTTTTAATGTAAAACCAACCAGCTGTGCATTCCTGGCATAAAAGCCTATTGCTGGGATCAATTTGCTAAAATTTTGTTAAAATGTCATTGTCTATGCTCATAAAAGATATTTTGTTCTGTAGGCTTCTTTTCTCTCTCCCTCTCCCTACCTCCCCATCTCAATTCCTCCCTCCATTTCTTTGTTTTCTTTGTTTCCCATGTAAAGTCTTTCCCAGATTACGCTGATTCATTATAATGGTTTGGAAACTGTTGCATTATCTTGTTTTCTCAAGTTTTTTGTTTTTGCATAAAATTAGTATTGTTTCATTCTTAAGTGTTTGACAGAGTATACCAAGGAAGCTATCTAAGCCAGAGTGTTCTTTGTAGGAAAGAATGTGAGAACAAATAATTCTGAAGTCACCATATTTAACAGATGTAGGGCTATTCAGATTTTATATTTATCCTGAGTTGATTTTAATAAGTTGTGATTTTTAAGGAATTTGTCTGTTTTAACACTTTCACCAACTTTACTGGTGTAAAGTTTTTCACCATGTTTTTATTCTTTTGATGTCTGTAGGATCTGTGATAATATCCCCTCATTCCTTCCTAATATAGGTAAATTATGTTTCCCTCTATTTTTTTCTTGATAAATCTGGCTAATTGTTTAACAAATATCTTGCAATTCCTGGAGAGGTGGGGCCATTTGCATGGTAATAAAGTCATGAGGCCAGGGTCCTCCTTATACAATTAGTGTGCTTATAGCTTATAGAATAGGCCCAAGGGAGCTCTTGGCCCCTTCCACTATGTGACCACACAACAAGATGTCACCATCTATGAATCAGAAAATGAGTACTCCCCAAATGCTGAATATGCCAGCATGTTGATCTTAAATTTCCCAGCCTCCAGAACTGTGAGAAAGTAATGTCTGCTGTTTTATAAGCTACTCAGTCTATGATATCTTGTTATAGCAACCTCAACAAACTAAGTCCAAAATTGGTACCATGTTTGGGGTATAACAATGTCTAAAATATGGAAGTGGTTTTTGAATTGAGTAGAGGGTAGTGTTTGCAAGAATTGTGAGGAGCATGCTAGAAGAAGCCCACATTGCAGTGAATGGACTAACTATTCAGAGTGATTGTGGTGAGGGCTCAGAAGGCGAAGAGAGGTGTAGGGAAAGCCTCAGTCATCTTAGAGAATACTTAAGTGGTTATGATCAGAATGTTGGTTGAAATAACACAGTAAAGGGCATTCTGATGAAGTCTAAAATGAAAATGATGAACATTTAATTGGAAACTGGAGGAAAGGTAAACTTTGTCATAAAGTGGCAAGGAATTTGGCTGAATTATGTTTATGTCTTCGTTATTTATCGAAGGTAGAATTGCAAGTGGTAAAATAAGATTTTTAGCTGAAGAAATTTTTAAGCAAAGTGTTGAAAGTGCAGCTTGGATACTCTCGAATATTTATAGTAAAATACAAGAAGGGAGAAGCAATATGAAGAAAGAACTTTTATTAAAAATATAAGAAAAACTTAAAGCTTAAAAATAACTTCTCAGCCTATCCATATTATAAAAAATGAGAAAAATGTGTTTGGGAGAGAAAAACAATAGGGTAGACAAGGGACCATTGGATAGGAATTGATGTGGATCATTGAAGTGGTATTCAACAAGACAATGGAAGAATGAACTTTAAGGCGTTTCAGAGACTATAGGCGCTCCCCTTCCCATCACAGGGCTAGAGTTCCAGAGCCTGATTTTAAAAGTGGGGACAGGAGTGCCCATGGGATCTTGGTGCTGGCTCCCCATGCTGCCTCAAGGCTCTGCTACTTGAACTCTTCGCTATATTCCTTGGCTACACTGGTGGGTCCCTGCACAGCACGCACAGTACTCAGCAAAGCTCCACCCAGATTTCAGAGGATGCCCAGATAACCACAAAGCCTAAGCAGAAAACCACCATGGGGGTTTTCAGAGAGTCCCCATTATGGCAATACCTGATGGAATCATGGGATAGGCTGCCCCTGAAACCCTAGACTGGTAGAGCTGATTTCCAACCTGGGAGGGCTGCAGATGTCAAACCCAGGGACAAAGCTACCATGGAAGTGGGACTACTGCAGGGAAACTCTGCAGGGATGGGGTTGTGCAAAGCCACGGGGACAGGGCCATTGCCCTAATGGACCACCCTAGTGGGTCCAGAATGTGGAACCTCCACCCCAGTGAGCCTGGAGGACAGAGCTTCTAGTGAAAAAAAAAATTATTCTCAGGCCTTAAAGTTATAGACTTACTTAGGATTTCTTACTCCCTTCTTTTATCCTATTTTTCTCTTTAGGATGGGACTATTTATCCTATGCGAGTTCCATCATTGTATTTTGGAAGCACATACTATGTTTGATTCCACAGGTTTACAGCTGGAGGGCAATTTGCCACAAGACTTTGAGACTCAGCCATATCTGATTTAGATGATATTTAGACGAGGCTCTGGACTTGAGACTTTCCAGTTGATGCTTGAATGAATTAAGACATTTGACCCGATTGTGGCAGAATGAATACATTTTGCATATGAGAAGTACATGATGTGGGAGGACGGGGCAGAATGCCATGATCTGAATGTTTGTGTTCCCCTCATATTCATATGTTGAAATGCTAACCCACAAGGTGATGGTATTAAAAGTGGGGGCCTTTTGGGAGGTGATTAGGCCATGAAGGTAAATTTGTCATGAATGCAATTCATGCCCTTTTGAAAGAGGCCTCAGAGAGCTGCCTTCTTCCTTCTACCATGTGAGCACACAGTGACATGGTGTCATCAGTGAAGCAGGAAATGGACCCCTGACCAGGCACCAAATCTACCTGCACCTTGACCTTGACCTTCCCAGTCTCCATAAGTGTGATGAATTAACTTTTGTTTTTTATAAGCTACCCAGTCTTTGGCATTTTTTAACAGCAGTCCAAACTAAAACACCATCCATATATATACATGGAGTCTTCCTCACTTCCTTGTCTCTTATTTTGCTTCGTAGCATTTATCACTAACATTATATATTTGTACACTTGTTAAAAATCTCATCTCCTTTTATGTCAATTGTCTCATGACATGACATCTGTTCAGTTCAATGTTGTATTTCTAGTGCCTGGGGTAATTCTGAGTAAAAATTGCTTATGCAAATATTTGTTTAATGAATAAATGAATCAAAAAAAGAATCAAAAATAAAATCGAAATAAATGGATCAAAAAAAATCAAAAGAGGAATACATGACAATAATAAGCCTTTAAGGTTTTCAGACAGAACCATTCCACTAATTTGATTTCTCAAAATTGCAGACAGCCACTTTCTTCATTTCATTAAGAAATATCTCTGTACAAGAAGAGCACATTGGTGAATTGATTGCACTGGTTTTTACTTTTTCTGACAACTTTAAAGAAGACAACTGTAAAAGTATAGAAGGATACTTTGTTATTACCCAATTGAATGCTACCTTCATTCTCATTGAACAATTTCTAAAATATAGTATTATATCTATGCTTTCAAACATCCTGTGAATCATAATTGTGGAAAAAAGCAGCCTGTCATCTCCCTTCCCCCAGCTGAAACTTTGATATGATTTCTGTTCTACTTAATGAGCTGACTGCATCTGGATATTAGAATTGCACCTGACCTTTTTTTTAACTGTGGAATTCAAGAATATTGATTTTCGCCTATATAATAGTTGAGTCCCTAGTTACTTTGGAGATTACTTACTCACTTTCATGATAGCTACACTTGCAGAAGAGAGATCAATAGGGCACTACTGCCCATGATCTCCTGAGTTGAACTTCAGCCATTTTCCCCAAAGGACACACATATCTGAAACTCATTTCCTCTGCATTACCGCAAAGTCTATGGTTCTTGGCCTCCTGGGAACCACTCAATATTAATTTGTTTAGTTAAGCTTTTACCTAACAGATGAGGTGAAAAAGAATAATTGAATTAGTAACAAATTCTAATGTATATTTATATTGCTATACTTCTGAACATATTCATAAATTTCCATCACAGAATTCCATTTCATTTGTTAAATATAGCAATGATGAGTACTATTTGCTTAAAATCTCTTGTGAATTGATTTCCTGTTTCTAAAACTTTGTTTTTCAAATATCCTGTACAGATTTAATAAGGTAGAACTAGGTCATTAAGCACCCTGCAATCGCATGCATTTGAATATAACACGGATATGTTTTATCTACTTCCTAATGATGAAAGCCGACGGGACAATATTGTTCTATAAAGCAACTACGGTGCTGCTCCTAAAACATAGTGTTATTATAACAATTCACTATATTTAAAATAAAACAGGAACCAAAATGGTGTTTACTTCAGTATAAAGAAAGTCAATATTTGGCCAAACATTAAGATTTTATTCAAAAAATTATCAGATATAAAGAGCAATAAGGTTGATTATTAATCTGTTAAGTAAATGAAATTGGAAGAAGGTGGATTACATCAAATTTGTATGATTCGCAGGTGTATAAATATTTGAAGAAGTTACCTGGAATTTGTAGTTTTACAACTGTTGCCGGAAAATTCTACTTCACTGTGTTTTTATTAAAAAAAAATTCTGTAAACATTTCTTCAAAACCCCTCAAAATAAATAGTTAGAAGTAAATCTTTATGTGGTTTACACATTTGAATTAACACTTAGGGTGATGCTTTCAGTTTGTCTGATGCAGTAGTGTTGTGTTGATAATGGCATTCCCCCATATTTTCTATTTATTGAGACACAAATATCCAACACGCTATGCTGCTTCCCTGATTAAGTAAAATTCTGAACAAAGAAGTGGGAATTCTCATAGAAATTATTCTATTTACAGAGCCAATATACTTTGCTGGCATCATGAATTTTTTTTAAAAGCAAATGTTTCCATATCCTGAAGAAATCCATTCAATGTATTGAATTATCACTTCTCAGTTATGCTTCCCCTTGATGATACAGTTAACATAGAAAAACAATAAATATTTCTTTGATGTAATATGCATATCAAGAGAAATATTTTGCAATCAGGTCTTATAAAATCCAGTTGACGTAAAAACTAATGATTTCCTGCTCAGCTGTTTTTAAAAAATGTATGTCCTTATATACATGAGATGGCTACATAGCATTATTTTCTTTTGCCAGCTGTTCACTGAAAAAATATGCCAGAATTTTGAAAATTCTGCATGGGGTTCACGTGCACCTAATAAATAATGACAGAAAACGGGGGAGGCCTAGCGGTGTACATGACAGAATAATATCCACTTAAGCCGGCACAGTTATGTGCCCCTTTTCCCCTAAGCTGAGTAACTCTCCCAGCACAACGGCCGCTGGCAAATTCTCACAGGAACACTGAGTCTGCCATTTAGATGCCATCTGCAAGGCAGCTGAAAAGTGCCTGAGCCTTCCTTTGTTGTTCCTATATGATGTTATGTCTCAGTTAATAACTGAGAATTCAGATTAAAAAGAAGGATGAATCCCTCTGATGTCATTCTCTTTATTGTGTCTGAAGATCTGTGTCCCACCACCCACCAGGCTTTCCCTCACTGACCCGTGTTTGTCTTCTGTCCCCGCCACTTCCTACTGGGTTATTGATGTTCTGCTCTGCCCAGGAAGCTGGTGCTCACCCTGCACTTTGTTAAGCTGACACCACGGGCAAACACAGGCTTTTGTTGTACTGTATGCAAAGAAGAATGTTTGTGGACGGGGAGGCCGAATATCCCAGTTAAACTATTTCTTAGGGAAGCTAGAGAGAGACGGGCAAACATCTTATTACACATTCTCCTTATTCCAGATGATACCTGAAAGTTTATTCTGTTCCCAGGGAAGGCAAAGGTCGATTCTTCCCTATGATCAAGAGAGTCCTTTTTGCATAATGTGAAACTGGCGACTTAAGAGGTCTGCAAAACTAAAGACAAACCTGCATTGATTTAACAGCAGTAAATGTGTACTTCTACCGTTAATCACCTGTGTTTTCTGAGAAGGGTTTCTCCAAGTTTTGTCTAGATTTAAACAGGGTTTATGCAATTTGCCTAAAAGCAATCATCATCTTTTTTTGCTTCTTATAGAACTAAAACAAATATTATAGTAAGAATTGATTAACTTTTAGAAAAAATTTAACAGCATTAATATCGGGGCACATAAAAATGTTATACTCCAAATATGAGATCCAATTTTTTACACCTGTTCTCCCAAAAACAGATTTAATGATTGTAACATAAGGCTATCTTCAAAATGGAGTTTCCAGGTATTTTTTAGTGCTATGTAAAAGTGTTTACCATGAGAGTTTAATATTTGACTAGATAAATTAATATTTTGCATTAAAAGGCAAATATTAAAATCAAACATAAAAATATCAAGCTGGGGTTACACAAAATATAGTGGAATTAACATTAATGATTGCAAAAAATGTATTACATGATTATGTTTTCTGACCAAATATTGCTGTGTCCTTTTTCTCTTCCATGTTCAATTTTCTTATTTTTAAACTGGTTGAATTTAATTATATCAATTCTAATGTCCCATTTAGCTCTCAGACATACAACTAAGTGCAACAATGACAATCTTTATAACATAATTCAGAAAACAAAAGTTGATTATAAAATTATAATAAAAAATTGGGGCAAAGTTAATTATTTCCCTTGTTTTTCATGCTCCAGTTTTTACAACTGTTTTTCTAAATAAACCATCAATCCACTTATTTAGGGCCACAAGGTAAAGTGTTTTAAGACTGCGGAGGCAATCTTTGCTTCTGTGTTTTATTAAAAGTGCTTTTAAAATACTTTAAAAACACCCTCCAAAGTAGGGTCTATTAATTGTGAAGCTTATGTTTTTTATCAAAACTTAACTCCGACCTGTTCTGTATATACAAAGGAGATAACTGAGTTGTCCCGCTTTCCTATAAAATGAAATCGTTGTATTAGGACAACTCTGACGTTGCACTGTGAATTATTTTGTTACTGCCTGGATTCCCTCGTTTTAATTTGGGACTGTGTAATATATTAGCTGCATTCGATATTAACTACTCAGGAGTCTTTGGTGTAACTTCAATCCAAGAAGGCTTTTAAATGTTTGGGAGTTCATGTAAGAAACCTAATGCTTCTCCATTCAGGTTTGAGGGTTCAATGAGAATGTAGATGAATGGACGGGAGGTTGATGTCAGATACTGTAATGTGTCCTCAGAAAGCTAAACACTAAGTTTTTACCAAAGGCAATTATAATCTACCATGGTCTACTGCCAATGGCACTGGGTTTTAGATATATTCTGAAAATATTTCCTATTTTTATAAGGGATATAATCAATTAAAAAGTGAGTTCAGTAGAAAAATTATGTTGTTAAAATAATAATGTAAAAGAGATTTTCTTTTTTTAAAATAGCCATATCAAAATAACTTTTTCTATTTATCTTCAAATAGAAAAGAGCAACAGTTGACAAAAGTATAGTTAAAAAATAGCCTAGTGTGTTTTGCTAAATATGTAGAATATATTTATTAAATATATAAAGCTATTTTCAGAATGTGAAATTAAATTATGTACTTGGGTACCAAGATTATGAGTGATAGATATTATTAACACATCCTCTTTAAAATATAATTTTATGATATATACATTATTAGACTAAACTTACACTTCTTTTTTACATGTTAACATTATTTTTTAAATTAGGTACTTAGCATCAAGGTTGCCTTAAAAATATAAGTAAATATGAAAACTAAATTATCCACATGATTAGATTCAATCCTTATAATTTTGGTTGGGTAGCTTTATTGAAAATTATTGTTATAACTCAGAGTTTTCACAATCCTAGAGATCAATATTAATTATTAACCTATCATTTGGAATTTATATAGCTTTGAGAAGTTTCACTACCTTGTTAATAATTTGCTGAATTCCAAATAATAAATTTTTCAGAAAATTGAAGCTAGAAAATCTTAGAAAGGAAGACTTCAAGTCATATTCACAATCTTTCAAACTAAAGCTACAAGGCTATGAAATAAAATGCTTTCACTTCACTTAATTATACTGTTTGGTTAAAATAAATTTTTTTCTTTAATGAATGTCAGACCATTCTTTGCTTCTCCAGTTTTATGTCTTGCAAATTGATGGCCTTCTTTTTTCTTAGATAAAATTAGAAATGATTTTGTCATCATAGTGAGTTATGAAGAGTCATTACTGGTAGCACTTTGTAATTGGTAAATTTTATTTTGTCACTGATAAATTACTACAAAGTTTAAAAATAACTATTAAGAACAAATATGCTGCTTACAGTACAGTATAGTCAAAACTGCATATACCCGTGTAGTAATTTGTACTTCATTGTGATTGATAATATAACTTAGAAATAATATTTTTTGTTTAATAAATTATATCCTTTAACAGATTAGATTAGAATAAACAAAGATATTCTCCCAAAATAATTGCCATTTAAAAAATATATTTTCTCTTTTACCAAGAATGTTTTTTAGACATCTAAAGCAAATCTGAGCTTACAGACTAATGAATAAAACCTAATAAGTGGTATGTCTTCAAAAATTTATTATACTATAAATATTCTTTCAGCTTAGTAAACATTTGCAATAAAAACAATGGAAATTTGTACACTTGCAAATCAAACCCTCATAATCAATTCATCATTATATATATGTGAAAATTTATTTATAGAATATTTGGATAAACAGAGTTTTGTTATAGCATTGCTACATATTTCGCAAAATATAGTAAGTGTCCCTTACAAGAGAATCAAATTACCTGAACTTTGGAAAAGTAAGCATAGTGATTTCCGGATGAGTTTTGCAAAAATAAATAAATACATAAATTAAGGTCCATTCTGAAGTTTTTCCAAAAGTACCAGGTTCATCTGCCACTGAGATGACACAGGTTGTCATCTCAGCAAACCTTCGAATTCATGTAGCTGTGACCTTTTGGTGCTCCTCTGACTACATTCCAACATAAATGAATATGCCTTCTATGTAGAACTATAAAGAGAGATTCCAATATACCACAACTTTGCAAAAGAGAGAGATTTTCAATGCAAGCATTACAAAAGATATGACGAATCCAAAGCATTTCCATTTGAAAGAGAAATGACTAATAATTGACTGGCCTGAATCCAAAGTCACAGTGGGGTTCAAAAAGCTGGTAAGTGCCCTCATAAAAATAGAAGCTGTATCAACCAATTCCATTTAATTATATATGAAGGTGATGATGGAGCTAAACTGCCTGTAATTGGAGTCCAATTACTCAGCTGGTCTTCCATAAAATTAATTCAGCTGAAAGTTTGCCATTGTCCTGTGCCCCACGCCTGCCGCTGGTTTAATTAGTTAACAAGGAGGAATCTTAAAACAGTAAATTATTTTATCTTTATTGCCAATTATCGGTTAAGGTAAATTATATATAAAACATTAACATTTGTTTCTGAGACAAATAGGAAAGGGCACAAGGAAAATACCTTTTTGGTTTTCTACCTGAAAAGACACCTAAATAGAGCAGAGTGCATCCTCCTGTCTGTCATTTATTTAAGAGACATTGGAACTTGTAAGCCATTGAATACATCTCAAATGGACATAGTATGCCGGGGCAATGATTTTACAAATATGCCACCTAAGCCTCTTATACCGTGCACATGTCAGCATCAACTTTAACACCAATGAAAACAAACTGTATGGGTAGAGAACATTCCTGAAGAAATTCCTCTTCAGGCTTTAAATTACTTTGTTCAAGATTTGGTAATGTTTTGTGTAATTTTAAAATGATAGTGGCTGACCTAGAGGTTTGATAAAGCAATCTATATGAGGTTATTCGCAATTATCTGAGTTGTGTATTATAGGTCAATCGCTAAACAGTTAAAACTATTGAAAAAAAGTAATCGAATGGCTTACTCATGCCTAATTATTGTTCTTTTTAATATAACAAAATGTAATATATTAACAATTGTACTGAAATTATTGGTATCATTTCAAGGCTTTCTCCTATCAAAATCATTTCTATTTAATAGATATGACTCATTTCTATTTAATTGGTTTCATCATAGTATACTTTTATTTAAAAAGAATTACTATTCACAAAATTTTATTATTTAATTCCATGCCCAATAACTAATTCAAAAAGAAACATCAGTGGTCTTATTTAATAAAAAAAAAAGTTAATTGCAAACTGTTGATTTATCTACAAAAGGATAACTAGTATGATCAGACCCAAAATAAAACAGTCTCTTTAACAGTCATAGTGGAATAAACATTAAAACCTTGTTCAAATACACAATTATTTATATATAGAAAAATTATAGGAAAATGAAAAATTAGATTTCATGAAGCTTTAAAAAGTTTTACATATAGTGTCTTTCAAAATGAAAGTATTTAGTCAAGATAAGGTTGTGATTCATTATACTATCCATTTTTAGACAATTTTAAGTGTTAAAACAGACTTTAGCTTTTGTGTGGCCTTATTCAATAGATGGGTCTCTTCAGATTTGTAACATTTACAATAAACAATTCTTTTACTACATAGTTTAATTAATGTAAGAATAATCATTACATTTCTCTATATTTTTTCCAGAAATAACACTGCAAAAACTAATTACCTTTTAAACCCATGTATTTAATTCAAAATGTCAAGATAAAGCTCAAATTGTGTAGGAAAACTGAAGTCGAACCTTTTAAAAAGAAATGCACATTAGTTCAACAAAAGCGTGCTGCAAAATAACCCTGAAAATGGTGTTTCTTTTTGCAACATTTCACTAAAACTTTAAAAAGAAAAATGTTTTGTTTTACATATGAGGAATTATAAGCCAAGTTAGCTAGGTTTTATTAACTTGATAGAATGTTGGCAATTTCTTTATGTAGATTGTTCTGTTTCATGCTATTTCAACTTACAGCTGTGCTTTTTGACAGAATCCAGATTTGCCATATACTATTAATATAGTTATCAAATATGTTTAACATCTATATCTGTTAGCATATATTTTGCAAAAATGTAGCTAATAATGCTATTTTTAAACAAGTTAACAAATATGTCCCTAAAACCAAAAATAGAGATTGTTTCATTTTAATTTTAAAGTACAGGTTATTTGCTGAAATATTTGTTTTTAATACATCTATAAATAAAAGAAGGCTGAAAACAGTCTTCAATTTGACTCCACGTGTAATGATTTTAGGAAGCTCTGCCCAATACGTGGTTGGTTAGTATCGCAAGGGAGAAAAAGCAACACGGGTCTCTCCATTGAGCGCAGTGGCAGGATATGGCTCCAAAATGGCCCTGAACACCACTGGGAGGAACACCTGTGCTGCACTCTTTTGTTAGAGCTTTGAGTGCTCTCTATTAAAAGAAGGAAACACCCTCTTTCAAATAGTGGGAATTTTCTCAGTTTACACAAACAATACATTTAAGGGGAAATAACTTATGAGAAAAATGTGTCATTGGTCTACTTTCTCAGTAGCTTTTTGCAAGGCAATGCTTTATCATGATTACGATACACGCTTAGTTCAAACACATGTATCAGGTTTTATCTTTTTTTGTCTAACTTATTAGAACAATTAGAAAAACGAGACGTTTCTCCTGTGCTTTGTGCTTTAAGGAAGCTACTGCCTAAGTGTGTAAGATTATCTCAACAACTGTATGCCTTACATCTCATTTTCTATTATCAAACCCTAAATGGGAACTGCATTTTCTTTTTGCTGTAGCTTATAGATGTTAGATTCCTCTCTTACCCCTTCCCACACCCCCCCCATACCACCACACACACACACACACACACACACACACGCACGAACACAGACGGACAAGGAGCAAGGAGTCTGGCTACCAAGAAATAACAGTTCACCTTAGAAGGAGGCACCTTTCATCAGATAAGCACTGACATTTACATGGTTTCCCTAATCTGAGTTCCCTAGGGACATTTATTTACTAGAAGGATCAACTTCTAATTTGGGAACAGAAACAAAAGATTCCTGAGGATTGGCTTGAGACCATGCTAAGCAGAATTGGGGTTACGCTGAAGTGGCACAGCCCAGTCTGCCCTGGGCGACTTGAAGAATCCAAAAGTGCTAGCAACAAAACCCTCTGAAGCCAAACCCCTCACCCAAGCAACGCATATCGTGGGATACATGTCATGTAGGAGTCATATTGACCTTCCTTCTTAGAAACATGCTGATTCCTTCATCGGAACAGCCCCTGTGAGTGCTGTCTGCAAGGCTTTCTGCTGGGGCTTGTTTGAGTCCTTGATTTGTGTAGGTCTGAGGTTATTGGTTGGTAACTTAATAATGCACAAATTCAATATCATGCAGACATCAGTCTTCACGGTGATAACAGCATGAGCCTAAATTAACTCCAGAGTATTAGAGCATAATTTACAGGTAAGTGTGCCATAATGATGAAGGTATAAATTGTTCAGTGTGTTTAAGTGCCAGATAGAATCTTCTTTCCCATCTTGGTTGACTTTTCCATTGGTATCACTCTAGCTAGGTAGAGATTATAAGAACATGTATGTTTGATCAAGAAAAGCAAGTAGTAACAGCGGGGAATCAACTGAATGCCACTGGAGATCCAGAAATCACTAGAGAATTTTAAGCGTTTCATTTTTTCATGAAGAAATAACAATTTTTATTTTCTTTTCTTTTACCTTAGTTCTAAGGCACATTACAAAAAATGAGAGAAAAGAGTTGTCAGTTCTGTTCTGACAGGCCTCTGCTACTGAACAGTGGGATTCTTCTTCACATCAAATCCACAGGCGCAGAAGACTTGCATATCCTGGGGTACCAAATCTTCAGAATCTTGACTTAAGAAAGTCAGAATTGGAAACAGAGCTGCTACAATGGCAATGACGAGCTGCTCAGCTCCTGAAACAAATTTTCTTTGTCCTACAGCAACGGATCTGCAAATTAATTTTCTTTCTTTGCTGGAATCTGTTACCTTGCATCCACTCATGGGCAGTCACCTAGAGGCTTCCCCACCACCGGCCCAGACACATCTCCTTCATTCTTATGTTGCTTTAGAAATGTGCACGGATGCTTTCTTTTTAATAAAAAAAATATAAACTTAGTCTATAACAGATATGCACTTGTAATGAAAGTTTTATTAAATGGAAATATAAGTGAGAGAATTTCAGTGAAAAAATGTTTAATTTTGTCTTAGGCTTCTGACATTTGGAGATATTTCATTTTATTCAGTTGGAAATGTATACCCAGCAAAGACAGGTTATTATTTCTAGTTAACTTGTATTTGGAAATTGGGTAACTAACACCAGATAGTCTTGGATAATTAGTTTAAATAACTGCATAATAAACCTAATCATCAAATGGGAAGAGTAGGCATTTCTAAAATTCATTCATTCACTCCTTGTTTGTTTCTTTATTCAATGTAAGTTTATTAAGCACCAACGAAGCACTATGCTCAACGTGTCATCCCTTTATTAGAGAACACTGTCAACTGATTATATATCATTTGACAGTGTTTAGAGTCACACATCCATACCATAATATTGATTGATCACCTATCATGGATGCAATTCTTACATCAGTTTGATGTCTTGTAGCAGTCAACAACACAGAACAAACAACATAATCCCTGCCTTTGTAGCGTTCACATTCTACTATTGTTTAGAGGAAAGTAACCGATAAACATAATAAATAAGTACCTTATGGATTTTTGAGGTGATAATTGCTAAGAAAAAAAATAGAGCAGTGTGTGGGTGGGGGCGGGGAGCTGCAAATATAAATAGGACAATCAGGGTAGGCCTCTTATTAACTAGAAAAAATTTGCCATTTTCTGTGTTGTCTGACCAGAAGCGCTGATACAATCTTTCCACCGTCCACCCCTAATCTTTACGAAACAAAGAAAATCATGGAAACTTTCAAGATAGTGTTTAAACTGGCCGTCCCTTTCTAAGTCAGCAACCACACTCTCAAACACACACACATACACACACACCCCACACCCGCCACACACACACACATACACACACACACCACACCACACAAGCAGGAAGCAGAAGGACGTAGAATGGCTGGAGTGGCCAACTATACCAGAAAGTGTGGTTCACATAGACAAAGGTCTAGAAAGAGGGATTGAGACCCCTTTTCCTGACAAGTACAGCCTCGTTAAACTCAAGTTTTTAAAGTTTAACCTCACTGGTAATCCAAAAACAGTATTGCAGTGTATATTTTTTAAAATTTCTCTAATTGAGATTTCCTTTTTAAATTATATTACCAAATGCTGGTGGGGCTACAGTGAGAAGGCAAAGCTTCCATTTAGTGGAGAAACATAAATGATGTAATATTTCTGGGAAAGAATTTAGGAATATAGAACAGGGGCTTGAAGCATTTATTTAAATGACATGATCCATTTTAAGAGTCCACACTAAAGTCAGACCCATTATTGTGTAAAGATTCTTACAATAGCTTAACTTGGAAGAGGTAAGCCTGGAAACAACTTTGTAAGTATAGTAACAGTAGCATACTTAAATAAATTATAATGTATTCAAACATAGACTATCAAATAACTATAAAAGTAATATTTAGGCCAGGTACAGTGGCTCATGCCTGTAATTGCAGCACTTTGGAAGGCCAAAGTCGGAGGATCCTTTGAGTCCAGGCATTTGAGACCAGCCAGGGTAACTTAGCGAGACCCTATCTCTACAAAAAATACAAAAATGAAGTGGGAGGATGACTTTAGCCTGGGAGGTTAAGGCTGCAGTGAGCCAAGATCATGCCAATGTACTCAACCTGGGGGACACAGTGAGATCTCGTCTCAAGAAAAGCAAAGTAATATTTAGTAATATACAAAAATATGTGAATTAACTTATATTAAAAAATGTAATTTGCACTATGAACTCAAAATATATGAAGTTTAATACAATAAAGAACCCTAAAGATAATCAATAAAATGTTATTTTTTGAATAAAGTGCTTATGGCTGGCTAATTTTTGTTTTATACTTATTTTTTTTCTACTTTGTAAATTTTCACTAGTGAAAGGCGTTACTTTTACAGCTAGAATATTTTTAAAAGTTTGTTGTTCAGCAACTGACACTCTTAAGATTGAATAACAAAGGGCTGGGCACGGTAGTTCATGCCTGTAATCCCAGCACTTTGGGAGGCTGAGGTGGGTGGATCACCTGAGGTCAGGAGTTAGAGACCAGCCTGGCCAACATGACAAAACCTTGTCTCTACTAAAAATACAAAAAATTAGGCGTGGTGGCAGGTGCCTGTAATTCCACCTACTCAGAAGGCTGAGGGAGGAGAATTGCTTGAGCCCGGGAGGCAGAGGTTGCAGAGAGCAGAGATCACGCCATTGCACTCCAGCCTGGGCAACAAGAGTGACACATTGTCTCAAAAAAAATAAATAAATAAAAATGAAAAAAAAATTGAATAACAAAAATTCTTCCTCACTTCATGAGCAACTATTAAAATTAAATTAAATTTTAATTTAATTAAATCATAATTAACAATTAAAATGTAGTATTCTCAGAAAAGCAGATTACATCAATTTCTTTACACAAGACCCGAAAGATATGTTCTGGGAAGTTGACAGATACCCTGTACTTTTTGTTTAATTTTCCATTTTTACTTAGTTAAAAATCAAACCAGTACTGACATTTAAAAAATACTACACTCAATCACATAACTGGGGTGCTCTCTCCTTGGGACAGCAGGGATAGGGGACAGTGAGAGGAGTGAATGTCTCCCTCTCCATGAGCAAGCTTTCCACTCACAGTAGTCCCCCTTCTTGTTGCGATGGACGCATTTTCTGCTCCTCCGACCTGTGAACGCACAGCCTGGTAGCCCTCTGGAGCCCTGTTGCCCATCCCCATCTCCTTCTTTACACTCTGGGCATCCTCTTCCAGATCGGTGTCATCCTTCAACAGGTTTTCCTTCTCATTTTCCTTCAAGCTATTTGTTCCATTTTTTTTTTCCGTGGAAGGGTCCTTCCATCTTTCCCTTGGCTGTTATGTTTCTTCATTTAATGTTTTTAATGGGATCCCACGAAGGAAAGGATATAGCACACGAGAGCTGAGTTAACAACTGATATGGTTTGGCTCCGTGTCCCACCCAAATCTCATGTTGAGTTGTAATCCCTAACGTTGGGGGAAGGACCTGGTGGGAGGTGACTGGATCATGGGGGTTTCTAATGTTGCCCTTGTAACATATATTTCCCAACAAGGGGATCAAGCTTGTAGCTCTGTTGAAGAAACTGACTCTATTATATACCACCAAAATATTTTTAAAATACAAAGAGAATCTATCATAATTTTTGAAGAATAAGTACCTCATTCTGATATGAGTGCTTTTCTTTTGAACATTAATCACTAAGTGAAAAGATAAAGTATAAATATTAATTATCACTCACTAGGATTTTAGGTCCGTCAGAGCAGGGTTTCATCTGACATGCCCATCACTGTTTCTAACTGCCTCAAACAGCGAATGGCACAAGGCAGATACTTGATACATAATAATCAAATATGCCTGATAAAAATTTCTAACTGGAGGTTAAGGAAGCCTCTGAAGTCACAGAAGAAATCAGGTTAGAAAGTTAATGATCTTCCCCACAGTTCTTGCTATGCTGAGACTAAGCCACATAATTTTCATTTCTTCCTAAACATCCTCAGAGAATAAGAGTGAGGTGAGGCTGGCGAAGACAGATGACCCCAAAGCGCTTCTGAGCCACCCTTGCTTTGGAGAGCAGAGCTTCAACTCAGAGCTCAGAGCTGCAGGCTCAGAGGTCTAAGAATCTCCCCTCCCAGCCACTCCCCAGAATGAACCCCCTGCCCATCGTGGCTTCAGCTCCTGCCCAGCACTCAAAGTAGCTCTGCCGGTAACACCGGCAGACAATGGAATTGCAGGAAGGGATAATATTTGTTCCAGGGATGGTGGCCTAAACAACCTGAAAAGCAAAAAGAAAAAGTAAGTTTCTCAAGAGCCAGGGCATAGATGAAGCTGTCTCTTCACACTAAATGCACCACCATGTTTTTCTTATAACTTGAGTGTGTCTTTCTTCCTTATAGACCCAACTTGTCTAAAGCATCTGGCTTCCTGGGAATGGCTAATATTTTATATCCACTTGTATTTCTGTGTAAATGGAAATCAGAAAATGTCTAGAAATTCAGGTATAAAGCAGGGAGACAATACAACGGGGAAATGACCAGAGCCTTTGCGTGCTTTGTTGGTGCTTTGTCTTCCTTTCCACTTAAGTCTATAGTGTGTGGGGATAAAACATATGCAAGCCAGCAGAGGACTGACACGTTCCTATTGACATAGTAGGAAAGCTCCCTTTCTCCAACCTGCTGACCCTCAGAATACTACCAAGGATGTCTGTCCCAGGCTTTCTGGGAGTAAATTGAGGCTAAATGTGAGTCTCTGTGGAGAGGAGATGGTCATAATTTTTCTCACGTTGCATATGATTGCATATCATTTGTTCTACTTCAAATTACATATAATGGAAAACCTTTTATCTGTACAGTCCTCTGTAGGTTGCTCAGAGGAAAAATGCAGACAAGACAGATGATAAATGCATAGATAATCAAATAGGGAGAATCTGCTTCTCGTTCTTTCACTCATAGAAAGGCGTGACAGTTAGAGCTGTGTGGAACTACCAATTTTCACATTCTTTGCATTCACTTGAAAACTTAGCTTTTATAGTAATTTGAAAACTTAATCCAAGGCATGGTATTTCCACCAGCAAACAAATTAAACAAGGAATATAGCTCTGAGTTTTCATGAGCTCTCACTAACATTGCTTGCAGTACATACAAAATAAGCTTCTGAATATTAGTCTCAATCAATTATTTAAAACAGAATTATATTTCAAATGCAATCGAATCAAGCTACTAAAGAACTTTTACTGTCAGTTTTAAAATGAATAATCTATCTCTGGTTTATCAATATTTTAATCAGATTTGCATATACATCTTGTTAAATGTATTACTTTCTGAGTTTTCTATGTCTTTCTATATTTTTATCTCTATAAAATTCTCTCTTATTTTACTTCCTCTATGACGGTAAATAGGGAATGGGTCTTCTTCCTTGACATACACATTCTCTAATCGAATGAAATGTAGATTTATGCACCCATTTTCTCTAATATTTAATAATAAATCTCTACATGGGGTTATAGGGAGAAAGCCAAGGCATGATGTCCCACACAGGTCCCTGAACACTCCTCTTCATGCTGACTCGGTCTCTCACAGACCCTTCACTGTGTGGAATAACATGTCCCTTTCGGTGAATCAAAGAGTAGTATAGTGTTGGTGCAGAAAGAGAACATGGAGAAGTGAACTAGACGATGAGTTGCTTAAGGTAGCAATCTGGAAGTAATCTTTGGGTATTTCATTGCCCTATCTGCCAATATAATGTATCCTAATAGTTAAAAAATATAACCCCAACATTTCTCTTGAACTACCAACTTTTGGTCTCCTCTGCTTACCCTGTTTGCAAAGATAATATTTCATTAACTCTATTGAAGTTTTAATGGATTTTCTGGTTTCTCCTTTGTCCCCTTAGAATTCAAAATTTATTTACAATAATAGTCATTATTTTAAAATCTAAGTCAAACCATGGAGTCAACCCCCACATATCCCTGTTGTAAAAATAAAATAGAATATTATGAGACAATGATTTGTAAAAATCATATCATACAAACATATTTGTACCTTATTCTCAGAAGAAACCAATTTTACTTCACTGAAGCTTCAGGCAAAACACTTCATACGACCTTTTGAACTCTTCAATGCTATCCAAAAAATTTTCATCGTCTATATTAAAAACAAGAAAGTATTTAGCTTTCTATTCCTATAAAACTGTTAAAGAGCAGGGGTTCAATTCTATGGACAACATAATGTGGATTTTGCAGATGCTATGCGTGTTTAAATATTTGCAATAGTATTACTGCCACAATAAAAGAAAAGCAAACCAACGTTATCAACATAATCAAATCTGATTTTTAAGAAAGAAAGATAAACTCTTTCATAAGAACACACTGTAATCACTGGACTTCTGAAGTATGGAAATCTTCTCGTGAGCTGAGGACTTCTGAATGGTGTGTTTCATCAAATACTTTAGGCAATACAGCTTTTATACTGGAAGTTTATGTTGGTAATTCAATCTTCTCACTTTGTGTTTGTGAAAAGTCTTGATCATATACTATTTTAATAAAACATTAAATGAATACATCTAAAATTGCATACCTCTTACAGCATCAAGTGCCATGTAATGCAGAGGTAATTCCTCAAATTCTGTTGTTGATTGGATGATGGCATTCCTTTTTGTGAATACAGCAAGCTTTCTAAAATTATTATTTTCATGTCTTCTTTTTTATCTTAATTTTATTTATTTTATATTATCATTCTGATTCTTCTATCACCCACATTTGTAGGAATACAAAATATTCTGTTACATGTTGTAATTAAGCCTCACAGGTATCTTTTTTTCATTGCAAGTTGCTTTTTGCCCTAAGGAGTTCTGTGTACCATTTGCCCTATATTGCAAAAGCATCTTAATAGAATATCATTTTTTTGTCTGGGCTCAAAAAGGATTTCTCTGTTCCTGAACCAGTTTTCACGTTGATTTCTTGGTTTAGGATTACAGAGGAATGCACAGTGGAATCACTGAACAGGGATAAAACAGGTCTTGAGTTTTGACTTTTTGTAGTTGGCTGTTGATGCTGTTTTTTTATTCTCCCATAATCACGACCATGGGCAGAAAGTAAGCATCCTTGTGGCTTCCTTATGTTGATTCTAGAGCTTTTTTAGGTACTGAAACTCTTCCAGATTTTAGGCTTTATAAAAGGATCTTTGTTTCAGATCCCTTCTTTGGACAGTGTGAGACTGCGTTTCCCAGATTAGGATACACACTGGTCAATGCTGGCATCAATTCTGTTTACCAATCTGACTTTGAGGTCCATATTTGTTTTTGGATATGGGTATAATTTTGCTATTGATTTTATAGTTTTTAAAATTTAATCAACTTTATTTTTTAGGGAAGTTTAAGTTTATAGAAAAATTAAATGAAAAATGAAGTGATTCTAAGTTCCTAACCTCAAACGCACACAGCCTCCCCAACTGTTGACCTCTTGCACCACAATGGTGCATTTGTTACAACCAATGAACCCACACTGGTACATCACCACCCAAAGTCCATAGTTTACATTAGGGTTCAATCTTGGTGCTGTACATTCTATGGGTTTTGCCAAATATATAATGACACACATCACCACTGCAGTACCTAAAGATCATCTTAAGTATATTTTGTATCCATTATTTCTATAGTTTTTTAGTTAGGCAAAAGGAAAAGCAGTCAATGCTAACTTAGATGAGCATCAATATAGATGTCTTTCTCCAGGATTTATAATATATTTCATTATTATTAAATAAAAACATATTTTCCAAGTTTTTAGTAGAAATACGACATATAAAGGTAAAAAAAAATCCAGTGAGCTTCAAGGTTTTAAAGTTTCAATGATGATATGGTTAATGGAAATGTTTTTCATGATTATGAACATCCTTCAATATCACACAACTTTTGCTGAATAACTTGTTGTATACATTAAATCTGTTTGGCATGGCCACACTACGGTGTATATCATTGCAATCTAAACTTTTATACTCTGCATCTTAGCACTGATGCAGTAATACGGAATCAGACACTCAGCATTATTGCATTATTGCATGTTTCATAGTTTTATAATTGTCATGTGTATTACATAATGTTAAATAATATTTAAGATATTTCCATAAAATTCCTTATTGCTTTCTTATTTTGAAGATTAAGCACTAGTAAAAATGTCAACAGTAAAAACCTAAATAATATACATATATGTAATTCTCCATTTACATATTAAAAGAATACATCATTTAAAATCACATCTATCAAAGGTTAAAAAAGAGATCTGATCTTTATATGGGTACAATAATGCTATATATTGGTAGCTTTTAATCCACGTTTTAAAATAAAAGTAGAACTATTACAAATAATTGTTATTAAAGTTATATTATCTTTGGATGTAATTGATTTGGCATTAACTCGTAAAAAAAAAAAAAGAAAAACAAGTGAATGTGGCTTCTAAGCTAATGAAGTGGTATTTTCACCATTATGTCACTAAATGCTCTAGGCCTTATCCTGAACTTTTCAATTCACAAGTGCATCTTGACTAAGACTCTAGAGAGAGACACACTATGTAGATAGATAGACAGCTGTATATATATATACATATGTATATATACACACACACACATACTCTCTTGATAGTATCTAGATAGTATATAGACAGAGAGCTGTATATGTGTATATACAGCTATTTGTCTCTATATATACACGTATAGATCATATAGATAGCTCTATATATATGTCCATATATATATACACATATTTATACTATATATATACATATATAGCTTCTGAGATATCTGCTGTGCCTATATGATCTGTAGCAGAAAAAACTTCTCAAAAAGACAGCCAATTGTTTAGTGATATTAAAAACATTTGTACATTTAAGTAATATCTTATTAAAATTTGCATTGAAAAAACAGTTGTCATGCACAATGTTCTCTTTAAAATAAATACAAAAACAGATTTTATTTTTCCTTAATTTTTGAGAAATTATCAGGCTAATTATAATTTGGTAAATATCCAAAGAAAGCAGGTTAATAGATTATTAACAAAAGATCTAAAAAATTAACAAATATGCTCTAATAGATGATGTGAATAATTTGTTAGTTAAATATGTGTGTTCTCCAGTGTTTGTCATTTGACCTGTTTTATACTGCTCTTGACGTTAAAAATTTTACCATTAACATGATCAACATTAAGCAAATATTTCTGAGTGGAAACAACTTTCTAAGTATAACTACTGGCTGTGGAATCTCACTGCCACAATAGTTATTATATGTTTATGCATGTAAGAACTCTTTTATAAACCTGCAAACTATTTAGGTTTCTAATGGGTACTGAAAAAATTAACTGTTGAAACATTCTGAGGTTGAACAACACAAAGCGCAAAATTTCTCTTAGTTTATTGGATGGTTTGGTGCCAAACCCCAGGAACTGTTTCAGCCACATTAAGTTCATCTGTAAGAGCACAGAGTATGGAGTATGAAGTAGTGAAGATTTAACAAGGATTGTTAGTACCAAAGGAACTCGACAAAGTGGGCAGGGCAAAGGTTAATGCAACTGAGTTGTTGTAATCACTGACCCATCAATTAAAGCTGAGCAGAAAAGTTAGAATGAGGAGAATAGAAAAATGGAAGATCCTAGTAAGTTTGAGGTCCATGAAGGGTTATAATTGCGAGAGAGCTCTCAGGGAGCCCAGTACTTACAATTAAGATTATGAAGGGTTTGCAACTATTAGTAATAGCAAGATCTAGGGTACAACATTTATGCATGCTCCTGTGTGTGTTTACAGATTTATGAAGTCTTGTGTTCTACTATTCTCATGTAGAAACATTGTTTGCTTTAGTAAAATTAAATTTTTTACTTCGTTACCCAATGATCACACACTCCTTCCACTCATTACTTGGTGCTCCTTGTTGTCTTCAAATTGTATAATTCTGCTTGAGTTTTTCTTCTCCTTCATGAGCAATTTATTTGTGCCACTGGGTATAAGCTATCTCTCATTTATCATCATTTACATTACCTAATATTAATATAAAATTCTGTAAGTTTCAAAGAGATTTTTCATGTCTTAATTAATATAAGCATTACCTACAGTTATAAACTTATTACCGATATAGATATCAAATACACATCAAGTTCATATTCACAGGTGTATTCAGCATTTGATGAAAAAATATGAATAAGTGAACTTAAAAAGTACTAAATACATGAGTGAATAAAAGAAGCAATGGAAGTAATTTTTTTTCTTTTAAAATTCTCTAGATAGTACTAGGACCAAGAGCATTGGATTGACTGGAAGGTTGATGTGATGTTTGGCGTTTTAGTATTATTGTTTTCTACATCATCAATTCACATGTATGTAGTAAACTGACTTAGGACACAGAAGACATGAGTTTGATCTCTCTATTATTTAATAATGGATATATTTCAAAAATGCCCTAGAACTCATATGCACATTCTGTCTGTTCTTGAAAAAGTGTGCCACTGCTCAATGTAACTGTGATATGGGCACTGAATTAAAAAGGTTTGTATTCTGGCACCACTGGTTACCAACTGTGAAATCGTGGGCAATCCTTTTGAAACTCTCCTTTATCATGAATTCCTGTTAATTGTAATAATACTGTAATTATTGCACAGCTAAAATAATCTTTCATCTTTTATTTTATGGTACTCTAAAGAAGTATTAAATGTTCTCATTATCACATTTTATTAATTTTGAGCGAATTAATGCTTCCATTTGCTAGTGCCTCTATTAAACATTCTCATTTTACCTTTTAAATAGCCAAATATTACAAAACAACCAAAATCAGATTCAATAAATATATTGGTAATTAACATTCAATAAGTCTAATAAACTTAAAAATACAGGTATATTAGTAATTGTATTTTTTTGCTAATATTTTGCTTGTTAATGTTTGATAGTTTTAAAATTATATTTTTTCTTATTGTGAAAAATGAAACGTCCTTTATATTTCATGACTTTGCTGGGATACATTATGTATTCCTTTCTTTTTTATCTGTTAATGGTTTATATCATTCCAATGACAAAAAATAGCAGCATTATTTATTATTCAATTATATTCTCCACTCTATTATATTAAATTGCTATTTTATAGCTGAGAAGGTTTATTTCTAAAGACTCTGTAGAAATAATCTCACCATATCTGTATTACAAACAGAGAACATTGATTATTTTCAAGAGAAAGAATTAATAGAACTTACCCTCAGTGCTGGTGGTCTAGAGCCGAAGAGTTGAAAATACAGACTGTACATCATGGAAAGTGCAGTGTCTACTGCCCTAAATGGAATTCAGTAGTAGACAATTGTGTAGTCATAAAGAATTAATGTTACAATAGACCCATGATATCCAGATACTTCACTTAACAGGGCTATTCATTTCTCATTTGTTTAATAATCTAAAATAATAAATGACTATGAATCAAATATTTTGCTGATTTTTTAGCTAATGAACCAGTTTAATCCGGGGGTTCTAAGCCTAATTACTTAAATATACATAAAACAAATAATACAGTATAATATGATTAAGCCTGTAACACATGGATGAAGAAATCACTGGAAAATGGGGGTGTGGAAATAAGCCTGGAAGAATTCAGAAACATTTTACATTCATTCGAAAAATTAACATGTTATAATTAGGCCTTGCAGAAAAAACAGTTTAGAAGGTCATTCTGCGCAATAGCAAAGGCAGGCACAAATTCAGGAAGGACGTGTGCTTGGATCTTGCACATTCTAAGTGATGAGCTCCAAAAATGACCACTCGTGTAGCTGGAATCATCTCAGTGCTATTGCCATGTGGAGAGGATGATTGAGGAGTAATTTGTATATGTAAAAATACAATGCCGAAGCTTACGAGGAGGAAGCATTACCTGTATGTAGAATCAAATGCTAAAACCTTTAAGCATCAAATTAAATTTAATTTATTAATGCTTTTTTATTTTACTGCAATTAGAAATTAGTACTTTTAAAGTAGATATTATAAATATCTACTCTTGGCAAATTTACAACATTCCTGTCTCTTTTTAAAAATCTATCGAAGACGGCTACATTCTATGCTATGAACAGCTGAATCTATGAAGTAGAGAGAAGGTCCCAGCAGCACCCTGCAAAAACTGTGATTTGCTAAACTTCTCTAGGCCAAAAGTTTCCCATAAATAAAATCAACTATTACAGCAGGAAGATAACATCCATCCTTCATCTGCACACAGAGATATTATAGGGCAAAATGGCAGCAATCAGGGAGTCACAGATCATAAGCCTTATAGGAACACCCAATGATGGGGTTATTGCTTTTTTCTTTTACAAGGAAATTCTTTGTCTTATTTTTAAAAATGCAACAGAGAAACAACTTCACTGGGCATAAGGAAAACAAACTGACTTGGAAGTCTGCTCTAATATCCAGCTATTATCATTCAAATAATGTTTATATATATGATTCAAATTAATCAAATGCTTCATTTTTAAAGTGCTTTGAGTTCCTTTTGTAAGTGCATTTGCATCCTTTAATATGAAAGTAAGTTATTGTTCCATAGGTAATTAGATATATTTTATTTTTATTTATTTTGCTATGTTGGTGTCTTATAGTTTGTTTTTGCTATTTTTTTTCATATGATTCTTTGGGCAGTTGGGTTAGGGCATTTGATTTACTCTTTTGTCACTGTTCTACTATGTCTCCTTGGCAAATGTTATTTTCTCCTAGGGTTCCAGCAACTGAGTTGAAACCTCAGTGTTACATTTCCTCTCTTTGATGGTTTGTATTAGTCCATTTTCATGCTGCTGATAAAGCGATACCTGAGACCGGGAAGAAAAAGAGGTTTAATGGACTTACAGTTCCACGTGGCTGGGGAGGCCTCACAATCGTGGTGGAAGGCAAGGAAGAGCAAGTCACACATTACATGGATGGCAGCAGGAAAAGAGAGAGCTTGTGCAGGGGAACTCCTCTGTATAAAACAATCAGACCTCATGAGACTTATTCACTATCAGGAGAACAGCACAAGAAGGACACACCCCCATGATTAAATTACCTCTGACCAGGTTCCTCCTACAACACATGGGAATTGTGGGAATTACAATTCAAAATGAGATATGGGTGGCGACACAGCCGAACTATATCATTCCTCCCCTGGCCCCTCCCAAATATCATGTCCTCATTTTTCAAAACCAATCATGCCTTCCCAACAGTCCCCCAAAGTCTTAACTCATTTTGCATTAACTCAAAAGTCCACAGTCCAAAGTCTCATCAGAGACAAGGCAGGTCCCTTCTGCCTATGAGCCTGTAAAATCAAAAGCAAGTTAGTTGCTTCCTAGATACAATGGGGGTACAGACATGGGTAAATACAGCCATTCAAAATGAGAGAAACTGGCCAGAACAAAGGGGCTACAGGTCTCATGCAAGCCTGAAATCCAGTGGGGCAGTCAAATCTTAAAGCTCCAAACTGATCTCCTTTAACTCCATGTCTCACATCCAGGTCACTCTGATGCAAGAGGGGGGTTCCCATGGTCTTGGGCAGCTCCGCCCCTATGGCTTTGCAGGGTACAGCCTCCCTTCCAGCTGCTTTCACAGGCTGGTGTTGAGTGTCTGTGACTTTTCCAGGTGCATGGTGCAAGCTGTGAGTGGATCTACAATTCTGGGGTCTGGAGGATGGTGGCTTTCTTCTCACAGCTCCACTAGGCAGTGCCCCATTAGGGACTCTGTGTGGGGGCTCCAACCCCACATTTTCTTTCTGCACTGCCATAGCAGAGGTTCTCCATAAGGTCCCCACCCCAGCAGCAAACTTCTGCCTGGGCATTCAGGCATTTCCATACATCCTCTCAAATCTAGGTGGAGGTTTCCAAATCCCAGTTGTTGACTTCTGCGCACCCGTAGGCTCAACACCACTTGGAAGCTGCCAAGACTTGGGGCTTACACCCTCTTAAGCCAATGGCTTGAGCTCTATGTTGGCCCCTTTTAGCCATGGCTGGAGCACATGAGATGCAGGACACCAAGTCCCTAGGCTGTACACAGTACTGGGACCCTGGGCCTTGCCCATGAAACCATTCTTTCTTCCTAGACCTTTGGGCCTGTGATGGGAGGGGCTGCAATGCAGACTTCTGACATGCCTGGGAGACATTTTCCCCATTGTCTAGGGTATTAATATTTAGCTCCTGATTACTTATGCAAATTTCTAAAAGTGGCTTGAATTTCTCCTCAGAAAATGGGATTTTCTATTCTATCGCATTGTCAAGCTGCAAATTTTCTGAACTTTTATGCTCTGCTTCCCTTATAAAACTGAATGCCTTTAACAGCACCCAAGTCACCTCTTGAATGCTTTGCTGCTTAGAAATTTCTTCCAACAGATACCCTAAATCATCTCTCTCAAGTTCAAAGTTCCCTAAACCTGTAAGGCAGGGACAAAACATTGCCAGTCTCTTTGCTATAACATAACAGAGTCACATTTATTCTAGTTTCCAACAAGTTCCTCATCTCCATGTGAGACCACCTCTACCTGAATTTTATTGTCCATATCACTGTCAGCATATTGGGCAAAGCCATTCAAAAAGTCTCTAGGAAGTCCCAAACATTCTCACATTTTCCTGTCTTCTTCTAAGCTCCCTAAACTGTTCCAAGCCCTGCCTTTACCCAGTTCCAAAATCACTTCCACATTTTGGGGTATTTTGTAGCCGTGCCCCACTCTACCGGTATCAATTTACTGTATTAGTCTGTTTTCATACTGATAATAAAGTCATGCCCAAGACTGGTAAGAAAAAGAGGTTTAATGGACTTATGTGCTCCACGTGGCCAGGGAGACCTCACAATCATGGTGGAATGCCAGGAGGAGCAAGTCACATCTTACAAGGATGGTGGCAGGTAAAGAAAGAGCGTGTGCAGTGGACCTCCTCCTTATAAAACCATCAGATCTCATGAAACTTATTCACTATTATGGGAACAGCATGAGAAAGACCCACTCCCATGATTCAGTTACCTCCCACTGGGTTCCTCCCATAACGTGTGTGAATTGTGGGAGTTACAATTCAAGATGAGATTGGGTGGGACATAGCCAGAAAATATCACTGGTAGTCATGCTACTGTCTAGGTGTGAAAGAAAGGATGCAGTTCTGATTACTGCTTCTGTTGACCAGCATCTGCTCAGAGCCCTGTAACTGAAATGACACTCCCTGTACTATATGTCAATAAAGCCCAGTATTGGTGTTAACTGAATTTATTATGAAAGCCCCTTTTTAGAGACTCATAGAGATAGATGGACTCCAAATATCCCTTACTAAATAAGAAAGCTTAAATTATCATGCTTATGTTAATATATAGGTACTCAAACATTGTTTTGGTGCTTCTAGTTGCAATAAATACTACTATAATTGCACAAGCATTAGAAATTAACTCACCATTCTGGTTTTGCTGTATTTCCTAATTTCATCTTCTTGTTCCTTAATTCTTTATTGCTAATTTTATATTGTACTTTAAAAATTAAATATATATACAAAAAGAAGAAAAAGCTTGTGTGCAAAACAATCAGATTTCTAAATTTAGAAGACTACAAAAATATGAATTTAAGAAATCTTTTCTACAGTGAACCTATACATTTTCTAATCAGTATCCATATTTCGTGTTCTTGTAGAACATGAAAAGAAAGACTTCACATATTAAAACATTTTTCCCCCTATACTTTACTGTGTTCTGTGGTGAACTTTAGCCATAAGATAGAACAATTTTTCTTAGATTCTAGTTTTGGGTTATAATTAATTTGTCCCTCAAGACATGATTTTAGATGGTACACATAAATATTATTTGCTATAGCTCAAAATACAAAAATCACACAGTAAGAATTTGTTGAAAACTCAGACACCACGAAATTCACTTACAGTTATGATGTAGCAATCACAAAAAAACGGTTGTTCTACCCTAATACCAGAACCAGGAAGGCTAACTAAGCCTTTAAAAGTCATAGATTTGATTGTTTAGTCCATTAAAATTGTTGTTGCAAAAAAAAAAAAAAATAAGCCATAGTACAAAAAGTGATGAGCCCTTCTTAGTGAGAGGTGAAGCTGGCTGGGCTTCTGGGTCAGTTGGGAACTTGGAGAACTTTTCTGTCTTGCTAAAGGATTGTGAACACACTAATCAATGCTCTGTGTCTAGCTAAAGGTTTGTAAATGCACCAATTGGTGCTCTGTAAAAACACACCAATCAGCGCTCTGTGTCTAAAGGTTTGTAAACGCACCAATCAGCGCTCTGTAAAAATGCGCCAATCAGCGCTCTGTGTCTAGCTAAAGGTTTGTAAACGCACCAATCGGCGCTCTGTAAAAACACACCAATCAGTGCTCTGTGTCTAGCTAAAGGTTTGTAAAAGCACCAATTAGCACCCTGTAAAAACACACCAATCAGCACTCTGTAAAATGGACCAATCAGCATGACGTGATAAGGGAATAAAAGCTGGCCACCTGAGCCACCAGCAGCAGCAACCTTCTTGGGTCCCCTTGCATGCTGTGGAAGCTTTGCTCTCTCGCTCTTCACAATAAATCTTGGTGCTGCTCACTCTTTGGGTCCGCACTACCTTTATGAGCTGTAACACACACTGCTTCATTCCTGAAGTCCGAGAGACCACGAACCCATCAGGAGGAACAAACAACTCCGGACACGCCACCTTTAAGAGCTGTAACACTTACTGCGAAGGTCTGCGGCCTCACTCCTGAAGTGAGGGAGACCACAAGCCCACCGGAAGGAAGAAACTCTGGACACATCTGTACATCTAAATGAACAAACTCCAGACACACCACCTTTAAGAGCTGTTTAACCCTCACCTCAAAGGTCTGCGGCGGCTTCATTCTTGAAGTCAGCAAGACCAAGAACCCACTGGAAGGAATAAATTCTGGACACGTTAGGACAGAGGAGAGTAGAGGACACCCATGCCTGCGTTCACTCTTGGTTGGTAAGAAGCTATGCCATGGACAAGAGTCAGGAGAGCCAGCGAACTCTGGAATGCGGACTTAGCAGCTTTATATGGGCTAGCAAGGGATGGAGAAGTCCATAGACACTCCAAACCCACCGTCAATCCACACCTAAACCCAGATCTTTCCACAGACCTCCACCAAGTGCACATGGGCAGTGTTCCAAACATTGAGGACAGGTCAGTAGAGTGCAGAGTACCTTCTGTAAGTCCTTTTTCTATAAGTGCATGGCAATGCCTATTGGAGGCTGGGCACAAGGCCAGAGAGCTGAGGGAGAAAGAGCTCCTTGAAGGCCTCCTTCCCATGCTGGGTACAAATAAACTACTGCAAAGGCGAGATCAGAGCAGAAAAAATCAGAAATTTCTCAATGCACAGAACTCCAGGGACAGAACTAGAGAGCAAAGTGAGTTCCCCAGTAGTTCAAAAAGCTGCAATCCTGGTTTTAAAAAAGAAATAGATTCAAGTGGTTTGGAAAACTAGTGCGCGGGCTGCATATCTCAATGATCTCTCTAAAGTGTTACTGGTACTTGGATTTCAAGCAATATTAAAGGGAAATGCCCTGATTCTTCTTTCAAAATAGTGTAACTATCAGTAAATTGAATCTAAAAATGCTACAACAAACTTGAGAACGAGCTTATGTAGAGAATACATTCACTACATTTACTCAGGTCTACACGTTAGATTACTGACAGGAGTAGCCGTGTGTCCTTTCCTGGGCTGAATATCATGTGTGTCATCCTTTATATGCTTTTGTATTTATGCACTTATACCATTGTCTTCCTAAAAAAGTCCACATACATGAGTAAAAGCAATTACCAGACATATAACAAGTGACCCATCACCAATAGGAGAAATAGTTAACAGAAGTAGACTCAGAGACAACTCAGATGTTAATATAATCAAACAAAAATCTTCAAGTAAAACTTACAATAAAGGATCTGTATACAAGATGGCATCATGTTTGGAACACATGGGAAATTTAAGCAAAGAGACAGAAATAATTTTTAAAAGAATCAAAAGAGAAGGATAGACATTTTAAAAAGTAAACAGATATTAGAAATTTATTTAATGAGCTTAACAACTATATATAACACACATCAAAGTAAAATAACACAGACATATTTAAAGTAAAAATAATAACAACGGCTGTAAAGAATGGGTATGAAAATACTAGTATTGGACAAAACAGACTTCAAGGTAAGGAACATTAGTAGAAATAAAAAGATAGAGGAAAGTAATAATAAGCAAGTTCATCAAGAAGGCATAACAGCCCTAAACATGATAAACCTAGTAAGGGAGTTCAAAATACACAGAGCAAAGATGCTAGAACTAAAGGAAGAAATAGACATGCTATGATAATAAATTTGGTATAAAACAGCTATAATGAGTTAGAACTAGAAATAGAGAGAGGGAATTACTAGTTACCAATATCAAAAATAAAAGTGTGAACATTATTAAATATCCTGGAAATAAGAACATACTATGAGCAATTAATTACCAATATCAAAAATAAAAGTGTGAACATCATTAAATATCCTAAAAATAAGAAGATACTATGAACAATTTGTATCAACAAATTTAGCAACTCAGATTAAATACAAACTTTTCTCAAAAGTACAATTTACCAAAACAAAACAAGAGAAAAAAATTAGATAACAATGTATCTATTAATTAAATTGAATTAGTACTAAAACGTATCTTCTAACAAGGAAAACTACAAACACAGATGGTTTTATTGATTAATTAGATTAAACATATAAGGAATAGATACTGTGAAACTAATATCCACCTTACACAGATTATTTTAGAAGAGGGAACACTTTCCATTACATTTTAAAGTCCAAGGCCAACATGATAGCAAAATCAAACAAAGAAATGACAAAATATGAAAATTATAGATCAACATTCCTAATGAACAGACTCACAAAGATCCTTAACTCCACATAGCTAATTTAATCTTGTAGTACATAAAAGGGGTAATATATCATGACTAATTTGACTTTATACCAGAAATGCACCCTTGGTGTAACATTTAAAAATAAATCAATTATTAACAGAATTTAAAAATATACATGATTATCTTTTTTTTAAATTATAAGTTCTAGGGTACATGTGCACAATGTGTGGGTTTGTTACATATGATACATGTGCCATGTTGGTGTGCTGCACCCATCAACTTGTCATTTACATTAGGTATATCTCCTAATGCTATCCCTCCCCCGTCCCCCACCCCACAACAGTCCCCGGTGTGTGATGTGTGATGTGTGATGTTCCCCTTCCTGTGTCCAAGTGTTCTCATGGTTCAATTCCCACCTATGAGTGAGAACATGCGGTGTTTGGTTTTTTGTTCTTGTGATAGTTTGCTGAGAATGACGGTTTCCAGCTTCATCCATGTCCCTACAAAGGACATGGACTCATCCTTTTTTATGGCTACATAGTATTCCATGGTGTATATGTGCCACATTTTCTTAATCCAGTCTACCATTGATGGACATTTGGGTTGGTTGCAAGGCTTTGCTCTTGTGAATAGTGCCACAATAAACATACGTGTGCATGTGTCTTTATAGCAGCATGATTTATAATCCTTTGGGTATATACCCAGTAATGGGATGGCTGGGTCAAATGGTATTTCTAGTTCTAGATCCTTGAGGAATCGCCACACTGTCTTCCACAATGGTTGAACTAGTTTACAGTCCCACCAACAGTGTAAAAGTGTTCCTATTTCTCCACATCCTCTCCAGCATCTGTTGTTTCCTGACTTTTTAATAATTTTCTAAAATGTTTTTTCAGTATGTACTAAGATGATCATGTAAAAATATACGTGACCATCTTAATACATACTGAAGAAACATTTTGGAAAAAAATATATATATATATTCATGATAAATTCTTTCAGCAACTCACATACAGCAGGAACTTCATTCAATCTATGGACGTCTACAATACATCTATATTTAGCACCATATTTAACAGTGAAATAATTGAACACTCTCCCCTAAGAGTAATAACACGACAAGAATTTCCACGGTCACCACTTCTATTCAACAATGTAACACAGGTCTTACCCACTGTGCTTTGGTATAAGTAAGCAAATATGTAAATTTTGAAAGGAAAAAAATAAAACTATTCACAATTGATGTGATTACTTAGGCAAAAGTTTTAAGAAATCTAAATATAAATAATCTTAGTGACTAATAAATAAATTTACTGGGGTTAGTTGATCCAAGGTCTACAGAGAAAAAACATCACGATTTCTAAATATGAAAAGCAATCAACAGGACAAGAAGTATAAAAACAGAATTTTAGGGAAAAAAAGACATGTAAGACCTTTACACTAAAAGCTAAAATATCTCTGAGAATAAACACCATATGGACATCTGTTTTTGAAAACGCTCCCTAATAATTTAATGAGAAAGGAATGTCTTTTCAATAAACAATGCTAGAATAACTGAACATGAAAAAAAAATTACCATTCTCCTTACTTATAAATTTATCTGAGGTGAATCACAGACATAAATGTAAAATATAAAGCTGTAAGCCAACTAGATGTAAGCATAGGTGGATATTTTCGTGACCTTTAGGTAGGCAGAGATTTTTGGAGTGTTCACTAAAAGTAATAACTGTATAAGGATTGATTAATAAAACTTTATCAAATTAAAATGTTCTGCTTATGATAAAATATTATTAAAATTATTGGCAAACCATGAACTCGGTGAAAACAGCTGCAAAGTTTGCATTCAGAATATTTGAAGGAAATATATAAAAACAACGGCCAAATTGAAAATGGGGAAAAGACTTGAGTAGACAACCTGAAAAAGAAGATATGTCAGTGGTCAATTAGCATCTAAAGAAATAAATGCTCAACATCTTTATCTTACGGGGAAGGTAAGCTTAATCTAAATAAAATATAATTTCTCAATAAATAGAATTACCAAAGTTAAAAAAATTGACAATAATACGTGGCAGTGGGAAGAAAGAGTTTTTGGTATTTATTTACATTTCTTATGGGCCTAGAAAAAAAAATCTTTGGAGAACTCTTTGCAGTTTCATCTAAAGTTAAACATACTCCCACTTTCTGACCCAATGATTCCTCTAGTAGGTATTTACCCCATAAAAATAAAAACATTGGTCCTAAAATATGACCATACAGGAACAGTCATTGTAGTCTCATTCATATAAGCCCTAGACTAGAAACAACACTAGTGTTCACCAATATATGAATGAGTAATTGAATATCTTATATTTACATAATGAAATATCACTAAGCAATTAAAAAATAACTGTGAATACATTAAAAATGTGAATGATTTTCATAATCATTATGTTGAGCAAAAAAGCTGGATACAAAAATATATGTGTATATGTATATATGTATACACATATACACATATATGTGTATGTATATACACATGTATATTCACATATATATACATATACACATATGCATATTTTGCATTTATACATTTATACATACAGTCTGTGAATCTATTTTTATGATGTTCCAGAACAAACAAAACCAATCTGGGGTGATAGAAATCAGAATGGTGTGGGCAGTGGGAGCCTGACTCAGGGGCCCAAGGCAACGTTCTAGGTAATACACATGTTCTCAATTTGCTTTGGACAGTGTTTTCACAGCGATATTCAATCATGAAAACTCATTGAACACTTTGATTTTGTTAAATATAACTTTAACATATAAAAAATATAAAATTTAAAAGATTTTTTCAAAGTTATAAGTCAGACACAACAAATTTACATATTGCAAATGAAAAGATGTCTGACTTAAAAAAATTATTTCAGAAAAAGGCACAAAAAAAGAAAAAGAAATATGCTGTGTTATTAGTGCCATTACTTTTTGCAGGAGAATACAGTACTTTTGAGTGATTTTGTTTTCTCATCTTAGGCACCGTCATATAATAATCTTTATTCAAACCCTTGTTAATTTAAATGTATTGCAGGAGATGAACCAAAGCTATATGGCATATCTTTCAGAAGACAACAATTGAAAGATAAATTTTCAATTTAGCTTTTTACTACTTTCAAGCTACAGAGTAGAATTTAAGAGTGGATGCATTTTTCAAATTATAAAACTTCCTATAATATAAATTTTACATACAGAGTAGAATTGTTTTGTCTTAGGAGCACTTTCATTCTGCCTTGCTCTACCAAATTGTTTTGAAAGGTGACACAGTAGTGAGGAAAATTGCCACATTTAGTATATGTATAGTTGTTATAATTAACAGAGACACAACAAAGTTCAAAGCATTTGTCACTCTGTTTTTTGTTCCTATATATCCTAAATGCTTTCTATATGTTGTATCTCCCCCACAACCCTGTGTTTCAATCTCTATTAAAAGCGATTACTGCAACTGTACTGAACTTTTCAGTTGTAAAATTCCTGGATTATCTCTTTGCATACACCTATGCCTGGGCACTGTATTGCCTACTTTCCTAAAATAATTCACTTCTTCACTCCTCAAATCCCACAAAACACCTGGCTAGCACGGTTGTGACATATCTGTGCTCTTCAAAGTAGGTGCACCCAACTCAGTGCAGTCTACAAAAGGAACACCTAACTGCAGTGTTGTAGCGGAAGATATAATAGCAATATTTCTAAAGACCAAATAAGACCGGGGAGCGAAAATACGTGTCTGCCTGAATCCAGCAGCATAACTGTCATTTCTCAATTTCATATCTATTATTGATTTTTTAATTATACTTTAAGTTCTGGGGTACATTTGCAGATCGTGCAGGTTTGTTACATAGGTATACACGTGCCATGGTGGTTTGCTGTTTTTCTTGAAAACACTTTTTTAAAAAAAGTCATAAACCTCTTAAAATTTTTTTTTGAAATTGCTTCATCCAAATTGTATAGCTTAAAACAATGTTGGTAAGAACCCAGGAGCAGCTGGGAGGAAGTTCAAACACAGGTCAGCATGCAGCCTAACTGAGCTAAGATTTCTACATCTTTGCCTAAATTAGAAGAACATTAAAAATCAGTGTACTGTGATGTGAAGTGGCAGTTCTGAGTCTTGTACACAAATGATGTGCAGAAACGTGGACAGGGTGTTGCCTTACAGATATGATGTATCCTGAAAGCCCCGACAAAGGCTTGCAAGAATGAAACACCGAGAGTTCAAGGCCCTCGCCTCCTCCCTCAAAGCCTCAGATGAGCTAAGTGGATAGTTAAATGTCCTTGTATTGAACTCAATATAGGCTATAAAATTTATACGGTCTGTAAAGAGGTACTTTATATGATAAGTCTTATGATAAGGACTGGAAGAAAGAGAGGATAAGACAGAGCGCCCAAGAAAGAGAGACGGAAAAAGGGAATGGTTAATGATTTCAGTACGTGAAGAAGGATCATTAGTTCTGACGCCTTCTTTTGTGCATCCTGCCATGTCACTTTATTTATATGTGTTTTCTCAATTGTTAACATTTTTATATTACATTGCATTACAGCTAACCATTAAGGAATAAAATCATTCAGTCCGACCACAATTTCATATTAATTTTGCTATGTGTTTCTGAATAACAGATAGATCTCCATCATCTGACTCCTTTTACAAAAAAAAAAAATCTTAGCAGCAGGAAAAGGGTTCTAAATGGAAACCATAGTTTCTTATGTTTTATATCTGAATAATAGAAGGATCTCAAAGTTAAAATAATAATGTTAAAATGTGTGATCAAGGTGAAGGGAAAAATAATATTCACCTGTACTATTATTATTCAACACAATATCAAATTTATCTCAGAGACTCCTTTTATCCGAGGGAAAAAGACCAAAAAAATGATTTTATACTATATGTTGTTATTGTTACTTAATACAAAATAGGTCTTTTATGTTAAGAGAGGTCAGATTTCTCTGGGACTACTCTTGAGGAAATTTGTCTTTATAGTTCCTTATAAAAGATTTGGATTAAGTTAGTTGGAAATAGTAGTTTACAATGTAGTCAAATGTAGTTTACAGAAAAGAAAAGCAACGAGATTGTTAATCTAGCCCTTTCGTTTATCAACTGTGGATAGTATTCAACGTGCTAAATTAGTGAAGGCCTTTTTTTTTTTTTGCAGTATTTCACTAACATGTTTTGGGAAGACAGGTTGTTTTGCTCAATTGATGTGTATACAGAGGCAGAGGGCTCAGACTACACCACTAAAAAACCGCATGAGTGTCCCTAAAAATTTCTTGTTCTTCATTCTTCTTTTTTTGTTAACCATCCTACATATATCCAAGCCCAGTCATATTCTTCTGTTATAGACACACAAAGATCCAGGTACTGTGAATAGAAAACACGCAAATGTCAAGTTCAAACATGGCTTGTTGGTCTCTAATGTTTTTTTATTATATCCTTTTCACTTTTTAAGTCCACCAGGTCATCTCTAGTTATAAAAATAATGAGGTTGGATATTATAAACTACATGTATTTAATAGAATATATATCTTAAAGTCCCAGAGCAAGTAAATAGCTTTAATTCAGAAGTTTCAGAAAGGTTTGAGAGTAGTATGTTTACTTTTCACATTAATAAACCTTTTTTGAATAATAATCTTAAAATGTGAGCACAATAGAATGGGAGGGATACGCATGGCCTGATTTGTTCATACCGATTAATATAATAATGTAGATATCCATTATATTGCTACTTATAACTTTGCTATACCTAAATTTATAACAGTAAACATATATATGTAAATACTACAATATTAATACTGGAGCTATGTGTAATTTCTATACTAGGTGATTTATTTTCTGTTTCTCATAAGTGTGACTATATCATTATAAATATATATAATCATGCATATATAATAAATAAGATATATATAACATGCAAATTCATATACAAAAAAGAAGGGACTTGATAATCTGTGTTGTGGCTTATACATTTGTTTAGAAATATCAACTTCAGGTAACTGAAGTATAAAAGGACAATAAATGGCAATATATCCATAGATAAATATTGCAGAAAAAATAAAACGTTACTCTCATTTGAAAGAACAAAAATGTGTCTATTTTAGGTCAAATGTACAAATTCATTTTATCAAACAAAGAACAAGTCAGTCATCAATAAAAATGGAAACTTGGAAGTGAGAATCAAAACTGATATTATTGTAAATTATAGAAACCAGTGTCAGGTAGGTTTAAAGTATTCTTAATCCAAAACTAACTGCCACCCTCCAATTAACTGCATCATGAAAAAACACATCAAGAGAGCTTGATACCATAAAGTTTTAGTCTGTAAAGCTACAGTCAATGTCTTTAGTCAGTATATATACAACCTCTTCTAGCAATGAGGGGCCAATTTTTTAATTTTTTAAAAAATAGGATTAAATAACACTCATATTATTTTTTGACCCATCACTAAGAGACAGAAAAGAAGTCTTGTTTCTAATACTTAGAATGGAATGACATGGTGTATAAAGTATCTTTCGCTGAATAAAAGTGACTTGCATTTGGGACTCAGAATATATTATCAACAGGTTAGAATATTTCTAATTAAACTTTCATTTGGGGCAACATTTAACTCTTGCTCTGTATAGCCAGTCACAACAGTTGAACTTTTAAAAATACAACCAATGAAGAAAGCTGAATAAGCAGCACAGATTTCCCACACATTATAATACTATTTATAAATCAATGTCAACAATTAAAATATCACACCTAAATATTTAATTATGGTTCAAGTTATTTGAGAAAACAGTATGGCACGGTGGCCCTCTATGCCAGTTGATTTTAATTATCTTTTAGCTTCATTATAGCAAATGTTGTTTCTTTCATAAGTGAAATTTTCACCACAAAATCTACGAGTAATTAATTGCACAATGATTTCTTTATTGTGATGGTTGAATTCCATTTAATAAGCTGTTTTCATGAGTAGATTAACACTAGGTCTAAACAGAATTTGGATTAATTATCCTAACTGAAATATTTTGGAATTTTCTGGTGGTTGGCTTTTTTTCTCTCTCCTACAATGTTAGATTTGTGATTGCAACATTCCATTGTTTTAACGGCATGCATTTGAGCTCATCTAAACAATTCCTTAAGAACTACTCAAGTCTTACATTAAAAATATTTTTAGTTGTGAAAACCTTTCTTAAACCACTCATTTTGAAAGATTTAGCTGAATACCATTTTTAGTTTGTCAAAAGTCAGAATCACTTTGCTAATGCATTAACCATTCATTAATACTCTTTGAAGTGATCCAAAGCTGGAGGAAACCATATGTAATAATTTAATTTTGTTTTTACAAGTAATAATTATATACAAACACCATACTGCACAAACACACACACACAAACACACACACACACACACACACACACACACATATATATATATATATATATATATATATATATAATTTCTGCTGAATTTTTAGATAATATACTAGTCCCTGAGAAATATACGGCTCAGCAATTGGGCCCATATAATTTTAGAAGAACCGAGAAGTTCCCATTCGAAAGGGTCCAGAGGAAATCAGAAGGAATTAAGTTTGATGGGTTAACTTCAGGAAATTTTCAAGTTGTGCTGGCTTTGGGAAAATCTTTCTATTTTTTCAAGCATTTTAGGCAGTCTGCATGCTACAGATTTCATTTTTTCATTTGACACAGGTGTGTGTGTGTGTGTGTGTGTGCATGCATGCACACCCATTTCTTATTCAACAATTACACATCAGACATGTCTTAGTCCATTTTCACACTGCTATAAGGAACTACCTGAGACTGGGTAATTTATGAGGAAAAGAGGTTTAATTGACTTACAGTTCCACAGGCTTAACAGGAAGCATGACTGGGAGGCCTCAGGAAGCTTACCATCATGGTGTTAGACAAAGGGGAAGCAAGGATCTTCTTCACATGGTGTCAGGAGAGAGAGGTGAAGGGGGAAGTGCAACACACGTTTAAAAAAACCATTAGATCTTGTGAGAATGAGAACCCTCACTATCATGAGAACAGCCAGGAAGAAATCTGTCCCCATGATCCAATCACTTCCCAAGAGATCTCTCTCTGACACATGGCGATTACAATTTGACATAAGATTTGGGTGGGGACACAGAGCCAAATTATGTCATTCTGCCCCAGCCCTTCCCAAATCTCATGTCCTTCTCACATTTCAAAACGAATCATGCCTTCCCAATAGTCCCTCAAAGTCTTAACTCATTCTAGAATTAACTCAAAAGTCCAAATCCAAAGTGTCATCTGAAACAGGCAAGTCCCATTCATCTGTGAGCCTATAAAATAAAAAACAACTTAGTTACTTCAAAGATACAATGGGGGTAGAGGCATTGGGTAAATGCTCCCATTCCAAAATAGGGAAATTGGTCAAAACAGTGGGTCTACAGTCTCCATGCAAGTCTGAAACCCAGTAAGGCAGTCATTAAATTTTGAAGCTCTGAAATAATCTCCTTTGACTCCATGTCTCACATCCAGGTCATATTGATGCAAGAGGTGGGTTCCCATGATCTTAGGCAGCTCCCTGTCTCTGGCTCTGCAGGCTGTCAGTGGATCTATCTTTCTGGGGTCTAGAGGATGGCGGCCCTCTTCTCACAGCTCCACTAGGCAGGGCCCCAGTGGTGATTCTGTGTGGGTGCTCCAACCCCACATTTTCCCACTGCACTGCCCTAGTAGAGGTTCTCCATGATGGCTCTGCCACTACAGCAGACTTCTTTCTGGACATCCAGGCATTTCCATATATCCTCTGAATTCTAGATGGAAGTTTACAAGCTTCAGCTCTTGCCTTCTATGCATCCACAGGCCCAACATCACATGGAAGCCACCAAGGCTTGGGTTTTGCACTCTCTGAAGCTATGGCCCAAGCTGTATCTTGGCCCTTTTTAGCCATGGCTGGAGCTGGAGTGGCTGGAATGCAGGGCACCATGTCCCAAGGCTGCACAAAGCAGCTGGTCTCTGGGTTCAATCAACAAAACCATTTTTCCCGCTGAGGCCTACAGGCCTGTGATGGGAGGGGCTGCCATGAGAGTCTTTGAAATGCCCTGGAGGTATTTTTCCTATTTTCTTCGCTATCAACATTTGGATCCTCTTTACTTATGCAAATTTCTGCAGCAGGCTTGAATTTCTCCCCAGAAAATGGGTTTTTCTTTTCTACCACATGGTCAGGTTGCAAATTTTCCAAACTTTTACACTCTGGCTTTCTTTCAAATATACATTTCGGTTTCAGATAATCTCTTTGTTCATGCAAAAGAGCATAGAGTTTTAGAAACAGCCAGGCCATTTCTTGAATGCTTTGCTGCTTAGAAATTTCTTCTGCCAAATACCCTAAATCATCTCTCTCAAGTTCAAAATGTCACAGATCTCTTGAGCAGGGTAAAATGCCACCAGTCTCTTTGCTAAATCATAGCAAAAGTGACGTTTAGTCTACTTCCCAATAAATTCCTTTTCTCCATTTGAGACCACCTCAGCCTGGACTTCATTGTTCATATCACTATCAGCATTTTGCTCAAAATAATCAACAAGTCTCTAGGAAGTTCCAAATGTTCCTACATTTTCCCGTCTTATTCTGAGTCCTCCAAACTGTTCAAACTTCTGCCTGTTACCTAGTTCCAAAGTTGCTTCCATATTTTCAGCTATCTTTATAGCAGTGCCCCATTCTTTTGGTACCAATTTTTTGTATTAATCTGTTCTCACACTGCTATAAAAGAACTACCTGATATGGAGTTATTTATGAAGAAAAGAGTTTTATTTAACTCACAGTTCCACAGGCTTAACAGAAAGCATGACTGAGAGGTCTCAAGAAACTTAAAATCATGATGGAAGGCAAAGGGGAAGCAAAGACCTTCTTCCTGTGGTAGCAAGAGAGAGAGAGAGCAAAGGGGATGTGACACACACTTTTAAACCAACAGATCTTGTGAGAACTAATTCACTATCATGAGAACAGCAAGAGGAAAATCTGCCCCCATAATTCAATCACCTCCCAACAAGTCCTTCCCCTGACATGTGGCGATTACAATTTGATGTGAGATTTGGGTAGGGACACAGAGCCAAACCATATCAAGGCACAATTCAAAAATGTGAGCCAGTAATACACACACTGAAAGAGGACTTGTAGTGGAGCCACACTGACTCTGGACTATTTTGAGGAACTAAGGGGCCAAATACCCCTTCTGCACTTCTCCAGAATTTGAAATGTTAAAAGCAGTCTTGCCAAAACCCTCTGGGTAGATCTAGATGTAACATCTCACACCAGTGGGGACTCAGGAAATGGGAGAATTTCGAGTTTGGAGCACCTAGTGGGCTTCCAAAAACAGTGAATTGAGCATCCTATGATTGGCAGAGGACATGGGAGTGAGGTCAGGAACTGGGGATTTCCAGGAACATATTGCATTTGAGGGGTGTTTCTCCATAGACACTTTCTCCTGCATCGCTGTGAAAAGTAGTACATAGCATGGAATAAGCTGGTTCTTTTTTTTTTTTAATAAATCCTTTTACTTTCTAAAGTAAAATCTGATCATCCTGCATAGTTTCTTGGGATGACTCTGCAGGAATAAATAAAGGGGAGGAAAACAAGGGCAGTCTCCCTCTCCATCTCGCCCAGTGCCCAAGGCCAGGAAGCAGCAGCCCACCAAAGGCCCATGTCCTGGGCTCCTGGGTGGGCCTACAGGTTAGGAAGAGATGTTGAGGCTGGAGGAGTGTCAGACACAACAGAAAAACTACTCCTGGGATGACTCAGGAGCTGATATGAAACAACTCAGCATTATTTTTTTTTTCCACGTGTAGTGAGAGGTATTCCTTAAAAAGAAGAGAAGCATCAACTTTTGGCACATAGGTGTGAAATAAGGAACCCATAATACACTGTTATTTTCAAAATGTAAGTATTTCTTGCTTGATTTTAAACACTTTTCCTTTTTGCCTTGTGGTAGTATTTTGAGCTGATACTTTCACCCCATCTCCAAACGCATATTTGAAATTTAAATTTTGTGAAATGAGGAATGCTTTCACTAGGCCCTTCATTAAACACTAATTTAACAACTTCCTCAGAGATGAATAAACAGGCTCTACCATACGGTGGCACGTGTGGGCCCTCTAGGGGACGGGGGAATTGGGCCACAACTGCCACAGGGTCAAAGCCATTCCACCTGCCAGAGACTGCATCTTCAGAAGGTGGGCTGGAAAGATGGCTTTTCACTTACTAGCTTCCGAGTGGAAACAAAGAAAATAATTTGTTCTATTAGATCATGGCTTGTCTTGGAAATTATCCAGCATGGGAAATGCTTTAATTTTTGCTAGCGTTCTGAAGAGACCAGCAATGAAAGAGGGTACTGTGTGCATGAGCAATCCAGGAATTAAAAGAGCGATGACAAAAAACACGCTAGTTTTGAACAGCAAAGCATGTGAAATATTCCAAAAGGAAATGGCTCAGAGGTCTAACTATACCTTTCAAACTAAAACTTTGTTAAATGATTGCATCAACCAAGAACGAGGAAGCTGTACCTAGAAGGAACAGCATTGTTTCAGGAGGAGATTGAATCACATATTTATCTAAGGAAGGAAAACTTTATACCACATTTTCACTGTCCTTTTGTTCATATTGGTTTTTATCATAATTTAGAAACAGAACAAAACATTCCCAAGCACAAAGGTGAAATAAACCTCGCGTTCTTATTACGCTAGAGAGTGTCTAAATAGCAGAGGATTTTGATTTTGATTCAGGCATTAAAATTAAATCACACATCCTAAGGAAAAATGATCTGTAATAATGAGAGCCACACACATGGGGTCTGAGAGTGTTATTGAATAATGAAGCAAACTACAGTTGCAGGGAGTGGGGCCAGTATGATTTAATGAAGAGTGCTTTCAAAAACAAATTTCTTCTTTGCCATCATCTATCGATTGCTGGCATATTAGCAAACAAATTGCTGCAAGAGATGAGTATCATAGAATAGAAAGAAATTATTTCTTGTCAATTAAAGTAGCTTCATTTTATGGAGGCCTGGTGGAGGCTGAGTTCAGTACCTATAGGTACAACTGAAGGCACAGCCGCCAGTTCCTTCAGCAGGAGCAGGTTAGAGAGGCCTTTATTCAGTAACTGTTAGTTGGTGCCACTAGCCCTCAGGTAGTAAACAAGCATACGGTTCTGACAGCATTTTTCTCATTACCTAGGCCCCTTGGTTGACTTCCTTGAACACCATCCAACGCAGTGACCGAGGTCAACATTTTTCTGCATTAATTCTGAGTGACTTTGAAAGCTATGGGCTTTGGTCTTTTTCTTCTTACTTCTTTTAAATCAACATCTTTATCTTGTTTGGTTCATTTTAAGTTTTTTCTAACATGTTTATTAGTGACAGTTTAACAAGGTTACAGAGTTTTATAACATTTTTTTAAAAGATACATTTCTTATTCCTATTGAGTGATAAAGATCATTGTAGTAAATAGTTTTTATTACCAGATTAAACAGATGAGGATTGGAATTCAACGAATTTATGAAAAAGGCTTTATCCACCCATCTCATTTTTTTGTAAGTGATTTTTATGTCACTAATGTTTTGGGAAAACACTGAGCTAGTTTCAATTGCTATTATTTTAATCACAAAAGAATGCATTTTTTCCAGTTAGCTCTCACAAACTGGAGGCGTTCTTATTTGATAGTGGGAAGAAAAAGTGCCAGTCCAGCTATGCTTGAATCTCTTTTTGACCTATGTGTTATAATTCTGCATTGATTTTAGTTTAATATTTGACTTCTAAGGAATTTAAAGTATCTAACACATAAATACAATGTTTAACAAGTAATCGTTGTCAGATATGTTCAAAGGGAATTAACTATTTTTATTCATATTTATAGAAAGAAGGAAGGAAGAAAGGAAGGAAAGAAAGAAAGAAAGAAAGAAAGAAAGAAAGAAAGAAAGAAAGAAAGAAAGAAAGAAAGCCACTCCAAATAAGATGACTTCAGGTTATAAAAACATTTAAATGTCCCTAAAATAGTTGATTTCAGCTCTCAAAGTACACAGTTTGGGAAAAACATGGTGCAGAATCCTGAATCTCCTGCCCCATGCTTACATTGGGGTAAACAGTCTAGCTACTGTTGGGTATCTTCTGATCAACAGTTCCTTTGCCTTTGTGAGAAGAAACACAACCATTACATTTTTTTGCCCTAAAATCGGCATAAATAGAGGTTTTGCCGGCCCCAAAAAATCAGACTGTGTATTCTATGCAAGGGATTCTCCTTCCTGAAATCTTCTGCGAATCCCTCCAAAAAATCCTACAAATAGGAATGGGCAGAAGCATCATCCCAGCTTTCAGGCTACAGAACAGTTGCTCTAGAAAGTATCTGAAAGAAAGAAAAGATGGGCAATATTTCAATGACCAGTTACTCCTAAGGAGAGTGGGCACCCTTCTCTCCCCACCCCAGGCCTGGGAAAAAGCTTGGAAACAGGCTCCAAAGCCAGGAAAGGCTTTCTGCATAAATGAAGAGGGCATTTTGGAGCTGGCTGTGTTGGCAGCAATGTAGTGGTGATAACTGTAATCACAGTGTAGGTGTTGCTGCCAATCTTAATCAGGGAAATCAGAGGGAAAGGGGTAGAAACTGTGGAGCCAGAAAGGTGGGGAAAGCCTGGATTGGATGAGCCATCTCTCCAGGTCAGGAGCCATTAAGCATTTTCACTGTGATCAAGGATAAATCTCTCATGTACCCCATAAATATATACACCTAATATGTACTCACAAAAATTAAAAATAGAAATAATAGGAAATAATATTTTTTTTTTGCCTAGGGATACAAATCCACATGTAACACTAAAACGGACATTTTAGAAAATAATAATTTTGACTCTGTGTCTGAAGTTTCATATTTTTTATCCTTTTTTTTTTATAGCTAGCTGTGACCTGAGAAATTGATTTTATGATCCATCAATAGTTATAACTCACAGGCCAGGCACAGTAGTTCACACCTGTAATCCCAACACTTTGGGAGGCCAAGGCGGGCGAATCACCTGGGGTCATGAGTTTGAGACCAGCCTGGCCAATGAGGTCAAACCTCATCTCTACTAAAAAAAAATACAAAAATTAGCCAGGCGTGGTGGTGCATGCCTGTAATCTCAGCTACTTGGGAGGCTGAGGCAGGAAAATTGCTTAGACCCAGGAGGTGGAGGTTGCAGTGAGCCGAGATCGCTCCACTGCACTCCAGCCTGGGTGACAGAACGAGACTCCATCCCCCACCCCCTCAAAAAAAAACTTCATGACTCACAGTTTGAAAAAAAAATATTCACTGTATCATCATCTTCTATAGCTTGAATGAATTCATGGAGTCATGAATGGTTTGTATGAATTTATTTCTTGTGGAAACTGGTATTTGCACCTGGAGTAATTTGAAATGAGAGAGAGAGGGAAAGAGAGAAGCATTTTAGCTGCGGAAGTTGGATCTTATGAGTGTAAGCCCTGAGGAAGTTCAGACTTCATAGACCAGGGAACAAAGTGAGGTCTCGATCAATTCTCCTTTGCTGTCTTGGCTATGAAAGTCTCTACTTTCATTGGATTACAGCAACTCATCTTTACTTAAACATCTGAATATCTGTTTCAAAGCAAGATACTTTAGCTCTCTGATCATTTAATCATTTACCCATTTGCATATTAACCATGTTTAGTAAGGACTACTATCTGCCCGACACTGCCCAGGCTCTGTGGATGCAATAACAAACAGAATTAGACAAACCATCTATTTAGTTTTCTTTTCTTTTCTTTTCTTTTCTTTTCTTTTCTTTTCTTTTCTTTTCTTTTCTTTCCTTTTCTTTCTTTCTTTCTTCTTTCTTTCTTTCTTTCTTTCTTTCTTTCTTTCTTTCTTTTTTAAATACGGTCTTGTTCTGTCACACAGGCTCGAGTACAGTGGTGCAAGCTCAGCTCACTGCAACCTCCACTTCCCAGATCAAGTGACCCTCCAGCCTCAGCCCCATGAGTAGCTGGGACACAGGTGTGAAGCACCATGTGCAGCTCATTTTTATATTTTTTGTAGAGATGGGGTTTCCTCATGTTTCCTGGGCTGGTATTGAACTCCTGAGCTCAAAGTGATCTACCTGCTTCAGCCTCCCAAAATGCTGGGATTACAGGTGTGAGTCCCTGCGCCCAGCATCAAACCACGTATTTCTATTCCTATGTCACTGATGTCTCTTTCTCAGAGATAGACAATACATATTAATTAAGTAATTTCAGAGAGTGGTTAATACGATAGAGACACTAAAAAGAAGGCAACGTGCGACATGGGCTTGAGCTAAGGTGGGTAATTTAGTGAGTATCTTTAGAAAAGACTTCTCTGAGATGGAGACATTGGAGTTGAGACCTGAATGATGCGAAGGACTCAGGTCAGCCTCACAAAAGCACATGGGTGGAGGTTGTTCCCAGAGGGAATAAGCAAAGGGCCCAGCACAGGGAGAAACTTGGCACATTTTAGAAAAATGAGGCCCGAGATCAGAGTGGATAAGACTTGGCAAGCTCTGGGATCATCACACAACATGGTGCTCGAGATACAGACAAAGAGCCAGAACCAGTGGGTCCCATACACAATGCTAAGGAGTCTGGAATTCAGAAGAGTCAAGGGAAGCCATTGGAAGGTCATGAGCAATGATCATGAACAATGGAATAGTAGTGACATGGGCCGGGCACAGTGGCTCACTCCTGTAATCCCAGCACTTCGGGCAAAAGCCAAAGTGGGCCGATCACGAAGTCAGGAGTTGAGACCAGCCTGGCCAGCATGGTGAAACCCTGTCTCCAGTAAAAATACAAAAATGAGCCAGGAGTAGTGGCGTGCACCTGTAGTCCCAGCTACTCAGGAGGCTGAGGCAAGAGAATTGTTTGACCAGGGAAGGCAGAGGTTGCAGTGACCGAGATCGTGCCACTGTACTCCAACCTAAGAGACAGAGTGAGAGTTTGACTCAAAAAAAAAAAAACAAAAACTTTTGTTCCTGTGAATAGAATAAATTGTATGGAGGCAAGACCAGAAGCAAGGAGATAATTAGAAGAATATTGCAATAATGTAGGAGGAAGATGGTAAAAACTTATACCAAGATTTAACAATGGAGATATTTGGTATAAACACTAGTACATTCTGAGTGATTAAATTTATGGGTAAGGAAAGAAAAGTGTCCTACTAAGACTTGGCAGAAAAATTTTACTCTATGATTCATAATTCTGCTTAAAGAAAACAAATGGGTTGTGGGTCCCAAGTTCCTTGATGGATAATAAGAAAAAGTATCATCTTAGTTGTATAATTACTTCCTATCCATTAATAGGAAGAAAACAAAATAATTTCCCTCTCCAATTTATCCATTTAGTGCTTTTTCTATCTTCTTGAATCTATTTGCAACAGAAATACTAACTTGTACGAGGCATAGTAAGACTGTTTCAAATTGGAGATGGATTTTTTAAATTAAAAAATTATATTACTAATTATTTTTATTTCAAGTTTGACATTTTTGATTTTGCTCCCTCTTTGCCTAAAAGTTCGCTGATACCCACATCTTATTCAAATGAAGATAGGCTGCTTTGAAATGTCTGTAATTGAAATTACAAACACAATGGGTAGGGAGGGGTAGAAACACACACAATCAGAAATTGTAAATCTTTGCTGGCTCACATGTTTATTGGTAACATTTTCAACCTGTTCTGAGCCCCATCAGGCCCCCACTACAGGACCTCCTTCTACCTCACCTCCATGCCCCGTCCCACTCTCTCCATCCCTGTCTGCACTTCAGCCCTCCGGCCTTTATCACCTTCTCAGATACGCCAAGCATCTTTCCTCATTTGTAAAAAGAAAATAACAATAGTGATTGCCTTCTAAGGCTTTTGTAAAGATTAATGAAAATAATCTCTATAAAGTGCTCAGTACAGAAATGCTCAAGACAGCAGTTACACATGTATGCATGTTTTCTATAGACTTACTACAGCAATGCTTCACTTGAGAGAGAGATAATACAATCCTCACTTCTTCCTTTTTCTTGGAGTGGTGAATTCTATGTTGTGCTGCATGTATTCCCCATTTAAAATATTTTTTTCTACAAGCTGCTGGTAGTGGCGCTGGGTGGCAAGCCGTCAGTCCTCGGCCTTCTCTGAGAATTCCCTTCATTTGAAGAGAGCAGCCTCACCTAAGGTTCCCTTTCAGGAGGCTGGACAGTGTCACTCCAAGGACTCCTGAAATTGCGGTATATACCCATGTCCTTTGTCCAAGTTGGGAGAACTTAGAGGGCCATCCAACTCCAGAGCTCTCCAGACAATTGGCTGAGGGCTCACGGTCCAGCGTCTCCCTCTGCCCTGTCCTGCCTTCTTCATCCTTCACCCCAGAGAAGATCCTGCTGAGTGAGAGCACTCAACATATTTCCCGAATGCAAATCTCCACCTTAAAATCTGCTTTCAAAAAACCTGACCTTTACCAGACGCTAAAATGGAGGACTACCTCTCCCAACTATTCTCATGCCTGAGTATTTTCGTCCCTCACATTTGAAATCTTTTTTCTTTGCACCCTGCTTTAAAAATGCAGTCAATGAACGGTTTATGTTGGTGAATTGAATTTTAGTTTAAATTCATACTATGTTCCATGATGCCTCAGATTGTACCAGGTGCTATAGGAGCTACTAGAAAGGTTTGAGTCTGCACCCTAAAATGTCTACTTTTTTTGGAATTCCAATCATATATGTACAAGAAGTGCACACAAACAAGAATAATGCACAGTTGAGTGCCACTGTGTGTGATGTAGGCTAGACATGAAGCCAGAAGGTTGGGTGCGAGTAGTCCTTTGTCTTACCCAACTGTATCACTTACTGAACTACAGTTGTGAGTGAAGTCCCAGTTTCAAAAGGTACAAAATGAAGAGAAAAAACAGCCTACTCTATAGTTTGGGATGAAGGTAACGCGTGCACATGTGTGAAAGGGCTTTATAACTAAGACGCACTCTATTAATATGAAGGAGAAGTGCTCTGGGGATTGGAGAGCAGTGATGCTCAATAGTGACTGAACTTGTCAGCAACGCTATCACAGATCAATTGGACCTTGAGGTTCTGAATAAGTGGAGGGAAGGGTCCTCCACGGCAGCATTTACATAATGGCTTCTTCTTCTAAGTCTAGAATGAAAGGCGAATGTTAAAATGAGAAATGTTTATGTTTAAAATTAATTGCCCAAAAATAACCTTTCTACACTCATTAGAAGTAATAGTATCTACCTCCTAGAAGCAGTAGGCTTTAATGGTATTCTGTATAAGTTATTCTGGATAAAGTTTAGGTGATATGAATTTGAAAAAAACAAGTCTGATTAAATTAGCCAGCCTGAATCATCCTTCATTGTATTAAAAAATTGTATTTCCATTAACAAATCTTAAAGTTAATTTATCCAGTATGTGACATCTGCACTATCCATGCCCTTTCTATGTTTCTTTACTCTTTTATTATCAAGGAAACAGGTCTGTGAGTTCACAAAGCATTTTCATTAAAGATTGAGCTTTACAAAACACATAAACTGTGAAACTATTGTTAACAGCACCCCAATTCTCTAGAACATGAAGTTCAATAAAAGTACTCTTGGCATAGATAAAGTCTATGAATATGTTATGATGCGAAGATAACACAGAGAATTGACATTTATTAATCACAGTAAAATACCCATTAAAATTAAATTGCATGTGTGTTAAGAAGCAGCATTCAGAATATCATACAAATGAAACACTACTGTGTTTAGTCCCATCTTGAACTGTAACTTGAAATCCAACTTCATGTGCGGTTCTTTTCTGTTAGCCTCGCTACTTCTTGTTCCTGGTCTGTGTGTGAGAGATCGTCGTGCTAGCCCAACTGTAGGCCCTTTCCATGCCTGAAAACAGTTCCTCATTATCAATGTTAATAATGAAGCAATGATACTCAGGGGTTTCCTTGAATATCATTTATTTCATCAAATACAATATGGTAATTATGAAAAGTACCATATTTTATTAGATCCTGTTCAATTTCAGGAACATGACATAGCCAGCAATAGAAAACATATAAACTAATATGGCAGCTCATTGAGATCTAGGCAAAAGTGAGGAGAGACACTCTTTTCAAAAATGATGGGAATGGTCCTTAAGTCAGAGCAAGTCGATGCCCTTTATCACAAAGGACTTACAGGACTCAAAGCGGCCAGGCAGGACTGTTGTGAAAGTTGAAATCAGCTGTGGACAGCAGGGCCCTACTTTGATAAATGCCCACACTGCTGTCACAGAAGGCCTTGGAAAGGAGCTAAGGAGTGACAATGCTTTGTTCTTGCTTTTGTTTTCTCCCTCCATTTTCTCAAGAGTGAATGACCGCAATGTCCAGTGATCTCCATGGTGCTCTACCAAAGCACAGCACGGCACACTTACCTCTCAGGGCATGCTTTATTTGATCTATGCTCATGACCATATTATCAAAAATAGAAAGTGTCTAGAAATTGTACTTGGTTTGCACATGCATGGATAGAGACTCTGGGTTAAAATGATATATGGGTAATAATACACAAAAGATCTTCTTTATCCGTCATCCCGAGGTTTCCTGCTGGTTGTTTTCTGGATAGTACACATATATATATTTTTTCCATTGTTGATGGTGGCCAACCATTCTGGTTTGCCCAGGACTGGGATATTTTCCAAGATGTGGGATTCTTCATGCTTAATCTGGGAAATTCCCAGGCAAACCAGGATGAGTTGGCCACAGTACGTGCTTCCTCCCCATATTTTCTGTTAAGCCACGGTTGGCATTGCCAGGACCTTCAGAAGTGGCAATGTTCCCCTCAATGCTGTGTCTTTAAAAACAAAAAGAGTATGAGTATTTTTGAAAGAACAAAAACAAAGTGAATTTACCTGTGAAGTGTGAGATGTGATATGTAGTGAATTTACAATGAATTTGAGACTCATTCTGTGGAGAACACCCAAGGGGAAAATTGGCATTTATATATAATGATTAACTTATGTATTAATTATCATTTTCAAAGTGGTAAAAATTCTTGCCACATTAAAATGTAAATTAAATATACTTCAAAATGTCCCCAGTATACTTTAGGGAGCTCTCACTAATATAGTTCAGATCTTCAAAATGAAGCTAGAAATTTATCAGGGAATAAATTAATGCTAACTAAAATTTATTACTCAAACTAAATATTTTCACCTTAATTAACCAAATACCTATGATTTATCTGTACAATGACTCTTGGCTGAAGAAGTCCACTTAATTCAGTGCCCAAACATCAGTCACGCGGCTGTCATGATTGTCACTCATGTCCTCCTTATTTCAATCTTGGAGCTATGTTGCAGAAAGTCCACAAGTTGTATCATCAGTGAAATAAGTATTGACCTCATTGGCTGGAAAACCAAAATTTGAATTGTTTTTAATGTTAAAAATTAATTTCAGCCAGGCGCGGTGGCTCACGCCTGTAATCCCAGCACTTTGGGAGGCTGAGGCGGGCGGATTACAAGGTCGGGAGATCGAGACCATCCTGGCTAACACAGTGAAACTCCGTCTCTACTAAAAATACAAAAAATTAGCCGGGTTTCGTGGCGGGCGCCTGCAGTCCCAGCTATTCGGGAGGCTGAGGAGGGAGAACGGCGTGAACCCGGGAGGTGGAGCTTGCAGTGAGCCGAGATCGCGCTACTGCCCTCCAGCCTGGGCGACAGAGCGAGACTCCATCTCAAAAAATAATAATAATAATAATTTCAAACGTATTGATAAAGTTTGCTTAAATTTGTTTATTTCTTTGGTGAAACAATTGTTTGCTTTGCTATAGACTGGGGTGATATCACGTACACAGACACACACACACACACACACACACACACACACACACACGACATTCTGTAAAATCATCCTTTTATTTTTGTTTTCCCCTGCTCCTCACCTCCCTCAGTGGTGTTTCTAAGTTACTTTCCAAAGTAGTTCTTGCAGTTGGCATGTCCTGTCCATTTCGCTGCTGGCATGCACTTCCGGTGACTGTCATCCTCACTGATTGTAACGTCTCCTAACTGTTTTGCCTGCGTCTGCTCTTATCCTCCAGGTTTCATTCTCTGTACAGATGCTAGCGGCATGTTTATGGAAAAAAATACGATCTCATTCTTTTCTTTAAAACCCTTGACTGCCTTTACAGTGACTTAGAAGTGACCTGATCAGCTCCTGCTTCCTCTCCTGATCTGATGCTGCTCCCAATGGGCTCCTCCGCTGTGCTACTAGTCCCAGGCATACAAGCCTCTCTGCCCTTCCCTTAAGGCACAGATCTGGTTTCTCTCTGTGGCCCTTGTTTCACTCTTCCTCTGACTTTCTGCAAGATGTCTCCACCTTCCCCACCTAACCCAAGCTCCAGTGTCACCTGGAGGAACGTTCCCTGACAACGTCATCACAGAAGCCCTGCTCCATCCATACCCTATTACTTAATTCTGTCTATTAATCACTCTGAAACTATATAATTTTTTTTTCAAATAGAACATGTAGTGTGGGGTGAAGGTGGTAGTGTCAAGAATGAATGGGTTGAGGAACCCAAAGTACTATCATAAGCACCCATCAAATGTCTGTTCTCTCCACACCTCATTCTTTCTTCAGCAGGATTATAATTGAACTGAAATTCAAAAGAAATGGTGACATAGTTATTTTTCTTAATAGCAGGGTTTTTTTTCTTTATTTGGGAAATGATTCACTATGAACCTTTATCCCACCAAATGTAATTCTTAGTTCTCTGCCTTCAACATTTTTTTTCCTCTTTACTTCTGATCCTTCAACTCAAGAGTCCTGTTTCAAGCTGTAATCAATGCTTTATTTTTCTGACATCAGGCAAGTGAATAATGAAAAAAATCTTTACTTTTAAATTATTAAAATAAGTAAGCAGAGACATTTAAAAATAAGAGATGAGAAATTTTCCAGTTTTATCACAAAATACAAAGTAATCTAAGCATATTGTTTTATCCCTATGAATTTCTAGTAATTATTTGGTTTCAAATGACATTTTTATTTTACATAAGAGAGTCTAGAACTAATATTTTAATAATTCAGAGTAATGTAGATCTTCTCAATAGGGGAGTTGCTATATCTATATAATGTCAATTAATTACAGTACAATAAAAGTTATCTTCCCAAGTCATTTAATATTTTTCAGGCATTTTGTAAACCTGGACATCTAATTAAAATGTCAAATACATTAGTTCAATTTTACCTATGCAGCGAAAGTAGTTCTTTTTTCTCATGCATTTTCCCCATATTCTTCTCCTAACTTCATTTTCTCTCTTTATTAGTTTTTTCCCTAAAATTTTTGATATCTACTGTAGAAAATATAATCCAATTCAAAAAGAATAAAGAAGAAAGTGAAAATTTACCCAAGATGCCAAGTGCCAGAACAAAATTCTCAATTTTCTTTCAACCTCTGTCCCCCCACAGAAGCATACCTGTACACACACTCTCTCACACACGTACTCACACACCTGTATCATAACATGCATAGCATTACATGCATGCTAATTGGAAGCATGCTCTGTTTCAGTCAGTAACACATAGTGTAGCTCCATGTCAATGTATGTAAATAGGCAGTCATCCCTCTGTGCCTGTGGAAGATGGGTTCCAGGACTCACTCATATACTGAAATTCAAACATACTCAAATCTCCAAGGTGGCCCTATGGGTTCCAGACACGGAAAGTCAATCCTCCCTATACACGGGTTTTGGATGCCTGGAATATTGAATTTTAGATCTCTGGTTGTGGTTGTGAAACCTACCAATAGGAAAGGCCTACTGGATTCACTGGAAAAATATATGCGTGGAAGTGGACTCGGGACATTCAAACTTGTGTTGTTCCAGGGTCGGCTAGATATTGTTTTTTAAGTAGCAGTGGCAGGCTCCCTGCATGGGCATTTTATATAGTCAACTACAAATTAATTATGAAATGTGAAGTGTTTCTAAATGGTTTGCTATTTTTAAGACAGTATAATTAATGACCTTGCATAAACATCTTTATGTACCTTGTCCAATTATATACTCACAATAATAAGTAAGAGTTTAGGGTTAAGATGTATACCTATTAAATTTGATGCTTATTGCTAATCTGCTCTATCAGAAGTTTATATAAAAATGTCATATTCCCACACCATGGAAAATACTGTGTTATTGCGTTTTATACATACATGCATACATACAGTACATATATATATATGCACACACATATACAAACATAGCATATATGCTAAAACAATAGATAATACATCTCAAATTATTATTGTTCAGTGTTCCATCATTATTATTCTGGTTTTCTAAAAATAATGGAAGTTTCTATTGTTTCTCTATATTTTGTAATATTTTACTTGTAGAAAATGAATGACTACTACAAGGCTGAAATAATTCCCCATTAATTCTATCTAAACCCTTTTGTGAAGCTCTCAAAGAACTTTTTCTATTTATTACAAAGCTACTAGTGCATTCATTTTTTAGTGTTTCTTGAGTGATATATTTTGTCACAGTCCCTTTTACATTTCACTTATTTTCCATTTATCCATTAAACAAATACTTTTTTGCGTCTTGACAATGTGCCAGGCACAGTTCTGTTCCGTCACTGAACAAGAGTCAAACATTCCTGTTCTTATAGAGTTTCATTCTAGCAAAAAGAGAGTAAAAATAAAATATAAATGAAATGCACACATAAATTTTAGAGTATGTTAGAAGTTGACACAGACTGAAAAATAAATAGAGGGTAGAGCAGGTTAAAAAACATCGGGAGTGTTGGTGGTAGAGTGAGGAGAAGCAGGCTGAGGGGAAATAGACCCCCTGGGGGTCTCTTTGAGAAGCTAAGTGTGATGGGGGTCTTCTCTTTGAGAAGCTAAGTGTGATGGGGGTCTCTTTGAGAAGCTAAGACCCCTTGGGGGTCTCTTGTGAAGCTAAGGCTTGATGGAAATGAGGATGAGAAGAGAGTAGCTGGAGAAAGATGTTTCCCAGCAGAGGGAATGGTTGGAGAAAAATTCTGGTAGGGCTGTGTCTTATGCACTGTAGGTTTAGCAAAGCTCCTGCACAATTGAGGATATGATTGTACAAATCGTTATCATATGATTATTTGCTTCATGTAGAATAGATTATCTGCAACCCTCTGTGTTCTAACCCTGCCTCTACCACGTACTGGTGTTCCTGGTCTTCCATGAGAGACTTCATCCCTCTGTGCCTCAGTTATCTCAACTAGAAAAGGAAGATATTAAAAATACTGACTTTCATGTGTTGTTGCGAGAAATGAATAAATAAATACATGTAAAACATTTAAACCATGAATAATCTATTTGTAAGAACTAAAAATGGGTTGGCTATCATCATCATTACCACCACCATGCCATCATCATTACTATCATTTCTTGCCCATTATATTAGTTCTATAAATACCAAGTGGTCAGGATGTTTTATATTTTGTTTTTATCAATTGTTTGCCTTAACATTTAGTTCAGTTTGGTTGCTGTCAAAGAATATTTTTCTTTTAGCCCTTTGGATGGTGCAGGTGATAAAAAAGGTACCCAGTGCCTAGGGAGCCTACAATATGTCTTTTGTGGTAGATGTTATTAAAACTCTTGTCCTGGGGCCATCCTCTCAGGTTGGGAGTCTATCCAGATACACAAGGAATGCACTTGCAGTTGCAATTGAGTTGAAATCCTAGTGTTTCTCAGCCATACAGTTTGCTTTAATAAGAGGGTTTCTTTGTTTCTCCTCTGACTTGATTGCTTTTATCCCCAATTTCTTTCTCTCCACAAGCACACATTTGTTCTTTCTTTCCTCTAATGCTCTTGGTCAGATGAATACTTTTGTAGTTCATTTAACCACTCTGCTTCTAATTTCCTTCCTTAATACCTCCTTGAATGATAAGTGGAATCACTACTGGAGCCACTTCTAACTTGGGATTCTCAGTAACTTTTATCTGTTGAGGAGGAAATAGGCTGAATGTAGTGAGGTGAGTATCTTCTCTTTCTGTGGCCCACCATCATTATTGGTTTTGCTTATCAAATTTGCATCTATCATTGTAGTTTTTTCATTTATAGCTTTTCCTCATTTGTTAATTCCTTCATTTTCTTTGTGCTATATAACACTGTGCTCCTCTAAAAGAAAGCTCATGTATGCATTTCTGGAATCTTCTTTCCATGTTTTTAAAATGATATTTGTTGCTTTATCTGGAGGTTTGTGGTATGAGCTTGGGGCGGGCTTCTCTCATATTCGGTATTTATTACATGTTCTTAATAGTCGCTATTTTGTTTGTTTTAGTCAGGATTAAAATACTAAAAGAAAAAGGGCAAAGCTCAGCATTAGGAACCTGTAAAGAATTAATTCATGTTAAAAAACAATTCCAGGCCAGGCGCGGTGGCTCACGCCTGTAATCCCAGCACTTTGAGAGGCCGAGGCAGGCCAATCACGAGGTCAGGAGATCGAGATCATCCTGGATAACACAATGAAACCCTGTCTGTACTAAAAATACAAAAAAAAAATTAGCTGGGTGTGGTGGTGGACGCCTGTAGTCCCAGCTACTCGGGAGGCTGAGGCAGGAGAATGGCACAAACCCTGAAGGCAGAGCTTGCAGTGAGTCGAGATTGCGCCACTGCACTCCAGCCTGGGCAACAGAGCGAGACTCTGTTTCAAAAAAAAAAAAAAAAATTCCACTGAACGTAGGTATAAGTTCATTAAAACGTCACATAGATTAATCTCTCTATTATGTCTAGATTTATCGTTTTTAAGTTTACTCTTCTCATGTTACTTTTAGTAATTCATTTAAATCCTCTTTTTTAAAATATTGAGTGATAAGTCACAAGAATACTAGTATTTTCACATTGTTGATTTACTTCTTGAAATCCTTTTGGGATAAAATAGAATCTCTTAGTTACTGTTTGTGTGGCTTTTTCCATTCCAAATTGTTAAAACCTTATAGGCACATAGCTATAGTTTTGATTCCAGTTTTGCTTTGCTTTTAACACATCACTACATAATGATAAAACAGATATTTTAGAGGAAAATGTACACGAATATTATTGCTTTAGTGAGGAAATGGATATTCTCTTATGAAACACTCTCTTAAATAGTTTTTTTTTTTTTTTTTTTTTTTTTTTTTTGGTATAGATGTATTAGCCTTTATCAGAAGGGGGCATGCAAGAGACAGAGATTCCATCAATATGAGTATATTGGTAGTTTTCTTGGCCTATCAAATGATCTGTATTACCATGTGTCATCCACCAGGAGAAAGCTGGCCAGAGCATTTAGGAGCCTTGGGTCTAATTCTAGTTTGTTTTACTGATTAACCGAGTATGAAGTCACTTAATTTATTTGGTTCTTAATTTTCTCAACTCTAAAATTTAAACATCAAAAGCTTTCCCCAAGCCTTTCTTATTGAGCATTCTGAACTTCTTTCTTTACAACATAGTAAAATTCATCAGGAATACCATTTGAATCAATCAAAATGTCAATTTAAGTGCAATTAACTGCTTGTCTAGCTTGGTGTGCAAGCAGACCAAAATTAGTAGCCAAGTTGGTAAGATCTAAGATATACAAAAAGGTCTATTTTCTTAAAAACATCACTAGAGTTTTTAAACTTCCCAGAGTGCAATTATAGACTTCTCATGAGATGCTCTTTTTAGGGTTTTAGTGACTTGTAGACTTCACTCATAAGCTGTCAGACTTTTTTTTTTTGTTGTTCCAAACAGTAATAGAGGTCATTGTCTGATCAGCATTGGGAAACTAAACTTAAAAAAAAAAACTATTTTTATATTTTACTAAATGTTCTAGAAAATCTGCAGTCTGTGCACAAAGGAGCTATTTGGATTTCCCACCTCATCATATAATTAGCAATAAGGTGAATTCTGCAATAATCACTTCATGCTTTTTTTAGACACCGTCTATCTTGTCTCTATTTCCTTCAAACCATTTTGTGTGTTGCTTCTGATGCTTAAAATACTTCTTCTAAAATGGGATACGAGATGGGTTTTTTAGCTGTCATAATTTAAAGAAAATTTTTACAGCTCCTTTTACAATTTTACTTTTTTAAGTATCTGTATCTACCTTTCGAGCTTCTCTGTGACTAAAGTGCTTTTTCACAAGTTAAGAAAGGGAAATCTAATATTATACTGAACATTTGTGATAATGTAACTTATTAAGCATTGTATGAAATATTTTGCATGACTTTTAAAAAAGTTAACACATTCAACTATCAAAAGAGAGCAAATATCATATCAGACCATAAATAATTATGGGGTGGCCCATTGAAGAAATCTGTTTTTCTAATTATGTTTGGGATCAATTTTTTTGGCGCCAGATCAGTTTATCAGTTAGCAGTTACTTGTGGCTTCCAGGAGCAAAGACTTGAATCCAGTGCTTTAAACATATCTTTGTTTATTTTCACAAGTGAAAGAATTCTATAGGTGGCAATTCAGATTGCTCCACCAGGTCATTAGGGAAACTTGCTTCTTCTAGTTCTACCATATTATTTCTATCTTCCATGCTCAAGAATCTCTAAATCCAATATGTTTGTATTAGTCCCGAAACAATCATGTGTAGGCTCTAGACATGAAGTAATATGCAAGTGGATAGAAAGCCTTTCAGAGATTATGTGCAAAATTTGTATAATTCTTATTTGAATTAGCAATCCTTTAAGCCTAACTCCTAGGTTCATGAAAGTTGATCAGTTTCATACTCTCACCAACAGCAGGTCACAGCCCAGGTCTCATCCTCCTATAGAAATTGAAACTCCAGTTCCCAAAATGGAAAACTTCCGTCTCATTCCTATTTTACATATTTCCCATGAACCCCTTTGTCCTGTCTCCCACTGAGTGTTCTCAATAGTGATTTACCTTTGTTTCTGCCAAAAGGAGATTTCCCTTTAATAGATTCGTGCTATGCATTGACATTTCATTGAATTTGTTACATTTTTCCAATATTTCTTTGTTTGCACATTAGCTTAGTCTGTCTTATATAATGAAGTTTCTACTATCAAGCACTTTGATACATAGGTCAGCTTCATCACAATAATTGGAATCATGCTCCTAGAATGTGTTCTAGCTAATCTTCAGTTTGGTCCTGGGGCCTTTTTATCACTGTAGAGTTTGTTTACAAAATAACATTGTGTAGAAGAAAAGAATATTTTTCCTTTCCCTCCAGTACAACTATCTATGTTAATGCAATTATTTTCCCAATTGGTTAATGTGGAGATGCAAAAGCGCTCAACAAAGCAGCTCACGGTGAGGATGAATGAATGCTAAGGTCTCCTAATTCATTGTATAATGTGATATGACTTTCACAGTGCTTAGACACATAGCCACACTTTCCCACAGAAATGGCACTGGAAGAGGCAGTGTAATTTGATTTCTTGACTAGCTTTTGTAATATAATTTTTACAAATATTCCTATATATTTGCATCAATAGCAACCTCTTTTCTAATTGTTCTAAGCACAATTCATACCAAATGCTGTGAAACAGATATTTTCAATGTGAGATGTTTCCTACCAACTCTTATTTAAATTGAAAATCTAGGTAAATTTAACCATTCCGTGACAAGATGATTGTTATCACAATAAATATATCATCCAAATTAAGGTGACAAATCTTAAATTATTTTTAGTTAAAATTAAAGGGCTGCTTTGTGTTACACAATAGGGTTGGCACTTGCCTTATCTTAGTTTGCTACTTTCTCCCTGCCCTAACCACGTCTCTATCAGCATTCTTCAGCAGTCTTTCTGTGGCACTGCATCCTTTGACCTGTGTGATTCATGTAGATCATTATGTACATTGTTACACCTTTCAGCATTTAAATACAGGATAGGGCCCCTCCTGTCATTCTGACTTGATATTAGACACTTCTTTTTCTACTGAACCTGTCTCTTACATTCAGGTCTTGTCTTTCGTGCAAATTCAAGGTTTTCTTTAGTGTTGATAGTCTTGATAGTCTATACAGTTTTCATTTATTTTTGCTTAGATGTCATGACATCATATATAACTTAAATAATGACACTCTTATTCTTACATCTGTTATTTTTTTTTCCTTTGGGAAGACTAAAAATGTTAAAAATTCCATTTTCTTATTATTTTTAAACTCGATTAATTTTTAAATAAAATTATTTAAAAGAATAAATTATCCCACATTTATATTATTTACATAACCAATTTAGTGTCAATAACAAAATGATATATATATCCCATATATATAGTCATACAGAATAAACTGATACTAGATAATCATATTTAATATGTTTAGTCACAGGAAAAATAATTTTACCTATAAATACATTAAACAATTTACAAATGCATGTTTAGTTTTTTTCAAGAAACTAAGACTTTTCTATAAACAATACCCAAGTAAGAAAAATTAGAGAGCTCAAATTCTGGTACTGTTAAAACAAAATGTTTATTGTATGATATTCGAAAGGTCACTTAACTTTAGATACTGGTTTTGACCATGTGCATAGCATATATTTATTTGGATCTCACTAACTTTGAAGGATTATTTATGATCAGATTTAACAGTAATAATACAGTACTTTTAAAACTTTAAAGTATTATATGAGTATGAAGCAATTGACGGGAAGGTAGAGGGCTAGGTCCCCTCTCCCCCATTTAGATTTAGCTAGAAGATAGTTATTACTACTGATTTATTTATTAAGGATGTTTTTATTGATTAGATACTTGCTTTCATGTAGCTGACACTTTAGAAGGTGAAAGCAGATAATACACAGGCCCACACAAAGGATGTCACATTTTGATGGTGTGAAGTACAGTGAAATGCACTGAACCACACAGCAGGGAGCTGCCAACTGTGTGGACTTTGGGTTTGCTGGGGTGGAGTTACCTTGAGTAGAGTACTCAAGAAAGAAAATCCTGAGAAGACGACACTCAAGATGAGATCTGTAAAATAAGAAGCTAGTGATATGTTTTGGCCGTGTCCTCACCCAAATCTCATCTCGAATTGTAGCTCTCATAATCCCCACGTGTTGTGGGAGGGACCCGGTAGGAGGTAATTGAACCATGGGGCAGGTTCCCCGCACCCTGCACTGTTCTTGTGATAGTGAAAAAGTCTCATGAGATCTCATAGTTTTATAAAGGAGAAGTTTCCTGCACATGTTATCTTGCCTGCTGCCATGTAAGACGTGCCTTTGCTCCCCCTTTGCCTTCTGCCATCATAATTGTGAGGCCTCCTCAGCCATGTGGAACTGTGAGTCTGTTAAACCTGTTTTTCTTTATAAATTACCCAGTCTTGGGTATTTCTTCAAAGCAGTAGGAAAATGGAGTAATATAGCTAGTCAGTAGACCAGTAAAGGGTTAAATGCAATAGGACATATGGCATTGAAGAAAGAGAGGTATGGATGGATTTTGAAAAATATAGGTGAGGAAGACTTGGCCATACTTGCTAATATATTGGCTAGGGAGGAGGAGGACAAGATTGTTTGATTCAAATATTTTGCTTTGGGAATTTGGGTAAATAATATTATCCAGAACTGAGTTTAAAATGAAAGTAAGAAGGGCGTACACAGAGGAGGACAAGAGGTCTGTTTTGGATATGTTACATTTGACCCATCTGTGAAACTCCTCAGTGGAGATGTCAACTGGGATATGTGTTCAGCGTTGAGAGGATGGATAAATGTCAGAGAGAGAAATCTGGTAATTGTCAGTGTGCGATTGCCATTTTAAACTGCAGAAAAGGATGAGATCACATAGAGTTTTTCAATAGATAAGGTATTGTGCCCTAAGCTTTGTGGCACCTTAAAACTTTAAGGTTTTTTGGAAGTTGTAGGAGACAGGAAAGGAAGCTTGGAAGCAGCTGGTGAAGAAGACAACACAAATAGAGCATGTTGTAACAAAATGCTGAGCAAGAGAGGAGAAACTGCTATGAAGAAGTAAGTAGGATCAATGACAGAAGAGTATCCACTGAAAGGGGCAAGGATGAGGTCACTGATGATTTGATAAGAGCAGTAAGAGGGAGTGTGAAATGGAGCCTGTGTGACCCAACGATTCCTTTTAGAAGAAAATCTACTCAAATGAATATTGGTATCTTATTATCTCCACTTCTTCACTTGCCATTTGCTCTTTATTGCATCCCATATTGGCAATTGTATTTTTTAGTGCCCTGAAACTGGATGGCAGGCAAAGAAGCCCAGGGTGCCAAGGAAGTGTTTTCTTAAGGTGGGAAGTTGTCAAGCACCGTGTTAGGCAGATGGATATGATGAGAGGGAGCGAGAGAGAGGAAGGGGTGATTCCAAAGAGCAGGACTGGTTTTCAGTGCTGACTTCCTCTTCTGTGATCTATGCTTGTGTCATAACCATTTGGTAAATATTTTAAATAACAACCAGTAGAAGAATGAGGCAAAAACTTGAGTAACCCTGATAAGAAGCAGTCCATCTGGAGTGTGAGTGGGATGATGGTATTTTCCCAAAGGCAATGTGGCCTCCACTGCAACTCGAGAAAAAGAATACGGGCACTGAAGAAGAAAGGCTCAGAGTTTTAAGGATGAGATATTGATGGAGTTCCTATCAGATTCCTTTGCATTTCCAGGGGAATTAAAAACCGAAGTTATCTGTTATGAGTGAGAGATGAGAGAATTCTTTTTTTTTTTTTTTTTTTTTGAGATTTGGGAAAAAGACACAATGAAATATTTGGGAGAGCGGGAGAATAATCTCTCTAGCATCACATAAAAAGATTGCTAATGATGGAATTTTGCTCATTTCAAGTGACCTAGAGGAGAAACAAAGTTTGAAAAACACTGAAACAAGATACAAATAGTACTAATCTTGTTCTAGTAACAGCAGTGAGGATGCATGTCGTAGTAATCAACTACTTGGCAAAGTCCTTTCAGCCCTATATTTTCCACATGTGTTTTTGTTACCATCAGCCTGGGATGTAATCAGAGTATATCAGATCTGGCAATGACCTTAAGAGTCATTTTTTCCATCTCCACCATTTTATACATGAGAAAATGAGACTCCTGGGAATTTAATGATTTATACAATTGTACAGTTGAATTAAGGCAGTCAGGAGGGCCTCTGCCTGCTGATTTTTAGTTTTTTATATAACAATTTAGAATTATTTCATTAAGTGCTTTTTAATCACCAAATTACTATAACAGTAAATTGTACATAACAAGATACTTTCTCCTTACTATGGCGCATGTGGTACAAGAAATGAGCTGAGAAAGAAGACACATGGAAAAAAAATGATCTTGCTGATTTGTTTGTGTTCCTTGTAGATTATGGATATTAGTCCTTTGTCAGATACATAGTTTGCAAATATTTTCTCTCACTCTGTGGGTTGTCTGCTTACTTTGCTCAAAAAGTGGGCAAAGGACATGAAGAGACAACTCTCAAAAGAAGATATACAAATGGTCAAGAAACATGAAAAAATGCTCAATGTCACAAATTATCAGGAAAACGAAAGTTAAAACCACAATGAGATACCACTTTACTCCTGTGAGAATGGCCACAATCAAAAAAAAAATTGATGTTGGATGGATGGTGTGGAAAGGGAGCACTTCTACACTGCTGATGGGAATGTAAACAAGTACAACCACAGGCAGGCACGGTGGCTCATGCCTGCAATCCCAGCACTGTGGGAGGCTAAGATGGGCAGATCACTTGAGGTCAGGAGTTCGAGACTAGCCTGGCCAATATGGCAAAACCTCATCTCTACCAAAAATACAAAAATTAGCCAGGCGTGGTGATGGGTGTCTGTAATCCCAGCTACTCAGGAAGCTGAGGCAGGAAAATCACTTGAACCCAGGAGGCAGAGGTTGCAGTAAGCCAAGATCATGCTACTGCACTCTAGCCTGGGCAACAGAGTGAGGCTCAAAACAAAAACAACAAAACCAAAAACAAAGAAACAAGAAACCTAGTGCAACTACTGTGAAAAACAGTATGGAGATTCCTTAAATAACCAAAAGTAGAACTACCATTTGATCCAGCAATCTTGCTTCTGGGTAACTACCCAGAGGAAAATAAGTTATTATATGAAAAAGACACTTGCACATGCATGTTTATAGCAGTGCAATTCGCAATTGCAAAAATATGGAACCAGCCTAAATGCCCATTGACCAAAAAGTGGATGAAGAAAATGTAGTATTTATACACCGTGGAATATTAGCCATGAAAAAGAATGAAATAATGACATTCATAGCAACGTGGATGGAGTTGGAGACCATTATTATTATTTTTTTTTTTTTTTGAGAGGGAGTCTCGCTGTATTGCCCAGGCTGGAGTGCAGTGGCGCGATCTCGACTCACTGCAAGCTCCGCCTCCCAGGTTCACGCCATTCTCCCACCTCAGCCTCCCGAGTAGCTGGGGCTACAGGCGCCCGCCACCATGCCCGGCTAATTTTTTTTTTCTTTTTCTTTTTTTTTTTTTTAGTATTTTTAGTAGAGTCAGGGTTTCACCTTGTTAGCCAGGATGGTCTTGATTTCCTGACCTCGTTATCCGCCCACCTCGGCCTCCCAAAGTGCTGGTATTACAGGCGTGAGCCACCACGCCCAGCTGTTGGAGACCACTGTTCTAGGTGAAGTAACTCAAGAATGGAAAATCAATTATTGTATGTTCTCACGGATAAGTGGGAGCTAAGCTATGACGACACAAAAACACAATGAGCATATAATAAACTTTGGGGACTTGGGGGAAGGGTGGAAAGGGGGTGAGGGATAAAAGATAACACATTGGCCAGAGTGTACACTCCTCGGGTTACAGGTGCACCAAAATCTCAGAAATTACCACGAAAGAACTTAGCCATGTAACCAAAAACTACCTGTTCCCCAAACATTATTGAAATAAAGTAATTTTTTTTAAAAAGAGGAAAAAATTATCATTTTGACTTTTCCTTTGTGGGGATAAAAAGGAAACATGAAAACATATATTACAATTCTGAAAAATTGGTTTTCTGAATATTATTAGAACTTTTCAAGTTAAATATCTTATAAAGAGAAATTATATTTTCCATTTTATCCTTATATATAGATTTGTTTCACCCTCACCACAGAGAATTCTAAGCATTTCAGTTTTGAAAAAACTAAAATAATGTACCTACCCAATTGGGAAATCTGATTACTGTTATTTTCTTTTGACTTCCATTTTTATATACTCCACTATCTATAAATACAATTTTAAAGTTCCCAAGTGCAGTAAGTAGGCACAAATATGAATTTAAAGAGTCTCATTAGTGAAAATTGCATTTGAAGTTGCAAATTTAAAAAAAAATCTTTTTTATAGAAAATCTTTCCAACGGAGGATCTCTAAACATATTTAATTGTGACATGATTTATATAAAGCAAGAAGAGTGCCAAGAAATGTCTTCATCTTTAATTCAAACAAGAGTATGCTACAAGCACAAAAAGCTCCTAAAAATCCACTTCACAAAGTAATGGTGTGGGAAAACTATTTCAAACTCCAACAACTCTGTCCTCTAACACTAAATGCTTCCTTCCATTCTCATTTCTGATTTTGTTTGTTTGTTTGTTTGTTTTAGATGAAGTCTGGCTCTTGTTGCCTAGGCTGGAGTGCAGTTGCACGATCTCGGCTCACGGTAACCTCCACCTCCTGGGTTCAAACGATTCTCCTGCCTCAGCCTCTTGAGTAGCTGGGATTACAGGCGTGTGCCACGACGCCTGGCTAATTTTGTATTTTTAGTGGAGACGGGGTTTCACCAACTTGGCAAGGCTGGCCTCGAACTCCTGACCTTGTGGTCCACCCGCCTCAGCCCTGCAAAGTGCTGAGATTACAGGCGTGAGCCACTGCGCCTGGCCCTGATTTTTCTGCAATTCATCAGTCATCTCACGCACCTATGCAGGCATAGTAGAGTGGCTTTGCATTCTCCATCCCATTAAATAATAATCGGGGTCATTTGCCTAGTTTTTTTTTTTGTTGCTGTTGTTGTTTGCTGCCAATCAATTATTTTGCAAGATGAAACGACAGTGAAGAAGCTCAGATAGAATTTCACAGCAGAACATATACAAATTTTGACGATATAATTTTCTGTGAATATTTTCTTTTTCTCTTTACATTAGAATATAGAGCATTTTAAAAAGCACCAAGTAATGTTTTAAAAATAAAATATATAATTAAATCATTAAATCAGGAAAATTTTAAATGGATGATTTAATAAATAGATTATAAATATTAAAGGTTACTAATCCAAGGAGAATGTTTCCACTTGAGTGGCAGGCTTTCACGTTATGAATCATACACAAGTAATGCAAATCTCTAAATGGTTGTGTTGATTGTATTTAATTGATTTTATTTACCAAAAAATATGGAAATAAAACCGACTTAATATATAATATTTGTGTATAAATACCCCTACAGTATATATGAATATAAAGTGAATAGTAAAATGGTCGGTATGTAATGTGTTATATAAGTGTTGAATAGAATTTTAAAAAGCACACTTTCTTTCTTTTTTTTTTTCTTTTTTTTATTATTATTATACTTTAAGTTTTAGGGTACATGTGCACAATGTGCAGGTGAGTTACATATGTATACATGTGCCATGCTGGTATGCTGCACCCATTAACTTATCATTTAGCATTAGGTATATCTCCTAAGACTCCCTCCCCCCTCCCCCCACCCCACAACAGTCCCCAGAGTGTGATGTTCCCCTTCCTGTGTCCATGTGTTCTCATTGTTCACTTCCTATCTATGAGTGAGAACACGCGGTGTTTGGTTTTTTGTCCTTGCGATGGTTTACTGAAAATGATATTTCCAATTTCATCTGTGTCCCTACAAAGGACATGAACTCATCATTTTTTATTGCTGCATAGTATTCCATGGTGTATATGTGCCACATTTTCTTAATCCAGTCTGTCATTGTTGGACATTTGGGTTGGTTCCAAGTCTTTGCTATTGTGAATAGTGCCGCAAGAAACATACATGTGCAGGTGTCTTTATAGCAGCATGATTTATAGTCCTTTGGGTATATACCCAGTAATGGGATGGCTGGGTCGAATGGTATTTCCAGTTCTAGATCCTTGAGGAATCGCCACACTGACTTCCACAATGGTTGAACTAGTTTACAGTCCCACCAACAGTGTAAAAGTGTTCCTCTTTCTCCACATCCTCTCCAGCATCTGTTGTTTCCTGACTCTTTAATGATTGCCATTCTAACTGGTGTGAGATGGTATCTCATAGTGGTTTTGATTTGCATTTCTCTGATGGCCAGTGATGATGAGCATTTTTTCATGTGTTTTCTGGCTGCATAAATGTCTTCTTTTGAGAAGTGTCTGTTCATGTCCTTTGCCCACTTTTTGATGGGGTTGTTTGTTTTTTTCTTGTAAATTTGTTTGAGTTCATTGTAGATTCTGGATATTAGCCCTTTGTCAGATGAGTAGGTTGCGAAAATTTTCTCCCATTTTGTAGGTTGCCTGTTCACTCTGATGGTAGTTTCTTTTGCTGTGCAGAAGCTCTTTAGTTTAATTAGATCCCATTTGTCAATTTTGGCTTTTGTTACCGTTGCTTTTGGTGTTTTACACATGAAGTCCTTGCCCATGCCTATGTCCTGAATGGTAATGCCTAGGTTTTCTTCTAGGGTTTTTATGGTTTTAGGTCTAACGTTTAAGTCTTTAATCCATCTTGAATTAATTTTTGTATAAGGTGTAAGGAAGGGATCCAGTTTCAGCTTTCTACATATGGCTAGCCAGTTTTCCCAGCACCATTTATTAAATAGGGAATCCTTTCCCCATAACAGACAATAACACCAATAACAGACAAACAGAGAGCCAAATCATGAGTGAACTCCCATTCACAATTGCTTCAAAGAGAATAAAATACTTAGGAATCCAATTTACAAGGGACGTGAAGGAGCTCTTCAAGGAGAACTACAAACCACTGCTCAATGAAATAAAAGAAGATACAAACAAATGGAAGAACATTCCATGCTCATGGGTAGGAAAAATCAATATCATGAAAATGGCCATACCGCCCAAGGTAATTTATAGATTCAATGCCATCCCCATCAAGCTACCAATGTCTTTCTTCACAGAATTGGAAAAAACTACTTTAAAGTTCATATGGAACCAAAAATAGCCCGCATTGCCAAGTCAATCCTAAGCCAAAAGAACAAAGCTGGAAGCATCACGCTACCTGACTTCAAACTATACTACAAGGCTACAGTAACCAAAACAGCATGGTACTGGTACCAAAACAGAGATATACATCAATGGAACAGAACAGAGCCCTCAGAAATAACGCCGCATATCTACAACTATCTGATCTTTGACAAACCTGAGAAAAAACACACTTTCTTAAAAAAAAGTCCTAGGCCGGGCACGGTGGTTCATGCCTGTAATCCCAGCACTTTGGGAGGCCAAAGAAGGTGGATCACCAGGTCACCAGATCAAGACCAGCCTGACCAACATGGTGAAACCCTGTCTCTACTAAAAATAGAAAAATTAGCTGGGCGTGGTGGCACGCGCCTGTAATCCCAGCTACTCGGGAGGTTGAGGCAGGAGAATTGCTTGAACCTGGGAAGCAGAGGTTGCAGTGAGCCGAGATCACGCCACTGCACTCCAGCCTGGTGACGGAGCAAGACTCCATCTCAAAAAAAAAAAAAAAAGAAAAAAAAAAAGTCCTCAAAATAGTCCAAAACAAATAAGTTTAAATCAAGTCAACACAACTTTAGTGTTGGGAATCGAGTTGGGATTAAAAAAAAAAAAAAAAAAAAGTTTGGTTTTCTTAGTGTCTCAAATTTGTTTGCAAAGAGAGTGATAATTGTCTTGATGAGGAGATTTGTGTTTGTTTAAAATAATAGAAAATGTATTTAATTACGGGGATTTAATTAAAATATATTTGGCTTAATTATATATACTTAAGTATGTGTAACCATTATACTTTCTTGCAGGAAAGACAGAGGGCAAAATTAAGCCAAAAGTTTAAATACCAATGGGATACAATATAGGACATCATGTCTCCTTCATAAACAGCCAAAAAACAGGTGATCCAGAGCTAGACACACAGGAAACTAATATCGAATCCTGTGCTGTAGTGTTTGTTTTAACTTTTTATCCTGAAAACTTTAAAAACATACAATGTGAAAAAACAGAATAGTGTAACTTATCCCCCTTCCATCCATCCTCAATCTTGGACAATTGTCAACAGTTGGCCATAGTAGTTCATTATACCCTTACTTGCCGTCCACACCCCAACACTCAATTTTTACATTTTTACAAATGTGTATATGTAAAGACCTAGAAAATTCCCATTGCTCCAAAGCATTCTTTTCATGTGCTAATATGTCATCCAAATAAATTTGGTGAAGTGCCTAAATCTTTCACTCATTTATTTTTATTGAATTTTTATCAGATTATTTGCATTGAATTTTGACAACTCTTTGAATATTGTGGAAAAAAAAACATTTATCAGGTGTTTTTCTTTGCAAAAATTACTCCCAGTTTATGCATTGTCTTTTCATACTCTTGGCAGTGTCTTATGATGAGAAGTTTTTAATTTCAGTGAAGGAAAATTTATCAATATATTTTCTTATGGCTCATGCTTTCGGTATAGCATCTAAGAAATCTTTGTGTAACCACAGGTCCTCAAGATTTCCTTTCTCTCAAAGTTTTAGAATATTTAGCTCATTTTTAAATCTAGCTTTTATTTTACATTCAGGGGTACATTGCAAATTTGTTACATGGGTATATTGTGCTATGCCGAGGTTTTGGGTATGTTTGAGCCCTTTGCCCAAGTACTGAACATAGTACCCAACAGGTAGTTTTTCAACATTTGCCCCACTCTGTTCCTTCCCCCTAGTAATTCCCAATGTCTATTGTTGCCATCTTTATGTTCATGTGCACCCAATGTTTAGCTCCCACTTATAAGTGAGAACATGTGGTATTTGGTCTTTGTTTCTGCATTAATTTGCTTAGGATAATGGCCTCCAGCTGCATCCATCTTGCTGCAAAGGACATGATTTCATTCTTTTTCATGGCTATATAGTATTCCATTATGTGTAGGTACCACATTTTCTTTATTCGAACCACCCTTGATGGACACCTAAGTTGATTTCAGGTCTTTGCTATTATGAGCAGGTTGTGACGACTATATGAGTACATGTGTCTTTTTGGTAGAATGATTTCCTTTGGGTATGTACCCAATAATGGGATTGCTGGGTCTAACGGTAGTTCTAAGTTCTTTGAGATATCTCCAAACTGCTTTCCACACAGGCCGAACTAAATTAGATTCCCACCAGCGTTAAATAAGCGTTCCCTTTCCTCCACAGGTTAGCCAGCAGCTGTTATTCTTTGACTTATTACAAATAGCCATTCTGACTGGTGTAAGATAGTATCACATTGTGATTTTGATTTGCATTTCTCTGAGTGATGTTGAGAATTTTTTCATATGTTTGTTGGCCACTTGCATGTCTTCTTTTGAGAAGTGTCCATTTATGTCTTCAGCTTTTTAAAACTTACCAAACTCGTGTGTGTGTATGGTACATTAAATGGGTGGAATTTTATTTTCTTACATATGGGTATATAATTGTTCCAATACATTTGTTGAAAAGATTATAATTGTTCCAATACATTTGTTGAAAAGACTGGATTACTCTTGCATATTTGCCAAAAATTAAATGACTATATGTGTTTGAATCTGGACTCCCAATTATTGTCTATTTGCTTCTCTTGATGCCAGTACCCCATTCTAGTGATTACTGTAGCTTTATAATAAGTCTAGAAGTCAAGTTCTGCAAATACTAAACTGAAATTTTTATATTCAAATTTATTTTTACTATTCCAAGTAACTTGCTTTTGAACATGTATTTTAGAATGAGCTGGCCAACTCTGACAAAAGGAATTCTGCTAGGATTTTGATTGAGTTTATATTAAACCTATAGTAATTTAGGGAGAATTGGCATTTAGCATTATTAATCTTTCAACCATAAACAAGATGTATTTATTCATTTATGTATGTATGTAATCCATTTCTGTATATGTGTATTTATGTATATGAATCCATGTATTTAATTTCTATTAGAAATATTGTATAGGTTTTAGAATAAGTGTGTTGTCCATTTTCCATCATATTTGTCTCAAATGTTATATATTATTACTACTATTCTATGTTATGTTTTTAATTTACATATTTAATTGTTACTAGTATATACAAATATACTTTTTTCTTACATATTGATGTTACATTTTCCAAAGTTACTGAACTAACTTAATAGTTCCCACCAACATTAAATAAGCTTATTTAGCTAGAAAGATGTGGTGAAGTGGACATTTTTAGATTGTTCCTGGCCTTGGAGGAAAAACATTTAGTCTTTTATTGTTATATATGATTTCGGATGTAGAGTTTTTGAAGATATCATTTATCAGGTTAAGCTGAATTTGTTTCATTTACCCAGAGTTTTCACAAGTAATAGATATTAGACATTTCTCCATTCCATTAAGATGAGCACATGCTTTTGAAATTTGTGAATTTGTGTCCTTTGAGGAATGATTCAACTCATCTACACTGTAGAAACTACTTGTGAGTGTCGCTTGTAATTTTCCTGGTCAGTATGGCTAGAGGATTATAAAAGTCATGGGTCTTCTGAAAGAATCAGATTTGTTGATTTTGTTTTCCATTTTACTTATTTCAATAACTAATCTAATCCTCATTATTTCTTCACTTACTTTAGGTTTACTTTGCTTTATTTTTCTAACTTCTTAAGGTAGTATCTGAAGTCATTGATTTGAGGCCTGTCTTTAATTGTATTATTGGTAGTAGTGCAACAAATTTCTCCCTGAATACTGCTTTATCTGCATCTCACAAGTTTTCATGTGTTGTGGTTCTATTTTCTTTCATTTCAAAATACTATATAATTCTCTATTTTTTGCCTCATGAGTTATTTAGATGCATATAATTTAATTTCTAAATATTGGGATTTCAGCATTTACCTTTGTTATTGATTTCTAATTACATTAAATTTGATCAAAGGGTGGATTTGAATTCATTTATGTTAATGAACACTTGTCTTATGGCTCAAAACACAACTTATATGTGTATATATTTTATGTGCCCTTAAAAAGAAAGTATAGATGCTCCTTGATTTACGATGGGCTTACGTCTTGATAAAATCATTGTAAAGTCAAAAATATGTAAGTTGAACCATTGTTAAGTCTGGGACCATTTGTATATGTTGCCTAAATTGAGAGTTGGATTCTATAAATGTCAAGTGGGTCAAAGTTTTCTGTATCTTTCTTGACTCTCTCTTCACTTACTCAATGGACTATTGAAGAGTGGTCCTGGAATCTGCAAATATAATTGTTATTCTATTTCACCTTTTAGTTCCATCAATTTGGGCTCCAATATATTTTGACTTTCTGTTATTAGGTCATAAACTTTTAGGAGTGTTTAAGCTCTTTTCATAAATTGACTCCCTTATCAATGAGAAATGACCATCTTTATCCCCTTTTTATCACTCTGAACTCTACTTTGTCCAACATAAATACAGCTTCACTAATGTTCTTTTGCTTAGAGTTAGCAAGATATACCGTTTTCAATATTGTTATTTTTAATGTATTTATATTTTTCTAAGAAGTGTAGAGTTAGATCTGTTAAAAGTTTTTCTAATTTTTCTTGTGGTTTCTTCTTTGACTGAGATATGTCCTAATGTATTGTTTAATTTATGACAATTGGAATTTTCTAGGAAAATTACTATCAGTGATTTTAATTTAAAACCATTGTGATCGGAGAGAATTATTATGTAAAATTTTAATTATTTTAAGTTTGTTGGGATTTCTTTCATAGTTCAACTATATTGTCTATCTCAGTGAATGTTCCAAGGGCAATTTTTTAAAATGTATATTCTGCATCAAATGAGGGTAGCGTTCCACAAATAGTAATTAGACCAAGTTGATGATAGCATTATTCAAATATTGCATTTTTCTAATACTGTTTTTCCAAGTTCTTCTATTATTTACTGGAAAAACTGTGCCAGATTCTCACTAGGATCATAGATTTCTCTAGTTTCCTTTAGTTTTGTGGGGTTTTTGGCATTCATTTGAGAGCTTTGCTACTGAGTATTTAAACATTTATTATTTTGCCTTCTTAAATTGATACTTTTATCATCAATAAATGACCTTCTTTATCTACCAACAATCTCTTCCATAAATCTACTTTGTCTGATAGTAATCCAGACACATCAACATACTTCTTAGTTTCTCCATAGCATATACATTTTTGTTATTTTGCTTTCAACTATTTGTGTCTTTTCATTTAAAACATGCTTATAAGTAACGTATGGTTGGGTCGTGCTTTTTAATCCATTCTTACACTTTCTACCTTTTAATTAGGGTACATAGTCCACTAATATTTACTGCCATTATTTATATACGTTTGGATTTAAGTTTACCATCTTTGTACATAATTTCTACATGATGTATATAATCATTGTTTATCTGTTCTTTTCTTGTTCTTTCCCTGACATTTGGATGTTGGTGGTCCATCAATGTCATTGTATTTCATGTCATGTCATCTTTTAATGTTTTAATTTGGGCTGTGTGTGTGTGTGTGTGTGTGTGTGTGTGTGTGAGTGTGTGCACATGTCCTCATTTGCTGCTGAAAGGAATGATTTAATCACTTCTTAAAAGTGTTATTTAATTGCAACTTAAAGGAGTGATTTGTCTTGACCAGGACAACTACCACAGACTATGATATTGAACCATACATATCACACTTTGTCTTAGGCAACAGCTAGCATCATCCTGAATAATGCTGAAACAGTATTGGAAGTATGGTGTTATAATAAGAACCTATGTATGACATGAATTTTGTGGTTGGGTAGTAGGTGGTGAGGTAACTCATTTTGGAGTCTTGAAATATAATATGTCATCATAAGGTCATCATAAGAATTCCCAGTATATTTAGTGATAATTTTGCTTTGCAATAAACTGGATTTAGACCAAACACTTTTCCATTCAGTGGCTTTAGTGGAAAACATTGAAAAGCAAAATGTTCATAGTATGTTTGTGGATATTGGGTCCTTCAGCAAATGATTAGGAAATAATTGAAAGGCTTGTTTGCAGAGGTGAAATGGTAACTATAAAGTATAACAACCTGAAGACTCAAAATTGGAAAATCTAACTCTTCCTGAAACCCAAACAGTAGGCAATATGATTTTAAATGCTTTCTAGAGTAAATGCTAATAATGTTTCGTCCCTGGCAATGATCACATTAAGTCTGGATTTCTACCTTTACATTGTGGCTGTTAACTTGAGAGATGGCAGCATAGAGGCAGAGGTGCACAGAAACAAATCAGACTTCAGTGTTACAACTATGAAGGAATTCTTTGGTGTGGCCTCTGGAACTATGAACATATGAGAAACAATCAGATCAGAATTTTTAGGCGATTTGTGTTACCAAAGCAATGATAAGCCCAAATAAAAATTCCTTTTAAATGTGCAAGATTTAAAATAATATTTGGGCTCATAAAGTAAATCATCAAAATGTGGCCTGCAAAAATTTATCAATCCAAGAAGAGAAAATTCCAAAAACCCTTTTTAGAAATGGCCAGGCGGGATAGTGCAAACAAAAGAAAAATAAATCAAAACCCCCAAACCTAAACAAGGACAACAACAACAAAAACAACAACAACAACAAAAGACAAACCAAACCTCCAAGAAAGGGCAAAAGGGACTATGAAGAAGATAAATTTTTCCTAGGGAAAAGGGTTTAGATAATATCAAGAAAATATTCTCATTGCCAAAGCAGAAGATCTCCTTTGAAGCTCCCCAGGCCCGTACAACATGATTTCCTCATCACTATGGAACTGACACACCACCAAATATTATCCAGCCATGGCGCTAGCTTTCTCTCCAGGGCAGGCATTCCTAAGAGTGAGTTTCCTACTTTTAGCCTCTTTTGCAATTTGGGCAGTCTGAGAATTTCCCAAATTATCAAATCCTGATTCATTTTTGCTTGACAGTCCTTACCTCAATCTGTCTTTTCTTTTTTTCTCTTGGATTTTACTAGACTATCAGAAAGAAACCAGGTGGCACCTTCAGAACTTTGCTTGGAAATATCCTAGGCTAAATACACAGATGTGCTGCTTATAAATTACTCTTCTCAAATAACAATAGAATACCATTCAGCTAAGATTTCTGTCACCATATAATGAGGTTTCCCTTTTCCCCAATTTCTGATAACATATTCATTATTTTTGAGTTCTTGCCAGCGGTGTTATCAATGTTCATGTTTTTACCAGTATTCTATGCATTATGTCTTAGTCACTTCTTAGATGGTACAGATTTTCTCTACCATGCTGCTCACTTCCTTCTGAGACCTCACCAGCTGCACATGTTTCTACTAGGAGTCTGTTCAAGGAAATATAGCCACTTTTTATTACACTCCTCAAAATCGTCTCTTTCTCTACCCATCACCCAATTTCAAAGTAACTTCACCATTTTTGAGTACAGTGGCACCCCACCTCCAAGTACTAAAGCCTTGATTAGTTTCCCATTGCTGCTTTAATTAATTACTGCACTATGTGTTTGAAGTCAAGACAAATGTATACTATTACAGTTCTGGAGATAAGTCTGAAATATGTCTTATGGGGCTGAAATCAAGGTGTTGGTTGGAATGGCTCATGTTAGAGGCTTCAGCAGAGAATATTTTCCTCATTATCTAGCTTCCAGAGGTGGAATGAAGGCCAATGACCTTCACTGGCCCCGGCCACATCACTCCAATGTCACTTCTGTCTGGCTTTCTTACAACTCCATTATATGGACCCTTGTAATTCTACTGGGCCCACAGATAATCCATGATGTTCTCCCCATTGTAATATCCTTAACTTAATAGTTTATAAGAAGTTTTTTAACCATGTAAAGAGACATAATCACAGTCATAATTAGGACATGAGCATCTTTGGATGTCTGCCATTCGGCCCAGCACAGTCCCATAACTAAATGCACAGTATATAAAGATATATTTAATTTTTTTTATTGCAGTGGTTTTGATTGTACCAAAAAAAGAAGGAAATAAAGAAGGTGGAGATGGAGACTGGAACCAAGGAGGATGCAGAGCAAAGTAAATGATGCTGACTAAAAGGAGTGCTTAAACTCCACTTATATTGGATTATGTTTATATTTGATTGCATGAAGATTTTTCTCCCCATTAAACTATGAGTTATCTTTGTCATATTCATCATTATCTTATTTTCTGTGCAGTGCATCATGGTGCCTGATGCATATATTGATTTTATTAAAATTTTAAATGTAAATGATGCATTCAGATGCCCTTCCTCTCAATGATGAAGAATCTCTATAAACTAAATATGGACCCAAATAGCTTTTTATGTTTCTGAAGTCAAGGGAAATTGTCTATTTAAAATTTAATTTAAAAATCAAAAAATATAAAGTTTAAAGAACTGAAAATAGTTATTAATAAGAATATTTTATTAAATAAGTAATTGTAAAGTAACACTTATAAAGAAAATTAAGAATTACGTTTAGTTTTAAACATTTAAAAATACTTCTACTATCATTAAATAGTTGATGTGGTCATTAAGATTAAAATAATTTAAAAAGAGATTATTCTTAAAATTCTGTTACTGTAGGTTTATTGTCAATACATGAGTTTATGGTTAAGGTAAAAATTCTAAACTACTGAAAAAATACCCTTTATTTAATTCTTAAAAAGTAGTATTACTGAAAGACAAATTGCTACTCCTTCTGTTTTGTATTGTCAATACATTTTTATGATTTTGCATGGACGATTGCTTTGAAATAACCTTCACTTTCTCAAAAAACTCTTATGGTAAGAAAAAAGAAAGACACTCTGTGCTTCCTATGCTATGCTAAGACACAAAGCATAGGAAAAACGAATTTTGTAAAATTTGGTTTATGACATCAAATCACAATAGCTTCAGCCATAAGATATTGCTTATGTTTATTCATATCGACCTTCAAAAATGGCAATTTCATATGGTTTAACCTAACCCTTACTATACCTTGAGGAATTAATACATGGCCATTGGATTTTCCTGGGTATCTCTAGAGTCTTCCTGAATCCACTAAAGACTTTCAGTCATTTCTCAAGGAAACAAAATATGTTTTATTAAACATGCCCTTATTTAAAGAACATGTATTACAGCACTCCAGGAAAAGCACAGGAGATAATGTAAGATTTTTCTCAGATCTTCGCCACATTGAGAAGGTGCTAATTAGTGACAGTGCATAATTTGAACAATTGCTACTGACAAAGTTCTTCGTAAGCCTATATTTTAAGGTTCTGACAAGTTCCCTTGATTTGAAATTAAATCAATTGCTTCCTGAAGCACTCAGAGTAATGAAAATTCCCATCAATTAATATAGAAATAGGTAGTTTAGTCAGGCACAGATTACATCTCATTACCACCTAGTTCTTCCTTAGGGTCAAGTATGTCATTTATAATTCATTAAAATAGCATACTTCAGCACAAACTAGGTTTTCAGGATTTTTACAACAGGGGTATTATTTTGGAAGCATACATTAAACCAGTAATGACACAAAGAACAATGTTGAAAATAGCATGTTTCTCATGATTTGCCTCCACCACCCTGTTACTTGTACAGACACCAGGTCACAATTCATATTATATTAAGCTTAGTGTTTTCAAGTGTAGGGTATAATGCAGAAGGCTGCATTTCAATTTATGTTTTAGTAAGAGGAGGTAAACAATAAGTGATTAAAGAAAGGACAGAAGAATATATAAATGAAAAGATGCTTGAAGTTACCTATTTACTTTGCATACAACGAAACAATACTCACAGATAGAGAATTTACAGAGTGATCAAGACCTGACTTCACATTAATTATTTCCCAAATTTCTACATTATGATATTTGATCTTCAGTATGATATATTTGAAGCAACTAAAGAGATCTAGCAATTAATTGAGAACTCTTTCTCATAGTGGTCTTTAAACAACCTTATCTTAACATAAAGGTAACAAAATATGCTCAATAAAAATGAAATTAGTTAACTTTGTCATCAAAAACAGTTTATAAAAATCTGTATGTCACAGTTCTATTCGCACTACCGAGAATTTAGAAAAATGTGTTTCTCCTAAGAACAGATAGTCTAAGGTAAATAACAATGATATAGAATAAAAATAATTGGGCTCTGATAAGGTTTGGCTGTGTCCCTACCCAAATCTCAACTTGAATTTTATCTCCCAGAATTCCCACGTATTGTGGGAGAGACCCAGGGGGAGGTAATTGAATCATGGTCTTTCCTGTGCTATTCTTACGGTAGTGAAGAAATCTCAAAAGATCTTATGGGTTTATCAGGGGTTTCTGCTTTTGCTTCTTCTATATTTTCTCTTGCTGCCACTATGTAAGGAGTGCCTTTTGCCTCCTGCCATGATTCTGAGGCCTCCCCAGCAACGTGGAACCATAAGTCCAATTAAACCTCTTTTAGTACCCAGTTTTGGGCACGTTTTTATCAGCAGCATAAAATGAATGAATACAGGTTATTAGTATTATTTTTTGGAAAAGGTAACAAAGTAAAAAAAACAAACATACAGAGTTGTGCTTTATTTTTTCCTTGATAAAACTGTAAAGATTTTATTTCTGTTCACATAGCCAGAGTTTACTCCAATGTGAATGCAGGTCCAATTCACAAGCTCAATTCATGAAGACAAATTGAGTGAAGAAAGAAATTTAGTCTACCCATGTACTACCTGGTATGAGCTCCAGCTTGAAAAATTGAATTAACCTTTACAATTATAAAAACAAAACAACCACAACTTTTTTTTGTGGAAAAAAATTCTTGCTCCTATATAAGGTGTATTCTACGGAGACATTTCTCTCAGTTCCCTCTGATTGCCAATAGACACATTCTTATGCAATTATAAATTTTATAGCCAAGCAAAAACGTTTTAGGTGAGTTCTTTTTCTACTTCTTTGTTTTCATGTTTACATTATGGCCTTGCTCTCTTAATACTTAAAAACAGATACCAAAATGTCAAATGCTTTATTACACTTTTAAATTTTCAAACCAAAATATTTTACCAGTGAGGAAAAAAAGCCAGAGTACTAATTTTAACCTAAACTTTGAGAGAAACCCTATGACAGCCTGTCAAAAATAATCAATGTTTGAACAATAGATTACTAACAAGAACTTCAATTCCTTTGTGAACATGAGCGTTAACTAAATAGTGAAATGTAGGGAGCACAAAGAAAACAAATATAGATATAGATAATATAAATTGTATATAGTAAGAACATAAAATCTCATTACATTTTAAAGATTATTTTGAGCCAGTTATCCAACTTGAAACAAGACAAAAGCAAAAGCCCAAAATATCATTTTTGGTGAGGCATGGTCATCCACGCCTGTAGTTCCAGCACTTTGGGAGGCTTAGGTGGGAGGATCACTTGAGCCCAGGAGTTCAAGATGGCAGTGAATTACAATTGCACCACTGCATTCCAGTTTGGGCCACAGAACAAGACCCTGTCTCTAAAAGAAAAAACAAAAACTAAATTAAATGTTAAAAATCATAAGTAATATTTCATAATATTAGAATTACTATAGGTTGCTGCAAAAGTCATTACTATAGATTGGTGCAATTATTTTTACACCAACCTAATAGTATTTCCAAAGTTGATATTATCAAGAGGAAATTAAACAGAAACTTCAATTCTGCAGACACAGAGTCAGGGAATAGACTCACACAAATACGAACAAGCCAGGTAAGTCTCTTTTAATTCCTTCTACACTATTTCTGTATCTGGTCATTTTTCCTGGAAGAGGGGCATTCTATTTTAAGCATCCCCTATTAGAATTCTGCTCAGAATAGACAGCAGCTGTACTAAGGTTTTTTTTACAGTGCTCTGTCAGGAACCTCCAACAAATATCTGGGGGCTTGGTGTCCTCTCCCACACTCAGGATCGCCATCATTAAAATTATATAGCACCAGTTTTCTTTCTTTGTAGCATAGTATAATAAGTGTTTTACAATGTTAATGTTTTAATGAGTTATTATTATGTCCCTATAGAAAAATACATTTGAAAAGATAGAAGAAAAGCGCAAACATTTCCCACAACCTAAAAATATGGGTAAACTATTGTCATATTTACTTTCTGCCTTTTCCTTTCACTGAGTGAACATTGAAGCTCCTTTTTATGAAAGCTGTATATCAAAACCATTTTCCACACTTCCGAAGACTGTTGTTAAACTTTACTCTTAATCGTGGTGTAACATTTATATCAATGCTCCCTAACTTAAAACGTTTCATAATTCATGCTTACTTTTTATCTAATTTACTAGCATAAATTACAATTAGTACATATATTTATTCATAATTTCCTGTCTAGTTATAAAATACATCTATTAATGTTTAAAAAATCACATAAAGATCCTTATTTTGATTTAGAAATGCTATAACGAATACATTGAACATTATAACAAAATAGGAACACTGAATGACATTGAACTGACATTGGCTTAATAATTCTTTGGTGCCAATGCCCTCAATGCCCATTCTTTAGAGAATGATATTTGTCTTTAGAGAATATCATGCAAAAGGATGCAATGCAGTGGAGAGATGAACTGCACTGACTCGACACACTTCGTCTGTGTTCAGATTTCATTTGTGTCACAGTGCATATATAGCCTTGGGCAACTTATTTAGCCTTTCTGTTTTCCCCTTTCCGCATTTGTAAAATGGAGGTGAAGATTGTTCTTACGCCGCTTTCACAAGGTATCTGTGAGGATTAATGAGTTAGTATCTATCGGCTATTAGAACCAGTATCTGGTGCATAGCAAATCACAGATATAATATGTTAACTATTGTGGTAGGAAAACATACATTAGGCTACTGATGCTTTTCTAATCCTTTCAAGGTTTGTTTTTTTTTTTTTTTTGAAATGGAGCCTGGCTCTGATGCCCAGGCTGGAGTGCAATGACGTGGTCTTGGCTCACTGCAAACTCCGCCTCCCGGGTCCAAGAGATTCTCCTGCCTCAGCCTCCCGAATAGCTGGGATACAGGCACCCACCACCACACCGGGCTAATTTGTGTATTTTTAGTAGAGACAGGGTTTCACCATGTTGGCCAGCTTAGTCTTAAACTGCTGACCTCGTGATCTGCCTGCCTCAGCCTCCCAAAATGCTGGGATTACAAGAGTGAGCCACCGCACCCGGCCAGTCCTTTCAAGTTTTAATTTTCTTCAGGCATATACATATCTGGTACTTTGCCCTTACTTCTTTCATGCTTATACAATAATTATTAAAACAGAAGCAGAGAGATATGCTTAGAGACTAGAGGAGGTCAGAAAAATATCTGACCAGCTGGAGTAGTAGCTGTTAATCACTAAGTTGAGCGGATTGCAGCTGGCAAGATAAATATGTCTCTGTCTTGCTGGTGATCCCAAAACAAAAGCAGGCGCTCACGGCACAGAGTTCCACTTAGTCAACTGGCTGGATTAACCATCTTTCCCTTTCTGCTGTAAACTATGCCACAGGAAATCCAGGGAGCCTTGGTCCTTGCTGGAGGCCACCCACCTTTTAGATGTCCACTCCCATTATCTGAATTTTTCACCTGTGTCTTTTTTTTTTTTTTTTTTTTTTGAGACGGAGTCTCGCTCTGTTGCCAAGGCTGGAGTGCAGTGGCTTCATCTCAGCTCACTGTAACCTCCGCCTCCTGAGTTCAAGCGATTCTCCTGCCTCAACTTCCTGATAGGAGTAGCTGGGACTATACCACCACGTCCAGTTAATTTTTTGATTTTTAGTAGAGACGGGGTTTTCCCATGTTGGCCAGGCTGGTCTCAAACTCCTGACCTCAAGTGATCCACCTGCCTCGGCCTCCCGAAGAGCTGGAACTACACGTGTGAGCCACCGTGCCCAGCCTCACTTGTACCTTTGAATGTTCATGGCTATACTCTGCTGGTTGCCACTGTAATTAAATAATTTAATAAAAATATTTAAAGATCTGATAAAATGTACACGTAAAATGAAAATAAACCAGTGTTTTAAAAATAAGTTGACATATTTGGTGAGAACTGAAGAAGTTACATCTCTAAAAATAACAGCAAGAGCTACCATTGAATTAGGTGTATGTGAGGCACTATAAAAGATGGAGAAAAAATATAAAAACCAATAAGCTTTGAAACACACATGGCAATTAAAATATCTTCAACTTTTTTACTCTAATGAATAAAATCTTTGAGTTGCAGAATATGCATTCGGAGTATGATTTATCTAGGCAAAATCACAAGGAAGATAATCAGACAAAATTGAAAGGATAAGAAAAAAATATGACTTGACCATATTTCCTCCTAAAACAAAAATAAACACTGTTTGGTTGTTTTAGTAGACTTTATATTTTATAGCAGTTTTAGGTTCACAGAAAAACTGAGTGGAAATTACAGGGTTTCTGTATAGCCCCTGTCCCTACACATGCTTACCACTATCAATAGCCCATGTATTTATTTTTAACCTTTTGTTTTGACATTATTGCATATTCATGTGCAGTTGTAAGAAACAATACAGAGAGATCCCATATGCCCCCAGTGGTATCACCTTGCTCAACTATAGTACAAGATCATAATGAGGATGAGATTGAAATAGTCTGTTGATCTCATTCAGATTTTACCGGTTTCCCAGCCACTCGTGTGTATGTGTGTATGTGTGTGTATGTGTGCATGTGCACGGGTGCGCTTAGGTTTATGAAATTTCATCATATGTGTGTATCTGTGGGTCCACCAATACAGTCAAGACACAGGACATTTCCATTACAAAAATCCCTTGAGATGCATTTTTATAGCCATGCAGTGACTGGGACCATATATACATTTTGCAAATGTATATAGCATGAGCCACACAGGGTTCTAGGAGCTTTATAAAATTAACTCATTTAATATTCTTCTTCCAAATTTTACAAACGAGAAAATTGAGAGGCAAGAAAATTGAGAGGCAAGAAAATGAATAATTTCCCTAAGTTATAGAGCTGCTCAGTATCTTTCATGGGATTTGAACTCAGGACATCTGGTTCCAGAGAACAAGCTTTAAATACCATATACTGACTCACATATCAACTGATGAGCAAACCCATATATGTTTACATGTTTTGACTTCAAATGAAATATTAAAAGTGCATTTATGTCTTTTTTGTGATTCACCACTTTTCGTCCTTTTCAATCATCCAGTCAACTAAGCTTGATAAGATTTACTTTCATACTTAAAACATACTTAGTTCTCTTATTCTAAGCTTACTAAAAATGAAAAATTATATGTAGATTATCTTTCAGAAAACAAGATCAAAAAAGAAATTTAAGATGTACTCATTATTTCTCTTAGAAATATAAAATTTACTATCAGTATAAGACCATTGAAAAATCTAAGAAATTGAATACTGTGACTCATTAAATGAGATTCACTTCTGCTTTCACACATTCCATAGCAGAGGGGAGACTGATTGCTCTTCTGCATCAGGAAGAAATTAATTCATTAATATATAGATATATTGCCTGCCTATCTACCAAGGGGTGTTTCTTTGAGCATTTACTGTGTGCCAGGATTTTTGCAGGGATTACAGCCTGGGTCTTCATCTGTACCCTGATTGAGTTTGTAGTCCAGGAGGTTTATACTGGCAAATAATCATTCACTGGTGTAAATACAACCTGCAAAGGTAGATGAAACTAACTTTTCTAAGGAAGATAGGAGAATAGTGGTAGAGGAATATTTCATGGAGAGATAGCATTTAAGAGAGACCATATTAACTGAGCCAGACAAGGGAGGAATGACTTAAGCAGTGTAAGTAATACAAGCAAAGTGAAAGTAATGCGAATATACACTTCCCTAGGAACAAGACTGGAGCAAGAAATAATACAGAGTGAGGTGTCAGATGATGAAGTCATCCATGTTATCGATGATGGAAAGATTCTGACTGTCTGGAGGTAGGAGAAGGACATGAACTGATGACTGTAGATGAGCTATAAAGAAGTAATATGGACAATTGATGCCTTGGAGAGTGTCAAGAAGGATGGCCACAACTGATACTAAAAGAGCTGCATTTTGCATCATTTATGGTGGATGGCATTAAACATAGCAGGGGGCCAATATAGGAATTTCAACCCTGATTCCTAGAGCCTTTGATGTTGCCTCGTTATTTTGCCAAAATTTGAATTTTGCCCACTGGCATCTGCAGTAAGTACTGTCTGGGAGGCTACAGTGAACAATGATCATGAGCATGCGCCTTAGATTTAAACATATCCGGCCTGAAATTCCATCATTTTTTATTTCTAACTCTGTGAATTAGGCATAACACTGGCTCCTAGTGTTGTGATTTAGAAAATATGGATAATAATTGATTCCACCATGTAAATTTGTTATTTAATTTAAATGGATTTATATCCATATAATACAGTGCATAATACATGGTAAGACCTCATCTAATAGTAGATGTGGTTTTCTCTTCCTTGACATAGTCAACTTTGTTGACTGGCAGTATTTACCCTGGCTTGCTGGAATTTATCCTGGACTTTTCTGTTTGCCTGCTTTGCTCCATGGCGGATAGTGTCCAGATTGGCTAAAGGATGTGTTTTTATCTCATCTGATTGTTGCATCTTTGTGCCACCAAGAGGACATGGTTTTGTTTGAGTTGGCTTTGCATCTATTGTATAAATTCATCAAATTATACTTGAATATTGTGGTTCTTAAAATTTAATGTGCATTATAATCACTTGGAGGACTAGTAAACATACATATTTTAATCCTTAAATGCCAAAAGTTATGTGATGGGTCTAGGAACTTGCATTTCTAACAAGTTCTCTAACAATGCTGATGCTTCTGATCTGAAAACCACACTTTGAGAACCATTGCTGTAAGATCATTGGAATGTAAATGTTATTACATTATTAGCTTTACTGATGTAACGCATTCACTTCAATTGTTAGTGACTGATAAAACACCTGCTTCCAGATTGCATATAATCAGAGATCAAAGAATCCATTTCTTTTGAAGTTACTACCACATTAATAAACCAAAATGAGATGCTGCCCAAGGGAGATGCTGTAACAAAATAATGAAGACCACAGGCTACCTTCTCTTTACATACAAGCTGGGTAATAATTTCAATACTTACTGGGCAAGTTAGTTTCCTTTTAGGGGCTATACTTGGTTTTTATGTAAAATGGTGACAATAGTATCAATATTAATAACTTAATATTATTACATGAGAATTAGGTAGGAAAATCTATAAGAAGTGATAAATGCTAATTCTTACTTCTATTATTTTGCTTAGAAAATTACAAGAGCTCAGTAATTCTATGTATTATTACTCAGGATCTAGAATTTGATTTTACTCCACTTTCGGGCTAATAAGTCAGCTGGTTATTATTTCATGGATTCTGACATAAACCACTTGAGCCAGAGACAAAGAAATCCATTATTCATGACAAAGCATGCAATAAACTCCATATCAGTTACTCTTGCACCTCAAGCTCCAGAGGGTCTAACTCTCATTTAATCCCTGAGAGGAGACCAAATAGATGCTATGTAGGCAGTGGTTTGTGTCATAGTTGAGAAACATCAGTCATGTACAATCTACATCTTTTATAGCAGGCAGTAAGAGAACCTGGTCTTTATTTCTGGAGGGAGATATTATTTCATCTGCAAAGGCCATTTAGTGTAAACATCACCTTGAGAAGTCCCTGCCACAGAGAAGCCAAGGTTTTGTATTTGTGGCAAGCCTGAAAGATGTGTAGCAGCACAAGACATCTACGGAGAAGTATCTCTCAACAAGCATAATTTCTGAAGTATAACACTGGACAATTAAGAATACTGCACTCTTTTGATGGTATGACTTATTTATTCAGTTTTACATATTCACTGGGTGCCCACTCTGTATCAGACATTGTGCTATATTCACAAAATGGATGTTACTTCTGTTACAGTTCAGTGAAGGGGACAAAAGTAAAGAAATAAGGGCACAGATAAGTTCATAATTTCTGATTTTGATAAAGGTTATGAAGAAGGAGCAAAAAATGAGGAAAACATCTGATTTAGATTGAATAATCAGGAAAGCCCTCTCTGAAAAAGGGACTGATAAGCAGGACAGAAGCACATGAATAATGAGAGGTGGGAATGACTCTGTCTTCCCATGTGGTAGGTCCCTGAAGTGCTCTCTTTTAAAATGTATGTCAAAATATAAAATACCTTATCTTCACTCAACATTCTTCCAACTTACTCATTTGATGATCAGAATTTTAAATAAGGAAAGTTGCTCCTGGGTTTCAGGCACAATCGAAAATTCTAAAACAAGACGTTGCTGCTTTTTAAGACCTATACTCTATTCCACAGTTATGCTTTATTTGATTGAATACTATTTTTGTAAGATGTTCAACAAATTTTAAGAAACAAATCAAAAGGGATTCACACATTTGGAAGAACATGTTCCCTGTGTGAGAGATAATTGCACTGTGTCTTCCTTTGATCAGAGAGGAGCCTCTGAAGAATTAATTCTACAGTAGACACAGAGGGATAATCCTTTCCGTATCTTTATTTCATTCTGACTTTTGAAATTATGCGCACTCCTCTGATTTTTAAAAAATCGCTTGTCATTACATTTTCCTCATTTGTCATTTGATAGATCTTAACAGCCTTAAAGAAGGATCTCTGATTCAAACAAATAATTATTTAATTCAGGGCTTCCTCTACTTTCTATCTTAATATAGCAGAGTGTCCCAGCTGGGCTCGAACCAAGATTACATTTGAATGTTTATGAACTGGTAGGCTGTCCATCTCTCTGGTATATATTCATATGTTCATGAGTTGATCAAGAGCTTTTCGGATTGTTTGCAGGACTCGGGAGAAGAGACTGAGGGAGGTTTGTGCAAAGTATGAGAGAGAGAAATGGGGCAGGGGAAAGTGGAAGAGGATGAGGGAGTAGGGGAGAGAGAGAGACAGTGTGTGTGTGTGTGTGTGTGTGTGTGTGTGTGTGTGTGTATGAGAGCTACAGAGAGAGAGAGTGTGTGTGTGTGTATGAGAGAGAGAGAGAGTGTGCGTGTATGAGAGAGAGAGAGAGAGTAGTGGCATGGCCATCAGTAGTCTGCCCACCATGGTAGACTACTTTTGAGAGAACTCTATAGAGAAAGTGCCGTTAGGATCAGAAGCTAAAGAAGCTATTTAATAATAGTAATTCGACAACTGCAAAACTCTTTCAAACTTAATTACAGTCAGCATTATAAGGAAAAGTGATGTGCAAATTTGGGCTGAGGTCAATTCTTTCTCCATCTCAGACAGGTTGTTCTTGTCTTTCATGAACATAGGCATTCTGAGAACTCATATTAGTTCCTAGCAGAGGCAGTGCAGGGTCCCTCAATGAAGAATCCAGAGCAGATGAAACTGTGGAATTTTGGAGGAGCTTATAAAATATACCCCTAGGACTTCTTAACAAAGACTATGTGAAATAGCCAAGAGTCACAGCTGCTGAGTTCCTGTAGTTATGAAAGGTGCCATCTAAAAGTTCCACTAATTAGTACAGTGACATTTATGTAAGCACAAGTTTTCCCACTGGTGATAGGACTCTAAATGAACAAACACATGTCTAAGACTTTTGTTTCAATCACTGTTATACCAAACTATATTGCTACATCCAGAAGTAAACATGGACCATGGACAAACAATTAAATAAACTGATGACACGCCAGCAACAAACACCAATTCATTGATTAACTAAAATTGTCACTTTCCAAGTTTTTTAACTTTGTACAGATGTAGTCATAGTCTAAAAATATGTTCAGTAATTAAGCCATGTACTTTAAAAAATGCCCACGAGAGTTAGTTTTTCTGTTTAATGAAATTATAGTAAGTTGAGTTTGATGTACTTATAACTTAAAATGATAGGATCTAATCTTGGTAACTCATGTCGGTCGTATTAATGATGCAATTCTAAAAGTTGTCAATTCCTTAGGTGACACTTTTAGGTAACTTATACCTCTGATTTTCCTCAAATGATTGGATCAACGTATTTTACCATCTTTCTCTTCAAAAAGCTGATTGAGTCATTGACACAGGTTCAGAAACAAAATACTCATAACCTAGTGCCACATATTTTAAAAACACACACAAAAAGTCAAAATCAAACAAAACAAAACAAAATCAAGTGGTTTGTGAAAGATTGCATTTTTTCAAAAGTTCTTTCTACATTACTTGTCAATGCATTCATTTCTGGAATCTATCAAGTGGTGGAATGTATGTTTCCTCCCCTTAAGTCTCATGAATCTTTGTGATTGCTTTAACTACTAGAATAAGAAAGGAGTGGTGCTATGTGACTGAACTTATGGCAGAGCATGTGATCAAGCTTTCCTCTGGATCTATTTTATTCACTGTGAAGCTCAAGACACACAGAGAGGCCTATGTGGAGAGGAACTGAGCTCAGGCAGCATCTTCATCTGATCTCCTAGTTGACAGCCAGCCAAACTTTTCCAGCCAAGTGAAAAATGGGCCATCTTGGAAATGGATTATCCAACCTTCGGGAAAGTTCTCCCTACCATTGCTCCATGGAGCACTACCATTCTCTGTCAAAATTGCAAATTCGTAAAGAAAATAAATGGCAGTTGTTTTTAAGACCCTATGTTTTTGAGTGGTTTCATTTGAATCAATAAACGACCAAAGTATCAATTTTTTAAACAAAATTTAAATTATCCAAAATTGAAAAATAAGGCAAAATGAAGACTCCACATGCTTCCATTTTTGTTGTGGAGTATTGTCTAACAGGTCTTCGAAAGGATGATTTAATTTTCTAGCTTGCAAGCCTTTCTTTGACTTGTTATACAGTTTTGATGAAGATACAGGCTCTGCACAGTTACATGTCAATGTATAGATTTTTATCTCCAGTAGAGATGCAAATGATCTCTGTACTGTAAAGAGGATAACTACAAAAGTAATAGTATCAATGCAGGTAAGGCATTAAGAAGTTATGTATCTATTAGAACACTCATTTCTGTATTCCTTCCAACTGCTTGACTGTAGATACTTAGTTCCTTCAAGTGTCTTTGAATCAGATTTACCATTCTATTCATTCCCTCATTTATGAGTTAAGAAAATCTTTGACTTGTGTTTATACTGGTATAATCATCACATTTTATAAAATTTGTGAAAGTATATTTCACGTGGGTAAAATAAACATACTTAAAATTTAATGGAGCTGGTGATGTCAGTAAAGATGGAAAAGGACCTCTGAAATTATCTCCAAAATAAGAGCAACAAGAAAATTTGCAAAGATGTTGAGAATAATCATTGATAGAACTCTAGATATTAACAAAAGCTTGCAGCAATCCAAAGTGTTTGTTCAAGTAAGATGACTGAATTTCAGCAATAACTGAACTCCAGTGAGCTCCTGGAAATTTCCTCACCCTTTTCCCATCTCTTCACTCTGCCATATCCTTACAAACCAATGCCCTATGATCACAGTAAAAGCAGTTACCTGGAAGTCACTGAGGGGAGTAGAACAAGGCTGGAGCTCCTTCGAAGGCTCATTGCCACAGAAGTGTCATTATTTGACCTGTCTGAGGCTCCCTCAGAACATATTACTTGCCAAGCTGGTTTTATTTGACCTGCCTCAGAGCTCGCCCAGTGAAAAATGCTTTATTTCCAAGTGTCAAATACGATTATAGGACATTGTCTAATTTTATGGGTGCTCAAATTTCTAGATGCTGGATAAGAGTTGGAAAAAGCAATAGGGACAAAACAAAACAAAACAAAACAAAAAAACCTTAAAAAGAAAAGCTAAGGAATAAGATGGCCATAAGAGATCTGAAAAACTCACATATTCTTGGAAGTCTAGAAAACCATATGAATGCAGAAGACTGTCCACATGTCAGGAAAGATCTGAGAAGGCCTGAAAGTCTCATGTCTGCCTAACTTTGAGGCTCATTGCAAGCAAGAAGTAAAGCAGAGGTGGAAGCCATGATTATCATGCACAAAGAACACCTTGAAAGAACTGGAAAATTAATGATCCCCAGCATTTAATGAAATATCTAACCAGTGATTTGCTGACTACTAAGTTAACCAATCGAAGACTTCAGTGGCCATAGATGAAAAAAAATATAGACTTATGTTTAATTCAAACAGGTTACTAAAAAAACAAACACCACCACCAACAACCAAAACCAGCAACAACAAACCCTGGGGGAGGGGAGAATCTGACTTTTAGAGTTGGCATATTGTATTATTTACGGTGTCCACTTTTCAAGCAAAAGAATGTATAAGGCATGCAAAGAAACAAGAAAGTGTGGCTTGTAAACAGAAATAAAAACAATCCATAGAAACTCTCCCTGTGTAAGTCCAAATATTTAATGTATTGGACAAAGAATTTAAATAAAGTATTTTTAGGTATGTCCAAATAACTAAAATAAACTAGATACAAAGATGGAAGGGAAAAACAAGAATAATATCATACAGATAGAGAATATTAATAAAGAGATATACAGATTATAAAATGAAACCATATAGAAATTTTGGAGTTAAAAATACATTAATAAAAACATACCAAAGGGGCTGGGTGCAGTGGCTGACATCTGTAATCACAGCACTTTGGGAGGCCAAGGTGGGTGGGTCACCTGTGGTCAGGAGTTCAAGACCAGCCTGGCCAACATGATGAAACCCCATCTCTATTTAAAAAAATGCAAAAAATCAGCCAGGCGTGGTGGTGGGCACCTGTAATGCAGGCTACTTGGGAGGCTGAGGCAGGAGGATCACTTGAAACCAGGAGGCAGAGGTTGCAGTGAGCCGAGACCTTGCCATTGCACTCCAGCCTGGGCAACACGAGCGAAACTCCATCTCAAAAATAAAATAAAATAAAATAAATAAAATAAAATAAAATAAAATAAAATAAAATAATACACACACACACACACACACACACCCCAAAGGGAATTAATAGCAGATTAGAGTGAACAAAAAATAATCAGTAAGCTTAAATTTAGGTCAGTTGAGGTTATCTATCCTGAGAACAGAAACAGAAAGGAATAGAGTAAAGTGGACAGAATTTCAGAGACCAATGGTAACAATCAAGCGGTGGTGTTAAAATGAAATTTATGCCTGCAATTTTGCTATCATTGTTACAATGGAAGTCTAAGAAGAGGATAGAGAAAACCTGGCAGAAAGCGTATTTGAAAACATAATGGTAAAATTTAACACATTTGAAGAACAACATTAATCTTTACATCCAAATCAACAAACTGAAAGTAAGATAAAGTCAAAGAGATTTGCACCTAGATACATCATCGTAAAACTGTTAAAGCCAAAGACAAAAAGACTATCTTGTAAGCAAGAAAGGAAAAGTGACTCATGATAAACAAGAGGTCCTTAATAAGATTTACAGCTGATGTCTCATCAGAAATCGTGGTGGCCAGAAAGCTATGCAATTGAATATTCCAAGTGAAAAAAGGAAAACGCTGTCAATGGCAAATTGTATATTCATTAGAACTAGCCTTCAAAAAAAGAATAAATTAATAAATATTGACATTGCCAGATAGACAAAATTGAGAAATTCAAGAAATATTAAGGGAGTCTTAGTCATTTAAATGAACAGACACTAGACCAACTCAAATAAACAAGAAGAAATCGAGTAACATTAAACGCAACTATGCCTATATAGTTGCATGGAAAAACAAAAAGAAGATACAAATGTATTTTTTGCTGGTAGCTTTTTTTTTCTTCTATTTCAGTTGAGAGATAATTGCATTAAGTAGTAATTATAAATGTGTGTTGATGGACACACAATGCTAAAGATGTAATTTGTGTGTAACACTGTTGAAATTATGTTGTTATTAATGTAAGCCAGATTGTTATATTATACATTAAAATGTTTACTGTAATCACCAGGTCAATCACAAAGGAAATAACTCAAAATATAGTAAAAGAAATAACAAAAGCTTTAAAATGGCACACTAGAAAATATTTATTTAACGCAAGAGAACACAATAATTGAGTTACAGAGAAATAAAATGACATAATAGCAGAATCACAGACATAAATTTTATTTTATCAGAAATTAAAGTAAAAGTAAGTGGGTTAAAAACTCTAATTAAAATTCAGAGATAGGCAAAATGGACTTAAGAACAATGTGACCCAATGATATACTATACAAGACACAAATAAGTTGAAAGTAAAAGGATAGAAAAAATATTTTATGCAAATGGTAACAAAGGAAAGCTGGGGTAGTTATACTAATTTTGGACAAAATAGGCTATGAGACAAGAATTGTAACTACAGATAAAGGACATTATAAAATGATTGACATGTCAGTATGTCAAGAAGATATAATAATTATAAGCACGTATGCAACAATGGAGCCCCCAAATACACAAAGTGAAAAAAGAATTAAAATAATGGATATTTTAATTCCTCACCTTTGATAATGGCTTGAGCAACTATATAATCAACGAGGAACTAGAAGACTTAAACAACACTAAAACCTACAAGATTTAACAGATATCTATAGAACTCCTAAGTTAATAATAGTAGAATGCATATTTTTCCCATGTGTACATAAAATATTCTCCAGGATAGACTAAGCATCACAATAAAAGACTAAACATATTTGCAAAAATGAAAATTATATGAAGAACATTTTCTGACAAAAACTGAACTAAATTAGAAATCAATCATTAAAATAAATGTGGAAAATTGTTGATTAAGTGGTTATTAAACTATATATACCTATATAACCAATGGGTGGAAAATTAGAAAACACTACAAGTGAATAAAGATCAAACATGACAAAATGCACAGGATGTAGCTAAAGCATGGGTTAAAGAGAAACTTGTATTTGCACATGACTATATTAAAAAAGAAAAGAGATCTTAAATCAATAACAATATTTCATTTAAATAAACTAGACTAAGAAGAGCAAACCAAACTCAAAGCAAGCAGAGGGGAGGAAATAGAAAAGGTTTAATAGAAACAAACAAACAAATAAATGATATAAAGAATGAGAAAGCAATAGATATCACACACAAAAAGAACATTAGTTCTTTGAAATGTCTTTTTAAAGTCAAACCATAAGTTAGGCTGAAAAAGAAAAAATAGAACAGATTCACATTACTAAAATGTAAGTAGGGATGTTATTAGAGACCCCAGAAAATACAAAGCATTATAAAAAAATTGTGATTCTCTTATATTTGTTCTTGTAATTGTACACCAACAAACAATCAGTAATTTGATAAACAATATGGAATTTAAGAAATCCTGGAAAAACATAAACTACCAAAATTGACTCAAAGGGAAATAGAAAATCTGAGTAGATCTATAACAAGCAACAATATTGCCTTAGCAATAAAAAATATTACCACAAGGGAAAGTCCGGGAGCAGATGATGGCTTCACTGGTGAATTCTTTCAAATGTTTAAAGATAAATTAACACTCACCCCAACCTCTGCCAAAAAGAAAAAAGTAAAAGAAAAGGGCAAACGCTCTTATTTTAAGGAGCCAGTATTACTCTGATACCAAAAAAAAAAGGCAAAGACTACAAGAAACAAACAAACAAACAAACAAAAAACTAGACTAATATCCTCTCTGAATGCAAATGTGAAAATCCTAAAAACAAACTCTTACCCCAACAAACTGAATGCAGTAACATATTAAAAATTCATATACCATGATCAAGTGGAAATTATCCCAGAAATGTAATGTTGGCTTAACATGTGAACATCAAACAGTGTATGAAACCATTTCATAAAATAAAGGACAAAAAACACATAATCATCTTTGTAGATGAAGAAAAAAGCATTTGAGCAAATCGAATATAGTCAAAAAAATGTCCTGGCCTCCACTTGTCTTCTGCTAGCTTCCTTTTAATGAAGAAATTTGGGATGTGAAGACATAATGACTTATTTAACTTTCAGATATTTCTGAAAGAGAAAAATACAAAAACAGTAAAATTGATGTTGCAGACTTTTTCCAAAGAGTTAGCTCATGAGCTTCCTACAAAAATATATAAAAGTGAGCAGGATTTTGCAAAAATGTAAAGAAAAGTCTGGATCCATAGCACTCACTGAGAAGATTTTGCAGTTACTTGAACAGGATTTATATATATTTTTAAAGAAATTAGGATGAGAAAGTTGCAGAGAAAGCCAGGGAGTCGAATTTGATCATTCCTTCAGTTGTGGCTAAGGATACCCTTGTCTTTTAGTGTAATTATATGTTTGAATAGGCACATGGATTGATTAAATTGAAATGTTGGTTTTCAAATATGGTAATAGAGAAGTAATCTACACAGGGTAAAAAATATACCTAAATTGAAATATTTTAGAATTTTAACTATGAAATTCTTGGATTTTTACAATTAAATTATTTTTAGTTGTATTTTCTGTAGCATTTCTAAGCATTGTCACTGGCTTCTGTGATACTTCTGTGGATAATTATGAGAAGATGAAATGCTTATTGTATATCAACATGTGAGATTTTAAGCTCCTCCTCCACTGGAATAAACATATTCTCATTGATATATGTATTCTACAAAATCACGCATACATGGGTGCATTTACGTGTGGATGAGGAGGAGGGTGGCAGTGGACAAAGTTAGAAAATGTTCTTAGTCTTTACCTGGAGTTATATCTGTTCATTTCATCAGTTTCATATTGCCTCAGCCGTCTTACGTTTAAAACACTGTAAATTACTAATAAAAATATTACATTTTATGCATTAGAAATCATTTTTCGCTTTAGAGATCATTTTCTATCTTAGTTCATTTTGTGCTGCTGTAACAGAATACCACAGACTGTGTAATTCACAGTGAATCAAAATTTATTTGGCTCATGGCTGTGGAAACAAGGATGTCCATAATTAAGGGGCTGTATCTGGTGAGGGCCTTCTTGCAGCCTCGTAACAAGGCAGAAGGTATCACACAGGTAGGAGGGATTTGAACTCACTTTTATAATAAACTCACTCTTTCAATAACAAACTCACTCCAGCAATGACAACATTAATTAATTTATTATTAAATACCTCTTAAAGGTCCCATCTCTCAAATTTTGTGTTGGGAATTAATTTTCCAACACATCAACTTTGTGGGATATATTCAAATTATAGCGGAGACTTAGATGGCTATAAGGGCAAGTTTTTACCATGTTCTTAATTTGGCAAAGTAAGTGAAAAAGAGAAATCCATAAAACACTTCAGACTTTTACTATGTGCATTTTACTAAATTGCATAAGTATAGCAACCTTGAAATTGGTTCTTGAAACTGAATTTTATAAAGAACCTCTCTCATGTCTTCTCCCAAATGTCAAAATTATGAAGCTTTAATATGTGGTTGAGGATCTTGAAGATCTTGATCTAATTTTAAATTTTTACTAGCTAACACCATTCCAATTGTTATGTCTTTATGCAACTACATACCAACTCTACTAGCATGACATAAAACTTATTATGTAAACAACAAGTTAGTGGAAGAAGAGGAGGAGAAGGGAATAAGGAAAAAAAAATTGTATTCATGCAAGAGTATCAAACGTAAGAAGAGATCAACATTTTCCTATAAGCAGAATGCCGTTTTTGCAGGTTTGAATGTTTGATATAGTTAGAAATTTGAACATTTTGCTTTAGAACACATTTGAAAGTGGAAGATTTGGTTTACAGTTTTGATGATTAAGACTGACTTCAACAGAGACTTCAGTGAGAAACTACTGAAATTTACTAGCACAGTTTTTACTGAGGGCTGTTGTATTAGTCTGTTCTCATGCTGCTATGAAGAAATAACTGAGACTGGGGTAATTTATAAAGAAAAGATGTTTAACTGACTCACAGTTCCCCATGGCTTTGGAGGCCTCAGGAAACTTATAATCACTACAGATGGCAACTCTTCACACGGTGGCAGGAGAGAGAATAAGTGCTGAGTGAAGGGGGAAGCCCCTAATAATACCATCAGATCTTGTGAGAACTCACTGTCATGAGAACAGCATGGGCGAAACTGCTCCCATGGTTCAATTATCTCCAGCTGGTACCGCCCTTTGTCAGGTAGGGATTATTACAATTCAAGGTGAGGTTTGAGTGGGGACACAGAGCGAAGACATATTAGCTGTTAATAGTAGACCATAAAATATGAATAGACTTTGTTCAACTGCCAGTTGATAAATATTGGTCCTCAAGACTCGGCTGGGTGAGGAAGATCTTGAGAAGATTGTTAGACATGCAGATTACCAGTAACTCTTTGTAGGATGCTTTTTAACAAAACTTGAATTTTCTATGTTATTAAGAATAGTCCTGTTGCATTTAAAAATCATAATCATACATGCAGCCAACAATCATGAAGAAAAGCCCAACATCAGTGATCATCGGAGAAATGCAAATCAGAACCACAATGACACCATTTCACACCATTCAGAATGGCTATTATTAAAAATTAAAAGAATAACAGATGCTGGCGAAGTTACAGAGAAAAAGGAATGTTTATACACTATTGGTGAGAGTATAAATTAGTTCGACCATTGAGGAAGACAGTGTGGTGATTCCTCAAAAACCTGATGACAAAAATACTATTCGACTCAGCAATCTCATTACTGGGTATATACCAAAAGGACTATAAATCATTCTATTATAAAGACACATACTCACATATGTTCATTGCAGCACTCTTCACAATAGCAAAGACATAGAATAAACCTAAATGCCCATCAATAATAGACTAAAGAAAATGTGGTATATATGTACCATATAATACTATACAGGCATAAAAAAGGACAAGATCATGTCCTTTGCAGGGACATGGATGAAGCTGGACATGTCCTTTGCAGGGACATGGATGGAGCATTATCCTCAGCAAATTAACGCAGGAATAGGAAACCAAATACCGCATGTCCTCACTTATGTGTGGGAGCTAAAAGATGAGAACACATGGACATATACAGGAGAGCAACACATTAGCCTATCAGAGGTTGGAGAGTGGGAGGAGGCAGATGATAAGGAAGAATAACTAATGGGTACTAGGGTTAATACCTGGATGATGAAATAATCTGTACAACAAACTCCCATGACACAAGTTTATCCATGTAACTAACTTGCATATGTACCCCTGAACTTAAAATAAAAGTTAAAAAAAAGCCATGTGTGAATTTTAAATTTTTTTAGTAGCCACATGAAAAATAATAGTACAAAGAAAAACTAAAATAAAAATAAGAATCAAAGACATTACGGAAGCAAGTGGTCAGCAAATTGCACTTTTAGAAATGTTGTGATAGTTTCTTTTGTTTCCTGTCTATTCTGATTTTCAGGATATTGTGTTCTGACTAAGAAAAATTAAAACTGTTCTTTGATTTGAAAGTTTGACTACTTCAGAGGAAGTTAATTTACACTCTTGAAGTAGTTATGGGCCAACTTACTGAAGAGTTCACATTAACATAAATAATTATAGAAACTAATATAAACATACATTTACAAATTAATGTTTTAATCATATTTATATACTACTGATAATTCTATACAAGAGCTTAGATAAAATCTTCTGGATGTGGCTGGAGAAATACCTCTAAGCCTGCAGAGCCTTTTCTTCCATTGACAAGCTCTTCACTGATGTCTTCTTTTTTTTTTTTTTTTTTTTTTATTATACTCTAAGTTTTAGGGTACATGTGCACATTGTGCAGGTTAGTTACATATGTATACATGTGCCATGCTGGTGCGCTGCACCCACTAATGTGTCATCTAGCATTAGGTATATCTCCCAATGCTATCCCTCCCCCCTCCCCCAACCCCACCACAGTCCCCAGAGTGTGATATTCCCCTTCCTGTGTCCATGTGATCTCATTGTTCAATTCCCACCTATGAGTGAGAATATGCAGTGTTTGGTTTTTTGTTCTTGCGATAGTTTACTGAGAATGATGGTTTCCAATTTCATCCATGTCCCTACAAAGGATATGAACTCATCATTTTTTATGGCTGCATAGTATTCCATGGTGTATATGTGCCACATTTTCTTAATCCAGTCTATCATTGTTGGACATTTGGGTTGGTTCCAAGTCTTTGCTATTGTGAATAGTGCCGCAATAAACATACGTGTGCATGTGTCTTTATAGCAGCATGATTTATACTCATTTGGGTATATACCCAGTAATGGGATGGCTGGGTCAAATGGTATTTCTAGTTCTAGATCCCTGAGGAATCGCCACACTGACTTCCACAATGATGTCTTCTTTGTCCCAAGCTGTTCAACCATTCCTCACAGGCTTGGTCACCTCACATATCCTGCTCCCTGTGCTCTTTCAATGAGAATTATAGATGTGAATGCACAAGAGAAGGAAGGAAATTGATTGCATATGCTATGTACTAAGCACCGCCACATCAGTTCTTTTGCAAAACATTTTATTATTGTATTGAAATGCTTTATATTGTAAATAATTGTTGTCCTTAAGTTTTATTATCCTAGCTCTCTAGGTTTTGTTTTGTTGTTGTTGTTTGGTTTTGTTTGTTTGTTTGTTTCTTTGTATGTTTGTAATTGTGGACAGATATATCTTTGTAGATATTTTAGTGACCAAAGAAAGGCTTTTTCCTAACATGTGTTCTGCAATATTCCTGCAACCATATTCTGCTCATAAAAATGGCAGTGGAGGACATATGACTGTGAATCAAAAAGGTGAATGGGCATTATTGAAAGAACTTGAAGACCGATTACTCACTGAAATATTAACCTTATAACCTTTACCATTTATTAAAGAAATAGACTCAAAACAACTTTATCCTGAACTACCTGTCAATAAAAATTTAAGAAATATTTATATATTTGGATATAAATATTATACATCTATTATTACCAATTCATATATTATATATTAGTAACTATTCTTTCATGACATGTATAGAATGTGTAATATTTTCTCCCTGTGCTCCAACAAATGTCTTTGAAAATGCCCTTTGATTTATGGACACCAACTTAAAGATCCCTGGTTTAGAGAAATCTTCTGTTGTTTGTTGGCTGTTGCTACATGACAGGTTTTTGTTACTTATTATTTAATTCTCATTTTATATGAGTTGCCCAATAGAAATTATGTTGCTTTAATATATTGATGTATTCTCAACTTATTATCTTGCAGTGAGTTTGAAACAATATTACTCTGGATAAATAAATAACAGATTAAGTCTATAATCGATGTTATCATTGCTTAACTTAAAGACATAACATATGGTGTGAAAAAAGTCAGTTTACATTCTTGCAATGTTATTCTATCTTTCTACTAGGCAGATTTATAATGGTCTGAATGATGCTACCAGATGTGGTATTTCAATGGTATCAGTCATTCCTAATACCATCCAACTTCAGTCATAACATGCATATGAAAACATCACACATAAAGATTTTCTTTCAGATTCACTCTATAAGCCAATGATCATTCTTCTGTCCAATTCAGTCCTAACATTTTACTTATAATGTCCTCAAATTGAATTTGCCCATCTTTCACTGTCTTTAAGCTTATTTTTAATACCAGCTCTAGCACCTATGTGCTTTTAATTATTTAGATTATGTATGTATGCAAATTATTCTCAGGAATTGGGGCCTATTTTCCTCTTCCTAATGTCAGCTTTTTTTTTTTTTTTGTATTTCATATCTGAGTTAGGTAAAATTACTGTAAAATTGAGGCAACTTCTTCAACTCATACAGTGGATAATATTTTATATTTATTTCAATAGCACTGACTTTCAAATGCTTTAATTATAATTCCATCTGAAAGCAACAATCAAAAAGTATGTGAGCTGAAAAAAGAAAATAAATAGGAGTTTAAATCCACAGTTGTGGTGTACATATCTTTTTTCAATTCACTTCACTGAATTTGTCATCTAATCTTCGCTAAAACACTCAGCAGGAACCTCACCTGGGTCCTTTAGGTGCAACAATCACTGCATGATCAAAAGTGAAAGAAAATGGAACTTTGTATTTTATTTTCTCCTCCTTCTTTCCTTCCTTCCTTCCTTCCCTCCTTCCTTCCTTCCTCTCTTTCTTTCCTTCTTTCTTTCTTTTTTTTTTTTTTTTTTTGACAGAGTCTCACTCTGTCATCCAGACTGGAAAGCAGTGGCTCGATCTCTGCTCATTGCAGCCTCCACTTCCCAGGTTCAAGCAAATCTTGTGGTGCCTCAGTCATCCCAGTAACTGGGACTACAGGCACGTGCCGTCATGCCTGGCTACTTTTTGTATTTTTAGTACAGATGGGTTTTCACCACGTTGGCCAGGCTGCTCTTGAACTCTGGACCTCAAGGGATCCACCCACCTTGGTTTCCCAAAGTGCTGGGATTATTGGAGTGAGCCACTGGCCTAACTTTGTATTTTCAAACAGGAAATATGATTTTAAAAATAGCCTGTAATAGATGATTTATTATTTTTCCTAGTGTTCAAACTTCAGTTTCTCCTCTGAACTCTTATGTTCTTTTAAATTTAAAATGCTTATTTGTCTAACAGTCCCTAAACTGTACAAAATTAGTATAAAGAGTGTTCGATTAATTTAATTACTTTTTCCAAAGTCACACATTTTTATAATAAAAGAACAAGATGAGAGTTTTTAAAAAGAAATTAAATATTTACATTTTAAGCATTGCCTGATGTCACTCTTGTTCAAAGATTGCTTAGTTTTGCCAATAGTTTAGTATTTGCAAACAAACTGAAGATGTCACCAAAAACCCTGTCTTCACATATGTTACATTCACCTCAATGTATCAGTTCCCCGTGAAGAACAGAATCTAAAGAGTGATATCTTGTCCCTTTACTGTGAATGAAACAATTTTTTTTCACAAGGTGTTGAAAGGATATACTAATTATATAAGTGAAAAAAGTAATGTGCTGTAATAATTGAATGAAAGTTGCATGATTCTTTTGACATGGTACAAGTCATATATTTGCTCTTAAAAGGAAATATAAAATGCAGAGAAGCAAAAAAAGACTTACAAATCACTATAATACAACTGCAATGTGAACTTGTGCATATTTTTATATATTCTTCTCTTCCATCATCTATCTATGGATCCCATCCACACACTATCAATATATATTATCTATCTATTTATTTAAAAATCTATCTGTCACCTGTCTCTGTCATCTAACTATACAATCTGGCTTGCAAATGAGAATCAACAAGATCATAATACAGATCATTTTAAAATCAGAATTTTGTCATTTAACCATATAATGTCATTATTTCTATTTCCACAAACATTCTTCATCATTGTTAATGAGTAAAGAATATTATATTAATGCATGTAAATCATATTTCAATATATACATGTTGTAGCAGACACTGTTGATTGCTTTGCTGATAATTATTGCTCCTTTCTCTCTGAACTTTGTGTCCACCTCTGTAATGCTGGGAAAGTTCAGCCTATTCTAATCTACAGAGAGAAATTCTGATGGACTTGAAGAAATTGGTGGTGTCCTAGTCCTATTTGTAGCGAAAGTTTCTGAGATGGAAATGTAACATAATTCTGGCAAATAGGATGTAACACATAGCACTTTGATTAAATGTGCTCAATTAATGTGTTACCACCATAAACATTAATGTATTTAGGAAATAGTTCTAGCATGGCCTAGATAATCAGAAGGTATAGAAATTCATAAAAAAATTTCACTTTATCTTTTTGGGGAGAATGATTTGAAAGCATAATATCTGATGCATTTTTAACTGTTAAGATTCAATTAAATGTTAATAATATTGTTATACTCTGGTCATAATATATAATATGCTTACAGTTAGGGAGTTTAAAATTATGTAACATTACATTAGTAAATACTTATATCTATCCAAATATCTTTGAGATATTGATATTCTGCACTAGGTTTATTTACAATCAAAGTCTGTGTGTGTGTATATGTATGTCAAAGCTATATATGTGTGTGTGTGTGTGTGTGTAAAATATATGTAGAGCATATTGCATGTTTCTCTTTCATGCTATTTATATTTGGACATATACACATACATAGAGAGAGAAGCTCAAAATTTGGATTCATTAGTCAAAAGAAAATTTTAGGGAAAGCCTCAATAACCTGTTTTTGTGTGTATTTTTTACTGCTAATCATACGTAATTCTAAATTATTATAGATTTAGTTTCCTTAACTTTTATACAGGTAAATTAAAGGCTTTGAGAAAAGTTAATTCTATCAAAGCTACTGCTGAACAATATCACCTGAGTTCTCTGCAAATCAGATCCCACTAAACACCTCGAAAGGCCAGACAGGAACCCCTCGATTTTCACAGGAAAAATGAACGATGCTGTTAAATGAAGACCATGCGAAATATTTACTAATTCATTTTTATCCTCAGTATAAGAGTTATAGTTTTCGTGTTTTGTTTTATTTTTAGTATTTAACAAAAAAAAAGTTTACGTCTTCGCATGTCATACGTAACCAGTTTTATGTTCTCCTGGGTTGAAAAAAAAAAACTGCAGACTGAGAATGTTTTCTAAATTTGGCTTTTGCCCTTTGCTAACTTATGTATTCAACAACTAGATTTAAAAAAAATGTTTTTACAGTGGTGTACTTAAGGATGCTATAGGTACAAAGTTTGAGCACTTAAATACAGTGGTTATGCATATACAGAAATACAAGAAAGGCAAGTAATGGCTAATATTAAAATGATTATAATGCATACCTATTCCTTTGCAAGTCTTGCAAATTGTGGAATATTCAGGAAGGGTAAGAACGGGGAGAGTATACAAAGACAACAGGAAGAAAGCGATGAGCAAAAAATTCCATATGCGCGGAAGAAAATTTGAAGAGGTAGGAATATCACTTGCATGCTCATTTTATACAACTGTCTCCTATTATTTTTTGTATGGTACTCTCTCAGTGATTAATTGAGGGGTATGGGGTGTGTGTGTGTGTGTGTGTGTATGTGTGTATATGAGGTAAGACTAAAAGTATAGTGTATTTATCCCACGTGTTACCTTGTTCTTGCAGGAGCTTATTTATGAGGTTCTGAATTTCACTTATACAAACACATCTAAAAATGTCTCCATCTCAAGTGAATTAAATGACAAAGAAAATGGTCTGTCTATTACATTTGATTCATCCATAATGAATGCCAACATGGTCAATTCTAGACACCAGGTACAAGCTTTTTATTTTAAATTTAGTATATGACAGGGATTCATTTTCTTTCCAGAAATGTAATGCTAAACATTGACCATTTAAAACTTACAATGATGCTGAATGGAAAAAGATAAATAAATCAAATGCATTAACATTGCAAATGTCTTTGAATTTTACAGGTTGCTATCAGAGTACTGATTTTATTTGACTCTATGGAACCATTATGCTAGCTGCTGCTCTAAATTTAGCTCTTTGAATGCCTGATAAAATGTCATGTACTGCAAGTCCATTATAAGCACATCAACTCTTGCATCAGCACGTTTGCAAGTTTAGACAGTCATTCTTTGAAAGAACTGTTAATGGGCTTCAGCATTTGATGAATTGTGAACTATTTTACCTGTACTACCCAAGACAAGGTTGCCCTAGTCAAAACAGGTATGTTTCCACTTCTAAATTAAAGACTAGAGCAAATTCGAGAAAAATAATATTCATAATACAAATTTTCTTAGTATCTACTTCTAGGTATTTGAAGTAGAGAATTCACTTAGTCAAATAAAATATAAAAACATAAATCTATTTTTATTTATTAAAAATGTTAAAACTCTAGTCATAACAATAGTAGCAGTAGGTTATTTTTGTGGAACATACAGGTGAAACCAGAAGTTGGCTAATATAATGATATTTAATTCTCGCCGTAATTCTTCATGTAAGTATTACTTTCCCCGTTCACAATTGAGGAGAATGAATTTCAGAAAAGTTAATTATTTTTGCAAGCCTTGCAGACTTAATCAAAGCAGACTCAGGTTTGGAACCCAGAGGTGGGTAGTTCTGAAGTCATTCTACTACTTAACCATCCTAATAGAAAATGTGTGGTTAGTTGTTTCTTTCTGCTTTCATAATTTAACTCGCCATCAGTTATGGCACACAATTTAGATTGCAAAAATCAAAGCGGTTTCAGGTGAGACCGCCAACTTTGAGTAGTTTCCTAGATGTGTTGAATACCCTAGACATCCTTTGGTAACCTCCCATGGCAGGGCAACACTAAACCAGAAATCGGCTTTCTTGTGCTAAATCAAGAGTGGAAAGAAAGAAAGAGACAGATTTGGATATATTGCTTAGCCAACAGTTTCTCCTAGTAGGGTCAGTTCCCCAGGGGAAAATTAGTGCTTCATTTATGCTATAAATATTCAAAATAATGAAATTTGTTCAACCACCTACAAATTTAACATAGCTTCATAGTCAAGGCAAGTTTTGGTGATGCAGTAACTAAAAAAATATATGCAGATAATAATTATCATTTTAATGTTTATTTTTAATTGATATGTATTAATTGTATGTATGTATGGGGTATAGAGTGATATTCTGATACATGTGTATGATAATGATCAAATCAGGGTAATTAACACATCTATCACCTCAAACATTTATTCTTTCTTTGTGTATCATATAGCTAATTATGATTAAATTGAAGTTTCAGTCTTTGGATTCCAATTCCTTTGCATTTTAAGATCATGTGGCTCTGGTAGACATAAAATTTGGAATGCATACTCACAGTTTTCTGCATTCAATTTTTAAACAATAAATTGAGTGATTTAACAATCTATGCTCTTATGGTGCAGGTTTTTTTGTGTTGTTTTTATTTTTTATTTCCTTTTGTTGTCCTTCTGCAGATTGTTGTTTTGATTTATTTTTCATAGGCCAATAAAGTAATAAGTATGGACAGATTAAGGCAGACACTGCTATTTCCCCAACCCAGCACAATAAAAGGTGAGTTTTTCATGATTCTTCCCCATCTTCCCGGTGAGTGCCTGATATAGAAACGTGCCAAAGGGTGCAGACTTCCCTATACTCTCTCACTGGATCGTACTTGGCCTTTACCAAGGCATTCTAAATTTCTAGCTGAATTTTCTTACCAGATTAAATGGCATTGAGGGGCATCTATCTCAGGTAAACAAATACTCAGATCCTGCAGCAGTCTGTGTGTCTCCAGATTTTGGGACAGTTGATTACCCTTAGAACTTCATTCTCTGATGGTTTTATGGAAAGTTGCTGACTTAAGATGTGTCTTGTGTTTTTTTTGTTGTAAGGGTAGGAGTAACACTTTCCAGCTTTCTTTATGTGCAAGCTCTCAGCCTTCGGCAGGCACAGGTGCATAATTATATGACGATGTTTTAACAGCAGTAATGGGTCCAACATAATGGCAGCACAGAGGCGGGACCCCTGCCGCGGTCTCCAGCAATAAGGAGAGACCTTCTTTAGTCATTTATTTTAAAAATAAAAATTGGAATCCTAGAGGAAAAGGAATTCTCAAGGGGAAGGTAGAGCATGGGAGATGGTCTACATGTGGAAATAGAATTTTGTGATCAAGAGCATCATAAACAGACTGGGATGTTACAGCTTGAATCCCAAAGGAAAGATTGACAAGAAGTAAGATTGCTAGAAAGGAAGACAATTCCAGACACCATATACCATTTTGAGAAGTTTAAACTGTGTTTTTCTTAATTATGAGAGCATGTGGAATGTTTATATAGGTAGGTAGTGCAGTGAGCTTTATAGTTTACATAAATCTTGAGTATATGTGCAAATGGTAGATTAGAGAACAAATGCAGGATGTCATTCAGCACTCTATAACAGTAGCACATAAATAAGACAGAGAATGAGCTGCAGCTATCACAAATGGGAGTAGAGAGTAAGAGTCAATTTGGTAAAACTTGGGAAGTAACATAAAGTTTCAAGAATGATTTGGTAAAAGAGGTAAGAAGATAAATGCCTGCAGGATTATTCTCCAGGGTCTTGACTAGATATAAGAGGTATAGAAAAGAGGTGCAGGTTTACTCAAGGAGAGGATGAGTTTGTTTTTTGACTTGTGAAACTTGAGCTGTACACGGAACATAAAAATGGCTGTGTTCAGCAGGCAGTTGAGTGCATGATTCAGAAACTCACATGAGCTGCTTGAGCCTGGAAACAGAGGCTTGTTGTCTTCAGCATAAATGTGGTGGTTTGAACTATGTAAATATGTGGGATGGTAAAGTTGCTGTGACAAATGGGACTAGTAGAAGACTGAGGACAAAACTTTGTGAATGCCTTGAAGGGGCTGGCAAAAGAGCCCGGGAACTAGCTTGAAGGAAATGGCAATAAAGTCAGCAGAGTGCTACTGTAAAAACCAAAGGATCTAAGCTTTACAATCAAGTTTAAAAAAAGTTGGAGAGCTGAAAACAAATGAAAAAGCTGTTGGATTCAACAAGTAAGAGGGAAAATTTTAAAAAGGAGTTTTAGTAGCACGCTGAGAACGAAAGTCAAATTTCAAATTAGAAGATACACCAGAAAGTGAACAAGTGAGAATAGATTATATTTACAAAGAATTTTCAATAAGATGAGACTGGAAGAGAAAATCTACTGCTCTCAGAAAATACTGCAAATGATGATATAATAAAGAAACCAAAGAATCGGAACCGCTAAAAACCCAACTCTCTGTGTGTCTGTGCCTAACATTCCAGCCTGATTTAAGATTCTGGATTAATTTGAAAATCCCAACAATGTCTCTACTCTCTAAGTTGTCTCTTCCTGTAAATTCGTTCGTCATTCATTTTTCTTGCTCTTCTTCCTCTTTTTCTTCTCTGCCCTCCTTCCTGCCTCCCCTCCTTCTTATGCTGTTGTTCCTCTTCCATCTTTCTCATTATTGTTGTTTCTTTTCTCTGTTAAATTCATATAAAAATAACACATATTGAAACATAAATTCTAAAAGGATGAGAAAATCAAGGGAAGGGAAACACTAACTTATGAAGACTGATTAATTTTTAAAAAGTCAACTGCAATGAGAGCTAAAGAACTGGTAAAGTGTTCTTTGGAGCTAGAAAATATTGGCCATGTGTAATGTTTCCTTCTCATGGGAACAGATGGATTTGATAAACCTCACTATTTTTTTCTGGAACTTCATAGGGCAAACTTTTACATTGTATCCTGAGATAATGTGTACTATTCAAGAAGAAAACAGAAACTAATAGTAATCTGCAAAATTCTGATGACATCCTTGTATTTCCCAAAATTGTGCATACTTAGTATCTTAGTGTTTCTATTAAACAATGGGGAGATACACACCATGATAACACCACACACACACACACACACAACTACACATTTCTCTGAAGCCTTAATTTGAAAAAATGTGCAAGTGGAAATTTTAAATGTCTGCCATTTCTGCCACAAGAGAGGTAGTAAACAGATCAGAGTCACAGCAGTTCCTTGAAACAGTTTTGCCCATGGAACTTCCCCAGAGACACACATCCACACATCTCTGTCTTTGTCCATCCATACATTTTTGAGTGAGTCTAGAATATAGCAACAAGGAGTCAGAACATAAAGTCTTCCTAGGGACTAGCCATAAATAGTAAGAATTAGGTCTATAGTACCCAGGCGAAGTATGAAATCACATCTGCCTACTGTGTACCAGACACAGACAGACAACCCTCACTGATGTGAAAGAGCCCCAACATTATATTGGTCGAATAGAATGTGAATATGACAGAGGCAGGCAGAGATTAAATATATCTTATAGAGAATTTATTTTATTGTTTTGCGTTCTTTCTAAGTTATCTGTTTGGCCAATACATTTTTATTTCTACTTAGAGTTTAGTTCATTCATTAATTTTTCATAGAAATATTGTTTCAGTAGACTATGTGCCTTGTAGTACTGTAAAATGAAAGGAAAATGTGCAGTAGAAAGTCAGGGATATTTGACTCACATTTGATCTTAAGATCGATCTTGACCGATACTAATTTCTATTTATAAACATGCTTGATTTCTATTTGTCTCTTTCTATATGTAGGTGTTCTCTGTACCATATATAAATAAGGAAGCATAATAACACAATCAAAAACACTCCATTTATGAAAGCAAAGATATCTAATAGTTCTGAAATCTAAAAAAGTAACTAATTTTATTACTTTTGTTACTAATGTTGTTTGCTATTTATCTTGCCTCCTGGATCTGTGGATTTCTTTCTTTCATCAGCTCCTCTCTAAATTTTTATTTTGTCTTCTTCTGAAAATCTTATAAGAAATACCTTAAATGTTGTCATTTGACACTCCATGACTCAACAGTGATTTATAATTTTGATCCCCTTGCTCTCCAGTAATGCATTCCAGCTTATTTTTATCTATATCTATATTTGTATCTTATCTAATTATATATGGTTTGTCTATACTCTCACTTCATTTAATTTATGCTTTCATTATCCTTTTAATAGCCTGTATATTCTGGATGCAAGTCCTGTTCATTATAGTTTTTTAGTTTTCTATTACTGTCATAACAGTTTGTTAATCTTTTCATGTGTTTGTGAACATTTGGATTATTTCCAGACTTTAGGTATTAGAAATAAATCTGTGATGAATATTTGTGTACAAGTCTTTGTATGGAAACATGCTTTCAATTTTCTCATGGAAAGAGCTAGGAGTGGCATGGTTGCATCATATTGTCAATGTATGACTTACTTATTAAGAACTATGAAGCTCTTTTCCAAGTGGTTTTATCCTTTATATCCCTGCAATCAGTGTACAAAATGCAGTTCCTCCACTTTCTTGCAAATGCTTGATACGGTCAATCTGTTTAATATTGGATATTTTAATGGTTGTGTCATAGTGTCTCATCTGGCTTTATCCATATATCCCTAAGAACTAGTAATCGTGAGTATCTTTTCATGTGCTTGTTTTCTATCAACATCTCTTTGGTAAAATATACATTCAAATATTTTCCCCATATTTTACTGGGTCATTTGTTTTCTTAGTAGTATTTTAAGTATTCTTCTGGACACAAGTCCTTTATCAAATATAGAATGTGTTCACTGATCTTTAGAGAAATGCAAGTCAAAACCACAATGAGTTACCATCTCACACCAGTCAGAATGGCAGTTACTAAAAAGTCAAGAAATCACAGATGCTGGTGAGGTTGTGAAGAAATAGAAACACTTTTACTCTGTTGATGGGAGTGTAAATTAGTTCAACCACTGTGGAAGACAGTGTAGCAATTCCTCAAAGATCTAGAGCCAGAAATACCATTTGACCCAGCAATCCCATTACTGGGTATATACCCAAAGATTATAAATAATTCTATTACAAAGAAGCATGCATGAGTATGTTCATTGCAGCACTATTCACAATAGCAAAGACATGGAATCAACCGAAATGCCCATCAATGATAGACTGGATAAAGAAAATGTGGTACACACACACAATGGAATACTATGCAGCCATAAAAAGGAATGAGATCATGTCCTTTGCAGAGACACGGATGGATCTGGAAGCCATTATCCTCAGCAAACTAATGCAGGAACAGAAAACCAAACAATGCATGTTCTCACTTATAAGTGGGAGCTTAACAGTGAGAACACATGAACTCAGGGAGGGGACCAACACACACTGGGGCCTGTCAGGTGGTGGGGTAGGGGGAGGAAGACCATTAGGAAAAATAGCTAATTCATGCTGGGCTTAATACCTAGGAGATGGGTTGACAGGTGCAGCAAACCAACATGACACATATTTACCTATGTAACAAACCTGAATGTCCTGCACATGTACCCCAGAACTTAAAATTTAAAAAGACCCAAAAGTCCACTTAAATAAAAACAAATATAGGATGTATTAGTCGTCTATTGCTGCCATAAAAATACCACAAATTTTCTGTCTTAAAACAACTTCAATACCAGCCCAGACAATATAGTGAGACCCTGTCTCTACAAAAAATATAAAAATTAGCTGGGCATGGTGGTATGTGCCTATGGTTCCAGCTACTTAGAAGGTTGAAGTGGGAGGATTCCTTGAGCCCAGGATTTTCAGGCTACATTGACCCATGATTGTGCCAGTGCACTTCAGCATGGGTGACAGAGTGAGACCCTGTCTCAAATAAATAAAAAAATAAAAATAAATACATAAATAAATAACAGAATCACCATGTATGTATCATTTCATTGTTGCCTAGGTGAAAAGTGCAGGTTGACTCAACTGGATCTCAAATGAAGTCTGGTGGTGGGTTCTATCTAAGGTCACACGAGGCTGAAATCAAGGGGCAGCCAGATTTTTTTTTTAAGTGATGATTCTGGAGGAACAATTGGTTGTTGGGAACATAAACTGTCTTGTGGTAATAGGACTTTTTACCATTTCAATTTCCCATTGCTCATTACAAGTATAAAGTCACACAATTGATTGTGGTTATTGATCTTGTATCCTGCTACCATGCTGAACTCAATCATTAGTCCTAGTAATTTTTTGCAGATTTAATCACATTTTCTGCATAGATAATTATCTATGTGTGAATAAAGGTACTCTGATTTTGTTCTTTTCCAATTTGTAAACATTTTATTTATTTTTCTTGCCTGGTGGCACTGGCTAGAACTTCCAACACAATGATGAATAATGTAGGTAAAAGTAGACATTCTTGCCTTTTTCCTGATCTTGGAGGAAATCTTTTAGTCTCTCACATTTAAGGGTAATGGTTAGTTCTAGGCTCTTTTTTTTAATTATTTTTTAGTGGTACGTGCCCTTTGTCAGGTTAAGGTTATGGAAGTTTTCTCATATATCTATTTTGCTCAGCATATTTCTAGGGAATGGATTTTGATTTTTCTCTATATATTAAATCGAGTTGATTAATTCAGCTTTTCTTTTTTAGTTTAACATGGTGAATTACATTGATTGAATTTTGACTGTTAAGTCAAAACAAGAATATCTGTGCATATTGAACATAAAATCCACTTGTTCATGATGTAATATCCTTTTTATATATTATTCCATTCAAGTTGATAAAATGTTGCTTAGGATTTTTTATCCATGTTTATGAGAAATATTGATCTGAAGTTTTCTTAGTGTGTGTGTATATATATATATATTTCCATTTTCCTCATTCATAATTCTCATATTTTTAAAATTTTGATATCAAAATAATATATTCAGAAAATGATTTGGCAAGTATTCTTATATTTCAATATTCTGAGATTTTTTATAGAATTGGTTGTTTTTCATTAAATGTTTGGTAGATTTCACTAGTGAAACCATATGGGAGTAAAATTTATTTGTGGGAAGTTTTTATTTTTTTAACTACAAATTTAACTTATTTAATAAGATATTGTACTATGTTCAAATTTGTCTTTTATTTTTGAAACAAGTTTGTGTTTTAGCTTATCCATGATTAAATTACATGTGCCATATTATAACAGGAGGGTCATTCGTAGAACCTACTTCATGAAAAAATGTCATGTGAACTTAAAAATTATTTTATTGTTTTTCCTCCAAACTCCCTCATACAATTTCTATTTGCATTTTGTATTTATTTGGGGTTGTTTTTTATTCATAGGTTATGTCATTAAGAATTAGACTTCTAACAACATTCATCATATTTTCTAATTTATCAGCTTTCACAGAGGAATAAATATTGTTCTAATGTATTGAGTTACTATCACAATATGAATACATTTATGTATTTCACTATAATCACAATAAATAATTTCACTCTTTCAAGTTAGAAAATAAATTAGTTCAATAATCTTTCTCATGATATATATATATATATATATATTCATGTTAATAAATCTATTTACGCATGTATATGCACATCCATACAGCGGAGGTGGCACCACTCACCATCACCCCCAGTGATCCACTAGCCAAATTTTTGCTTCCTGTTCCCGCAACATTACATTCTGCTGGCCTAGAGGTCTTAGTTACAGCGGGAAGAATGCTGCCACCAGGAGACACAACAACAATTCCATTAAACTGGAAGTTAAGATTGCCACCTGGACACTTTGGGCTCCTCTTATCTTTAAGTCAACAGGCTAAGAAGGGAGTTACGGTGTTGGCTGGGATGACTGACCCGGACTATCACGATGAAATCAGTCTGCTACTCCACAATGGAGGTAAGGAAGAGTATGCATGGAATACAGGAGATCCCTTAGGACATCACTTAGAATTACCGTGACCTGTGATTAAGGCAATGGGAAACTACAACAGCCCAATTCAGCCAGGACTACAAATGGCCCAGACCCTTCAGGAATGAAGGTGTGGGTCACTCCACCAGGAAATAAAACCATGGCCTGCTGAAGTGCTTTCTGAAGGCAAAGAGGATACAGAATGGGTATCATCAAGGTGGTCATCAATACCAGCTATGACCACGTGACCAGCTGCAGAAAGGAGGATTCTAATTGTCATTAGTATTTCCACCTTCTTTTGTAAAAAAAAAAAAAAGTTTCTGCATGTATATAATTGTACTAAAAAATATCTTCATTTTATTTCCTTTCTCCTTTCTCATGTGATATAAGATTTATTGACTTCACATCAACACGTAAGTATTGTTAACTATATGTAATAATATTTGGGTTGGGGATTGGTGCGTTTCTGGTTGTTGGAAGGATAGCTGTATTATGTTAGGTGTAATTATGACCTTATTATTGTCTTCATTTGAAGATTCTATATGATCTTAGGAGATGTGTATGGATTCAAGTTGACAAGGGGTGGACTTCTGATGGTTAATACTAAGTGTCAATTTGACTGGATTGAAGGATACAAAGTATTAATCCTGAGTGTGTCTGTGAGGGTGTTGCCAAAGGAGATTAACCTTTGAGTCAGTGGGCTGGGAAAGGCAGACCCACCCTTAATCTGTGTGGGCACCATCTAATCAGCTGCCATTGAGGCTAGAATATAAGCAGGCAGAAAAATGTCAAAAGAGAGACTGGCCTAGCCTCCCAGCCTACATCTTTCTCCCATGCTGGATGCTTCCTGGCCTGGAACACTGGACTCCAATTTCTTCAGTTTTGGAACTCGGACCGGCTCTATTTGCTCCTCAGCCTCCAGAAGACCTATCATGGGTGCTTGTAATCATGTGAGTTAACATTATATATATATATATATATGTATTCCATTCATTCCGTCCTTCTAGAGAACCCTAATACACATATATACATGAACATATACATATAATTCAATATAGGTGTAAGTGTATATAATCAGATTCTCTTACAAAGTCAATTTTGTAATATTCCCACATGTTTACAAAATTATTATAATCAATTTCATGCACTGTATTATGTTGGAGATATGCACACACACACGCATATACGTGTGTGTGTGTGTGTGTGTATATATATATATATATATATATATATATATATAAAATAACTTGTTAATATGTGGGGAAGGTAGAATTTTGAAATACCCAAAATAATCCACACTCTGGTGTAAGCCTCTCTTTTTAAGAGTTGGTAGCAGGGTAGCACCTATGATTCATTCCTATTTAACAGAGTGTAACACAGGTAATGGGGTATTCTTTTGATTATTTTATATGGCCAAGGTAATGGGATAGTTACCCACAGATTTCATTATATTGTATGAGATTCCATGTGAGCCTACTTGAGAAGGAGAGATTTTCCTGCTGGCCTTGAATAAGTAAGCCACCTCATGCTGAAGGGGCATGTGAAGTAAGTCACTGGCTAAAGCCTGGGGGCAGCTTCTAAGAGCTAAGAGCATCAGCCAACAGCCAGCAAGGAAAAGGATCTCAGTCACACAACTTCATGAAATAAATTCTGCCAACATCCCAAATAAGCTTGGAAGCTGATTCTTTACCAGTCAATCTTCCAAAAGCAAATTCCCTCTGACCTTCACCTTGATTACAGCCTTGTGAAGCACTGAGCATATGACCCAATTAAGCCAAGACTGACACATGAACCTTGAAATCTGTAAGACACTAAATGTGTGATGTTCAAAGCTAAGTTTAAGGTAGGTTTGCAGCAACTTCTTATGCAGCAATAGAACATGAATACAAGATTGATGGAAATTTGTTAAATAAACAAGTGGTCAGAAAAACATAAAATTCTTGTAAGTAGCCTCAAAATACCTGATTAGCTGTGATTTTCAACATCTTTCAAATAACAATCATGGTTTGTACAACATGTCTAGATGTTTATATATATATATATCATATTTGGATCATGCCCAGATACATAAAATAAATTGCACCTAGAATGATCAATTCGTTCGGCATTATTAGTATTTCTTTTATATACATTGTATATAATATCGTGTATTATGTGATCACTTAATTAGTGAGTGAGGATGACCAGAACATTCGTGTGCAATAAAGAGTAAGTATGGAATCACAACTGCTTGTGGGTTGCAGAGTGGGAGAGGGAGTGTTTCCAGGCTGTTCTCACTGGGTAACTTTCTTCAGCATAAAGTCTGAAATGTAAGTTTGCCCGAGAGATACATGTTGTTTGAATTGCTCATATGTCTGGACCTGTCACTGTGTCTGAACAAGTCAGTTTGTGTTTCTAGGTTGTTTAATACCTCTTGAATGTCCTCTCAGGGATACATTCAAAGTGTGGCAGAGACAATAATTGTCCCCAGCATACATTATCTCCCTTTTCCTTTCAGTGAACAACAGTGATTAAGTTTGCAGAGATGAGATGTGAGTAGAAGTAATATGGGCACTTGTTTGTATTCTTAAAAAGGAAGTTTCCCGCACTTCACTTTCCCCCATCCCTGTTAGCTGGGACACAGCAAAAACTGGGGTTACTAATATGAACACAAAGATTGAAATCATTATGTTGAGAAATGGCAGAGAAATTCCAGCATCCTGAACACTCAGAGATGGACCTAGGAGAGTAATAAACTTCAATCTTATTTAACTCATTGGAATTTCATGTTGCTTTGTTTGAGAAGCTAAAAAATTCTTAGCTTGAACTCGACCTAACATATTCAGTTGAGGGTGGTCACTAATCCTGCTTATTCCTCTCCCCAGGCCATAAGACACGTTGTTAGCATTTATACCCTCTACTTCCTTGAAGCTCACCCAAATCTTTCAAAAACACACCAACATGTACGAAGCTCAGGGACCTAGGCTGCTGATACCTTAGCAATTTCCTGCTCAATATCTCCGCGTTGTATATAGAGCAGATCAGTAGGTAGTTCTGTTGGCAAGACATGAATGTATGTATCTTTGGAGTTAGCTCTGTTCAAGTTCTTGTTCTGCCATTTTTTGACAGGCTTTGCATAAATCATTTAAACTGTCTGAGTCTCAATTTCTACATTATTTCTACAAAATTGAAATAATGACTATCTTTAAATTCCATGGAGATATTAAATTATATAAAATTAAAGTAATAATAACTATCTTTAAATTCTATGGAGATAGTAAAAGAGATAATTATAAATGGCAAAAGAAAGCAATAGATAAGTTATGCTTAACAATGTTTATCATTGAATACTAGTTGACATTGATAATCATATTAGAAAACAGCCTATTATCTTCTCATTGTTATTGATAATGATGGTAAATTGATAAAGCTCAGATCAGGGAATGGAAGGAAGACCATCTTTTTCATCTAAAATGTGTTGCTCTCGTGATGCTGTTAATATATCTAAATAGAGTTGTTTAGCTCTTACTTTTATATGCGGATCAGGAACTCTCTATACAGTTTAGAAAAATACATTTTGACTCACAGTACAGGGTAATAGTTAACAGCATTAAAAAAAGTAAATATCACCTATAAAAATGTAGTGTAAGGAGAGAAAATAACAGAAGGGACCCTGAAAACAGAATCCTATGGAATAACATTTAAGAAATGGTAAAGAAGGCCAGGTGGGGTGACTTTCGCCTGTAATCCCAGCACTTTGGGAGGCCTAGGCGGGCGGATCACGAGGTCAGGAGATCGAGCCTATCCTGGCTAACACGGTGAGATCCCGTTTCTACTAAAAATACAAAAAATTAGCCGGGCACAGTGGCGGGTGCCTGTAGTCCCACCTACTGGTGAGGCTGAGGCAGGAGAATGGCGTGAACCCGGGAAGCAGAGCTTGCAGTGAGCCGGGATCGCGCCACTACACTCCAGCCTGGGGGACAGAGCAAGACTCTGTCTCAAAAAAAAAAAAAAAAAAAGAAAAGAAAAAAAGAAAGAAGAAAGAAAGAAATGAGAAGCAAAGAAATGGTAAGGAAAAATTCTGACAAAAGATATTGGAGATATAGCCAAATGATAGAAGAAAAAATAGAAAAGACATGCTGTAGAAACAAAGAAAGAGACAAAGGAAAACAGATTAGAAGAATGAGTAAAGCAGTTGGCCTATGACCCTTTCATTCCTTTCATCAGGAACTCAATTTCCAAGGAAGAAAAGGGCAGATTGGCAGGTGTCCTGGTATAATCTCTTCACCAGGAAAAGGACTTATCTCTGAAATATTCTAAGCAAGGTGTTCCTGGCTAAGAAATACCTACAAGAATTAGAATTCAAAATTTATATGAAACAGCTTCCCAGAGAATGTTACACAAACTATACAACTCTTAACTGGGTATAAAATAGAGATGTTCATAATTTAAATAATCCTGCTGTGTTAGGTAATCATAGATCTCATCAGCAACCTCATCTGTTATCCTGAACCAGAGGTGCATATCTAGTACAGAAGACAGGACCTGAGGAGGTACCCTTGGTATCCCAGATCTCTCTTCTTCAGATGAGCATTGGGATTATTAATCAAACTTAACAATCAGTAAAATCGCTGATTCCATTGGCCATGATTTGACACAAAAATCTTGTGTGCTAGCACACAATCAACTTATTAAATGTTTCATAGAATACGCATACATAAGACTTGAAAATATTTTATGGGCAAGCATTAATAGTATCCTTTGGTGTGAGCAATATTTTAGTTGACTGTGGATAGAATAGGTTATGAGAATATAGAGACATCATCTATTAGATGATAAACTGAGAATAAGATGAGAAGTAAATCTTCAGAAAAAAATATCCAAAAGAGAGTGGTGTCCTTATCCCTCCCTCTCTCTCCCTTCTCCATACCCCCATTCCCACCCTCTTCTATCCCTCTCTCCTCCTTCCATCTTTCCTTCCTTCATTATTCCTTCCTTCATAAGAAAAGTTGGGAAAACATTAGATCAAAAGCAGATATTAGGGCATTTTATAGACAGAAAGAGGAGCGTCTCTTACTCTGAGACCAAGAGGAAGTAGAAAAAGATAAACAAGGATCATGGGACCTTTTGGAACTATAGGAAGTTGGGAAACATTATACTTGAAAATATCTATTGTTTTGGTCATGTAGGTGGCAAAGAACTCTTATAAATATGAGCATAACAGGGTTAAATCTGGGTTGTGAAGAGAAGTGTAAGACTGAAATTGTAGCTAACTAGGTGAACAAACCTAAAGGATCTAAAAGAATTAATAAGCATCATCTGAAATGTGTTACTCATTGGGTTCCATGTAATTAATATCTAATTATGTTTAACAGAAAATTCTATCTTGTGGTTCTTCTTTCCTATACCCTGAGACCACTGTAAAATGTCCATTTAAGTATAATCTAAAAAGTCCTCCCCTTGAACATCCTTAGTCAATTAAGCGTAACTGTGAACATCTACTTGGCCATTTGAAAACTTGACAAGCTAATTTTCTATTTGTAAACTTCTGGCATATCAATTCTCTTGAGGCCTTTTCCAGAGACTTATTTTTAATAATGCTGTCCTTCATTGTTCTGTGGCTGGTTTACAGAATCTTAAAATATTTTACTAATCCCACTCTGTCTGTGAAATCATGGGAACTAGGCCATGGAGTTGTTTTCTTATTCTAGCTTCAAAAAAGTGGCTTTGCATATAATGCTTTTTATAAGAAATAGAAGAAACAAAAATCTTGTCAATTTGTAGCATTTTACAATACCCATTCCTATTTTCAATGAAAACTTCTCCTTCTATCTGCAAAACCAGGGTCATAGAGCATTACAAGAGGTATGAAAGCAGCCTGCCAATACTTAAGGAGTCCTGAAACATCACACCAACACATTGATAAAATATAAATCTCTCTGAAATACATGTTCTCATGTGTACATATTTATATCAATGTAATCTTTTGTTATATGCATAATATGGTTTCGACGGGCTAACATTCTGTTTCAGAATAATACAGAGTCTAATGCTATTTACTCAGAATAAATTGTATTTAAATAGAAATTTTAAGTGCTTTGTGTCTCATAACAAATTGTCTATTTCAGGGGAAAAAATCAGCCGTGAAAACTGACAAGAAAATAACAACTAAGAAGTAAAATTATAGAAAAGCTTGCCATTATTTTAATCATCGCCTATTTTTATTAGTGTAAATAAATCAGTAAAGGAATGTGTTCTGATTTGGAACTAAAATGTATCATATATATATATACACACACACACACATACATATATAGTGATAGAGAATAATAAATGATTTTTAAAATTAAAAGCAATATGTATCGTATGAAATTATTTCCTTCAAATTCCTTCTAAATAAATTTTAAGCTTTTAAAAAATTATTATTTATAGCAAAGACATGGAATCTACCTAGGTGTGTATCCATCGTGAATTAGATAAAGAGAACATGATATACTGACACCATGGAATACCATGTGGCCAAAAAGGAATGAAATCATGTCCTATGCAGTAACATGGATGGAGCTGGAGACCATTATCCTAAGCAAATTGACACAAGAACAGAAAACTGAAAACTGTATGGTCCCACTTATAAGTGGGAGCTAAACTATGAGTACACATGGACATAAAAATGGCATCCATAGACACTGGGAACTGTTAGAGAGGGGAGAGAAGGAGGAGGCCTAGGCTGAAAAACTACCTAATGAGTTTTATGCTCATGACCTGGGGAACGGGATCATCCGTACCCCAAACTACAGCATCACTCAATACTGCCATGTAACAAACGTGCACATGCACACTCTGGATTCCAAATAAAAGTTAAAAAAATAGAAAATAAATTTTAAAATATGCCTTTTAAAAGGGGAAAATTTATTAGACTACCTGGAGCTAATATCTGGTGACTGCTTAATGCAGTGTCATAAGTTTATTCTATGAGATGTCTTCAATCTGTCCAAATGATCACAGACTTTGTAAAATCTGCTACTCAGTTAAACATTTAGGACGTGGATAACACCCCACCTTTCTTATCTGCTTATCCTTCCTCCAAAGCCCTCATTCATGTCAAATAATAATACCAATATTTAGCTAATCCACAGAGAATGGGGGGAAACCCTAAACAAAAACAACAAACTCTCCATCCTGTTCCTCATTTCAGTATTTTTGAACTCTGAATTGGAATCTTTGTGTTACAAGGAACTCCATGCATGTCTGATACTTGAATTTTGAAGATACTTCTACTGATTAAACATTAACCATCTAATTATATATATATATGTATATGTGTATATATATATATATATCTATTCTTACGTATCTTAGTTCTGTGTATCTGTCGTCATCAATTACATTGCCATTAGGGTTGGAAAATGTACAATTATTTAGTTTCTGTTTCTGATGGCACAAATGGATTTCTTCCCATGAACAAATGTAAAAGTATATCTTTCATGTAGTGTGTTTTTTTCCAAATTGTGTGAATATGATGCTAACATCATTGATATTTTGAAATATACATCATGGAAATATCAGTTTATTCACATCATATTCATTAATAGTATGGCTGAAAAGACACTCAAGACTTTTCTTGATAACAATATTAACTCTTGTGAAATTAGAATTTTGTAAAAATGATTTTTCCTGAAATAACCGGGATATTATTTCTTGCATAACTGTTAAATACACTACTGGGGTCTCTCAGACATCTTTAAAGCTACCATTATGTTTATCAAAATGGATCTCTTAATTAAATGAAGCTAGCTATTGATTTCACCAGATTTGGTAACAAAATTATTGCTCTAGCTTTGGAGTTGGTAAATATTTTGTGCATGAAAGACCAGGATAGTACATATTTTGTACAAATTTTAGGTTTTTCAGGACATATATGGTCTTATATTTTTATTTTTTCTCACAATCTTTAAAAATGATTTAAAAAAATTAGCTCACCAGATGCACAAAAGCAGGTCACAGACCTGATTTGTCTCTCAGTTTGCTAAAGGTCACTGTAGCTTGTTTTTAGAGGAAAAATAGTATTTATGATATGCATGATATCACACGACACACATTTGGAATGAGACCTTTGTTGGAAGAATGTGTAAGACCAAATAAGTATAATTTCTTAAAGATTAACATTTTGATCTAAATAATTACTTTATTATAAGGTGTGATGACTCTGTCCTAGGTAAGCTAAATTATTTAAGTATTAATAAACATAAGCTAATCACTATAATAAATAATGCCTTAATGTCAACTTTCTTTTAACATGATAAGAACTTTGTTACTTATTAATGACAGAATCCAAGCACACAAACTTCCACTTGATAACTTAGAGAATCATGCACTTTGAGTTTTGTAATTTCTTTCATCTCTAGGTTTTTCAAGTCCTGTTCATTCAGTCAGAAGATGAGAAAAAATACTATGATGTTTGCAGGTCAGGTTTCGCAGGTCAGGTTTTGTAAGCATTCACATAGAATAGAAAAAGCTCTGGCACGTTATATTGGCCAGATCTTAAGCACCATGGCCACATCTAGTGTTAAGTATGTGTGAGAAGTGTAGTCTGGCTGTGTGCTCAGCAGGAAAAGCAAGCAGATTCTGTCGAGCACATACAGTTCTGGGACATACTTAAACTTTATTTCTTCCCCTTCAGTTATACTATCCCCCTTAGGGTGCCTGTCAGACTGAGAGAGCTGACTCTGAAGAGTTCCCTGCCCATTTCTATAACAATGATTCATCATTCTTGCCACAACAGATTGGATCGGTGTTGGACATCTGACTACAGGTAGCTTTCTATTTTACCTGGTTAATGAATGTGCCAACTAGATTTCTCTTGGGAAGTTTTAACTCAAGACATAAGAAGAGTCAGCTAAGAAATAATATTGAGTGGCAGTAGAGTCAAAGATAGAGAGTGGTTGAGGTGCCATGATTACGAACAAGTAGAAAGGAATGATACATGCCTGAGGCTGAGGGTGCAACAAGTTAACTGAACTCCACAATCCTAGACTCCCAACAGATGAATGAAAGACTAGTCTCAGTTACTTGATCTTTTTCCATCTTTCTTAATTCTATTGTATATTAAGAATAGGCAGGTGGAGTGGCTCACTCCTGTTATCCCAGCACTTTCGGAGGCCAAGGCAGGTGGATCACCTGAGGTCAGGAGTTTGAGACCAGCCTGGCCAACATGGTGAAACCCCATCTCCACTCAAATTATAAAAATTAGTCGGGCGTGGTGGTGCGCAACTGTAATCTCAGCTACTCAGGAAGCTGAGGCAGGAGAATTGCTGGAACCTGGGAGGCAGGGGTTGCAGTGAGCTGAAATCACACCATTGCACTCCAGCCTGGAAGACAACAGCAAGACTCCAACTCAAAAAAAAAAAAAAAAAAAAAAGAATAACTTAACCTCAATTAAGTTTACCTAGTCCTTATCTTAAATTCAGAATTTATTGTACAAAAACATGTACTTAATTTGATCAAATTTAAGCAGTTTGATTTGAACCAAGATGGAAACTTGTCCCTCATTAGTAATAAATACATGTTCATAGATTTCCCAGTACTGATGATGGGCCATATCTGACTCTCTCTGCTCTGTCCTTCCATGTGTATATATTGCCCATTATGACATTTTCCATATTTATTATGCTACTTATTTGTCTTACCCATCAGATTGTGACATTTTTGGAGCACTCTAAGCACAGATATATTTAATTAAGCAAATATTATATTCAAATCCCTCAAGTGAAAGGAACTGATTGCTTTAGCCAATCACCATCCACTCCTTTTAGGGATGATTAACATCAAGAATATAGTCTTGATGACAATGAGCCATAGCACAGGAATTTAAACTTACTAATAGACAATAATTAACACATGATTTGATCACCCATATAATGCACATTTTTATGTATGTACAATAACGTATACATATTTTCTTGATGTATTTACTGTAGCACAACCTATTAAAAATGAGTTAGTGGAACTAGAATCAAAGCTTCTGATACCTTGAGTAAGAGAAAGAAAGAGCACCTGTGAATGCCAAGCCCAAGGAAAGTCACTTAAAAGGGCTGTAAGTTAAAGGTAAAGGAATGGTGTCCTATTTGTTCTGAAGAAAAGAAACTTGGCAAAGGCCCTCAAATGCTTATTGTAAATGATAGGATCAGGATCATTGTTAATGGATACTAAAAGAATTCTTAAATATTTCACAGAATGGTACAACTCAAAATCAATGGGAGAGGAGTAGCTGGGTTGGCAACATTTACTTTTTTCAAACAAGATTCTAAAAACAAAAACAAACAAACAAACAACCAAAAAACCTAGATTCTACCAACCCAAAGTAAAATTTTTCATTATTCCTTTTTTATGGAAGGAAAGGCATTTCAGTACAAAAAATTAGAAAGGAAATAATCTCAGCCTTTAAAGTCCTTAACAATAAATACATTTAGCTTTAGGAAAAATTGTACTAAGTCAACTTTTCTTTCTTTTCATTTGACATGGACAAATACAATGTCATTATGCAAAGACACTGGTTTGTTGATCAGCACTTAGAAATAGCTAAATTCGATTTGGTTCCAAAAATAGACCGTATGTACCAAGGACAGAGAGCAGTCCAGTGCCAAGTGCTTAGATGTGGTTGAGAAAATCAAATTGGAATGACTGAGACATGATAATAATGTGTTTGCTCCCTATTAAAGGTCTTACGTGTGCTAAGGAAAAGCTGCTTCTCAGTTCTCACTTCAGCTGGCAAAGCAAAACTTCAGTAGATACAGGTGAGTGGAAATTCAAATGGAATTAGCAGGCAAAGGCTCAAAATCAAGACAAATGAAATTGTCATTAGATCTTCAGCATATAATCTGTTTGACTTTTCCTTGTGCAGAAATCAAGAGCTACTCTTTTCATTGTTAGTTAAACTAATATGCTGAAATAGAAGTACTGTACTATTTACAGATAATGGATTATTTTTCATTGACATCAGTTGAAGAAACTCAGCCTTAAATATTGCTTATCCATGAAAAAGGAGAAGATGAACTGATGATAAGGTAATACAGGTGAAATTTAGATGTGACTTACCATACTGCAAGGCTCATTTCCTGTCAAAACTGCCTGTGGTCAAGAAATTTTAAAGAATTCTTGTGTTATCTGTATTACTCCATTTTCACGCTGCGTATAAAGAAACACCGGAGACTGGGCAATTTACAAAACAAATAAATAAATAAATAAAAGAGGTTTAATTGGACTTACAGTTCCACATGGCTGGGGAGGCCTCACAATCATGGCAGAAGACAATGCGGGGCAAGTCACATCTTACGTGGATGGTGGCAGGCAAAAAGAGAGCTTCTGCAGAGAAACTCCCCTTTCTCAAACCATCAGATCTCCTGAGACCCATTTACTATCACAAGAACAGCATGGGAAAGATCTGCCCCAATGATTCAATCATCTCCCACTGGGTCCTTCCTGCAACAGGTGGAAATTATGGGAACTACCAGATGAGATTTGGGTGGGGACACAGAGCCAAACCATATCACTATCGATCACTCTATATGTTATATTCTGGGGTTTGTAATTTTTGTATGTGCACCCTGTATTTTCATACATGTTTCAGACAACTCAGTTCTGTCGATGTGTCTTTAATCTATTTTCCAGTTCATTAATTATAGCTTTATGTTTGATCTATTTAATTTCCTCTCTTGGTTTCATCAACATCTATAGCTTTTGGTAATCATAATAGCAAATACCAAATGCTTGCATAGAGTAAACAGGCACATGTAAGTGTTGAATTTTATTTTCACCTGATAGTACTCCAGAACATTTTTTAGCAAGGCCAGAACTGTGGTTTAAGAACCAGAATTTTGAGGTCCGAGAGAGAAACAAATCTTGACAAACTCATGCTGATGAGTTTGGATTTTGTCCAGTAATAAGCCAACAGGAGAGTGTTGTGATAAAATTAATTTAAAACAGCAACCTTGGTGACAGGGAAGGTGATAAACTAGAAGGGATTAAGACATGAGTAAAGTTAGAAAAAAAAATCGTGCAATCTTTTAAGTAAGGGATTCTTACAAGCTAAGATAGGAAATTTTCACTGGGGATAGAGAGGAAGGAGTGGATTAAAGAGAAATTTGAGGGTAGAGTTGACTTTCTATGACAACTAACGTAGATAGTTGAAGGAGAAATCTAGGCTAGTCTCAAAGACAACTGGGTTTCCACTGAGGCTGCCCAGACAAAAAAACATGCTGAAAGAAATTAGGAAAAACAAAGTTGGAAAGGAAATATATTTTGGACAGATACAGTTCCTGTAGAATATACAGGAATATTCTGAAGAATTGCCTTTATAAAATGAACACGTGGACATCATGCTTCCCAGAAAAAAGCATTGGTAATCTTTCCATTCTTCTCTGAGTCAGATTGAGCTGTTTAATATTTCTCAACAGAGCCTCTAAAATATGACTCTTCTTCCTCTTCGTTCCCAGATTTCTCTGGGCATTGGCTGGCTCCATTCTGACTTTCCTTTAGGTATGCCTAAATGAAATGCCTACTTCTCTCAAAACAACATCTTGCTTACTTCACACCTCCTTGAGCACACTCACTTCTTCAGCAAGAAAAGTACTCACCTCAGGGAGGGTGAGCATTTATTTATTAAGACTCAGCCCAACACAATCATCCTCTCTTTGAAGTTATTTTTGTCTTTTTCCTGAGCCTCCACCCTCAAGGTCAAATTTACAAGTGACTTTTACATTCCCTGATTGTATTCTTCAAATTCATTAGATTCAATGTTTACATACTTGTTTCCCTCAGTACAGGACAGATATTGTCTTGTATTTGTTTTTCTAGGCAAATGGCCAATGTAACTAAGGGAGAATGATGTTTGTTGGATGAACTTATGACCAAATGAATGAACTTGTGACTGATTGAGCTGACACTGTCTGTTAGGCAGTTAAGCGTCTGTAAGTCTGTAAGTTAAGTGTCTGTATGTCTGTTAAGTGTGAATCAGGCATCCCAAACGTAGATTTCACAGTAAGGGAGATATTTGGATGATACCAAATAGACAGATGATCATTTCATTGGAGAGGGGGTGGTTAAGGTGTTCAAGGGTTGAAGAGAGTTATTGAGGTGAAGAATGAAAAGAGGCTACTAAGTTTGTACTTAAGGAATCAAGTAAGGACAGAAATCATTGTTGGGAGATGGTGACTAGCATGACCATAGCACTGGGTAGTTCTGTAGGAAGTATATGAAATTGTGTATCTATATGATATGGCTTGGATATTTGTCCCCTCTAAATCTCATGTTGAAATTTGATCCCCCAAATTGGAGGTGGGGCCTGGAGGGAGGTGTTTGGGTCATGAGGGCGGATGCCTCATGAATAGCTTGTTACTATCCTCACAGTAATGAGTGAATTCTCATTCTGTTGGTTCCCATGAAATCTGAAGGTTAAAAATACTCTGGCACCTCCTTCTCTTGTCTCTTCCTCCCTCTTTCACCATGTGATGTCTGCTCCCTCTTTGCCTTCACCATGATTGAAAGCTTCCTGAGGTTCTCACCAAAAGCAGACACTGGCACTGTTTTTATTATACCACCTGCAAACTGTGAGCCAAATAAACCTCTGTTCTTTATAAATAACCCAGACTCAGGTATTCTTTATAGCAACGCAAATAGACTAGGACTCTGTCTATCTATCTATCTAGCTAGCTAGCTACTTATCATCTATTTATCTTGGTTAGTTTATGCTCACTGATCTTTTTATGAGGTAAGTATAGAATATTTAATTGGCCAGAGCCAATTATATAACCTCAACTATAAACAGCAAATGAACGGGTCTTTCACAATTGAGTTTCAAACAAGGAATACTAAGCTAACATTATCCAACCCCAACTTCTGTGACATCATACTAGACAGACTAGTTCAAAACATTTTAAAGTATAGAAATATAGGTATAAATATATATATATACCCAATTTGATTACTTCATTCATGAAAAATAGTAATATATCCTTTCCAAAGTCCACATCATAGTTTCACATAGAACATATAAAAACTACTTGAATATGAATTTCTTTTGCTATAGAAAGAGTAAGACATATTGAGACAACTTAGTGAAACCTCCAAGAAAATAATTTCAAAGCACTACATTGGTACATTTATTTTTGTGTCTATATTTTGAACTTAAAAATGTCCCTATGAAGTAAGACTAATTTTTCATATAAAACTTATTTACTTAAAATGAAAACTAACATATATCTTTATAAGGACTAAGAAAAATAAAACTTTATACCGAATAGTTACATTTTAAAAGGCTGTATAAACTAATTATTAAACTAGTGAAGTGTTACATTTAATTTATTAGATTAATTGACCTACTTAATTATATTTTTAAAATATTAGTTTGATTGCATCAAAATATATTTACTTCTACCACTAAACAGAGATTCACTAAATTATATATCCTCTTCTTCATAATTAATTTCATTTATCATATAAAATATCAATTTTATAATCATAACTATGATGTATCACTCAGCAGCTGAATGTTTTAAAAAATAGATGACCTGCTCATCATTGCAGCAAAGAAACTTCAAGAGCTTCCAAAGTAGGTCAGATCATAATGGTGACATTGAACTTTTCAACTGGGAATAATTAGGTTTTATTTTCGGTATTCACTGACCTAGCCTGAAATTTAATGTAATATAGGAATAGTTTAGCTACATTTGGCCTTATTTATCTGCAATTTTTCAATCTGTATTCTGTTGAAGTAGTTATTTTCTCTGAAAACTTTTGCTAACATCTGCATTGGCTACTCTTTGCCACAATTTAAAAATCCAGATTCATCAGTGGCAAAAAAGAAAAACCTACTGTCACTTCCACCAAAGTGACAGGAATTGGCTGTTAAATCATTTTCATTTCAGTGTCACTGAACAAAAATATAAAAGCACCAATGTTATAATAACCGTGAAAAACAATTTTTAAATAATGATGGTAGCAATGGAGGTTGGTTGTCGTGTATTTTCTATTTTGATACCTAGCGCAATATAAAAAGCAAACAAATTTAATTAGACTGATTTCTATTTTGTCACATGATTCAAGAGAAAGCATGTGTTAGAACAAATAACATTTATCTTTTATTATCAGGAATTACTAGATGCAGTTCAATTTTAGCAATATAATATCCTTCTCCACAATTAGATTTTATTTTATTTATTCATTAAATATTTTATTTATTAAATTTGTTCATTAAATATATTAAAAATTAAATTTATGTATTATTTATTTATTTATTAAAATATTTATTAAATATTTTATTTGCCACACTAGTTACTGCAGCAAAGAAGGAGCCACCTGCTTTCATTTGAAGTTTGCTTTCATAGGTGTGAGGGCAGCCTGCTACCTCATGTCAGCATCCATTATAAGGCACCATGCAAAGTGACATGACACAGAATGACAGCTGCAGCCACCTCAACATGGCATCCGTGAAGCTGATATCGACGAGGCTGCCGTTACATGTGCTCCACATCCTAGCTGAGAAAAAATGGAGAAATGCTCAGGTATTATTATTTTTGTTTTCATTATCTTTACCAATCTAATTTTTGAAAGCAACATAAAAAACAGTTGATTTTTATCAAAATATCCAAAGCAGAACCATTCAGATTAGTGAAATGAGGAATCACCATTTAGACTGTTGTTTCTTAAGCTGATAATCAAATGAATCAAATGAAAATGCTAACAGAATCACTTGGTTTTATATTTTGAACATATTTGAAATTGAACACATTTTCTGACCCCAAACCAATAAAATAGGAATAAATACCATAACTTCAACATTTAGACATTCTATGAGTTTATAGTTTTGCCATTTTTGATGTGCAAAACTCTGTAATGCTTCTTATTTTGTGTTACATGTGTACTTTTTCGTCTCCAAGTAGATTGTAATCTTACGGAAGAAATGTACCACATTTAATGGCCTTTAATGAGAGAGATATACATAAATACCCTAGAATATCTAAGCCATAGAACTTAATATAGTTACAAAGGGACTTTAAACCTTGTGCCGCTAAATGTCAGTTCTTGTAGGTCCTGACAAGCTGCAATAAAACAATTATTTTCCTTAAAATAATGTTCAAATTCATTGTGGGGTATGGTAGTTTTCAAGACAGCATAAGATTAAAATTTATTCTCGAAATCATATGCATTTTTAACATTTTTTGGTAAGCATAATACAAAACACTTTTAAAAGGCTTTTGATTTCCAAGGTGACAAAGCATTATCTTAAATTATTTTTATGTTTTAACGACACGAAAAGCAAAGGGATATACTACTTTCATTTTTAGGAAAAAACACACAAATGGATTAACATTTTTGCCTATATGAAGCAGATATTTAATTTGAAAACTAGAAGATCTAGGTCTGGCCCCCATGGCACTCTCATTATATAATTTCCGGCAAGGTTGTTAGACCCTCAGTCACCTACTTGCCTCTTGAATGATGTGATCATTCTAACATGATATGATCTGCTGTCTATTACATCTCTGTAGCACAAGGAAAAGTTACGAATTTATTTGATGTCTAACACAGTAAATCCTATGAGCATTTGAGTTGCTGCTGTTTGAAAATTTTAAATTACTTTTACATAAACAAAAAAATCTGTATTTGTCTCTCTGTATGCATATATATATATACATAATATATATATACACACACACATAAATAACTGGCTTTACCTATAAGAATAAGAACTAAATCTTAGATGTTTGGTAGGAAGAGAAGGTTTATACGGCTATAATGCAATCAATACAACATTCTATAATTTGTTATAGGGAATTTTCCTAGATTTTCGCTCCTTACATGGGTTGCATCAGGGCCTACATAATTAAATATTTATGGTGTATTTTTCACAGATACTGCATACATTTGGGTATATATTATGGGAAGGGTCGGCAGTGTATTTTTGTGTCAAAAATATAAAAGTGAATATATGTGTGACTGACCAAGAAATATCTATCTTCTTTTTAATAATCTGTTGAAACCCATATTCAAAATAAAAGTAGAATCTTCACAACTATCCACTCTTCCCAAATTAAAATTAGAATCTTGCTAAATTAATATCCATGGTATTAACATCCTTGTAATGTACCAAACACACTTAGAGTTACCTGTGTTACTTTTGATTCCCCTTTGTCCTTAGTGCTGACGCTTAGTCTTTTACAAGATCCACTAGTAATATTTTCTCCCTAATTTCCAGTCTCAAGACAAATCTTGTCACTGTGAAACAAATGTATTAAAACAATGACTCTCCCTTCTACCCGTCTCAAATATTTAATCTACTATCCTAAAAAGAAAGGATAGGACACAAGACTAAATACCTTTTTCTTTCTGCATCTCTCTTATTGAAAAAACATAAAAGTGTTCACATTTTCGTATTTTATTCAATCAAAATGCTCAGAATAAAGTTTTACATTCTTTTTGAGTAGTGACCGAATAATCTTGGCATTTTGGGGAGCAATTTTGTACTCTGTCCTAGGAGATAATTCTGTGCAGTGGTCCTCCAAAGTCATAGCAGATTCATATTAAATATTGGCTCTTTTTCAAAATATGTTATGTTGAGTGTGTTTTCAGGATCCAGGTCATTTAGCATTATTTGGATAAATACTTTGATAAATTTCCACACCTTGTTCATGAGTCATCAACTATTGGTGACAATTTTACAATCTCTTTTAAGACATTATAATTGTGTATATTTTATTAAACAAATATTATTTATTTAAAAAATATTCATTAGCAATATGCCACTTACGGAACATTTTATTTACTATTTTCTCATTATGCAGAGTTTTTTTTAATTGGAAACCTAGAGTATGGTTCTATAACAATCACTTTTTTGAATTAACAATGTTATTATAAACATTTTCAAATTGTTATCTAATTATAACAGTTATAAATAATAGTTATCATTTTAGAGGTCATAACCAAAACAATTATAATGACAATTTGACTCCAGCCTGGGCGACAGAGCGGGACTCCGTCTCAAAAAAAAAAAGCCATGCACCGCGATCTCTGTGTAGCATATCAGCTCAGAGAAACAGCACAATATTCCTGTTTTATTGCCTTTATTTTACAGAATAGAAAACGTATGTGAGCTAAGGTCATTGCTGGAAAGAGGACTCAGTTCTGCCAAGCACCAAAGCCCATATACTTTTCATCTTTCAGCACTTCAGATGGAATCTGGGTAGAGGATGTTTATGTCGGGTAGCCACACTTTTGAAGAAATCTGCACTGAATTTTAAACAAAGAAGTTGAAATTTTAGGGATACCATGTGAGATAAAATTTTTATCAGAAAAACATAATGAGAAAAACAATGTTATTTTTTAAAAAAAAATTAGGTGAGTAGGTATAAACATCTAGAGGTGTTACATATTAGCAGTAAAAGTATAAAGGCTACGTATTTGTTCATATGGTGTCTTGGTGTATATGGCTGTTTCCATAAATGCATATGTTTAGTAATTTATAAAATATGTCCTTATTTTAATAGTTATGAATGAAATGTAAGGTAAAAAGAAGAGCTACCCTTAGATAGCCATGCCTGTACATTCCATTTTTCAGTTTATTTATTGGGCCATTTGTCCCTTGCTAAGAGCATGTTCAAAATTTTAGGCCAGGCATGGTGGTTCATGCCTGTAATCCCAGCACTTTGGGAGGCCAAGGTGGGCAGACCACCTGAGGTCAGAAGTTTCAGACCTGCTGGGCCAACATGGTGACACCTTGTCTCTACTAAAAATACAAAAATTAGCCAGGCGTGGTAGCACAGAACTGTAGTCCCAGCTACTCGGGAGGCTGAGGCAGGAGAATCGCTTGAATCTGGGAGGCTGAGGTTTCAGTGAGCCCAGATCGTACCATTGCACTCCAGTCTAGGCAACAACAGTGAAACTCTGTCTCAAAAAGGAAAAAAAAAAAGAAGCAAAAGATCAAGGAGAAACTGCTGCAAACTGTTCTAAAAAAATTGCACTTCAAACTGAAGCCTATAAAATGGCAATAATCATCATCTTGTGATACTCGTATATCACAATATATGAAATTAAGCAATATTAATGTATTGTTTTACATGATTCTGATTTTATTTCACATATGCTTCTCTTCTTTATCAACTGGTTTGAACTGAGAACAAATATTTGTTTATTTACAAATATATAATTTATTAGTAAAAATGAAAGTAAATGAAATATGTTAATAACTAATTATTGATTTTTTTCTTTTTTTCCTTTTTTTAGAGACTGGGTCTTGCTCTGTTGCCCAGGCTAGAGGGAAGTGGTGCAATCACATCTCACTACAGCCTCAAATTCCTGGGCTCAAGTGATCCTCCCGCCTTGGCCTCCCAAGTAGCTGGGATTACAGGCTCACACAACTGCACCCAGCTAATTTTTTATTGTATTTTTTATGGAAAAGGAGTCTCATTATGTTGCTCAGGCTGGTCTTGAACTCCTGGCCTCATGTGATCCTCCTGCTTTGGCCTGCTGAAATATTGGGATTACAGACTTGAGCCATCCCATGTGGCCTGATTATTGAAAATTTTAATAGAGGAAAATCAAGACATAGCTTCCATATCATACCCATGCCTCCACTTCCCCATCTCTTGGTGAATGTTTCACAAATGCCGTTATAGTCTTAGGATTGATAACCATACGTGGATGGGAGTGCTGGGCAGTTCATTCTTTTGAGTAGACAAATTAGACAGTTTTAGGAATGGAATCTACCACCATATACTATATATTTTATCTATTCTAGGAAACACATTTTCTCCGAACTTACCAACCTTGAAATCAGGATACATCTAGAAATCAATGACATCTTTCAGGATCTGCTGGCAGGTATTAGCCACTGGAGGAATGACTGCAATTCCATTTATCGTCTTGAAAGGCAAAAACAAAGGGCTTCATTGTTTCTAAGAATGGAAAGAGATCAAATTGTGTTATATTTGCCAACTGGGATAGGCACAAAATGGCTGCCTATCAGCTGAAAACCATGTGGGGAAGAAAAAAAAAAAAGAACAAGACAACTCACTTGGAATATATTCAATACATTTCAAAGTTTCCAAAAGTTACTGTGACCAATATATATGCTGTATAGAATTATTCCTGAGCATGCATCATAGATTATCAACTTTTTTTTCCAGGTGGTACATTTAATGGTATTAAATTTCATAATCCATTGACTATTAGGTTTAAGCAAAAATAATATGTCTTTTACATCAATAGGAAAGCCTGCAATTTAATTATTTGAGTGTTTAAGCCCTTTGTTCAAATGCACTTTTGCGAGTTTGATCTATGGGTATCTCTGTGAGCAGTATATACAAGTTGTGCTTAGAATATTTAGAGAAAGAGGCAAAATGCTAAAAAGGAATTGCAGCCACTAAAAAAAAAAAAAAAAAACCATACAATTTTGACTGCTGCCTGACATATCAGCAAATTGGAATTAAACACTGATACCACAAACAAGCACATTAATGTTAAAATATTTACTTAAAATTAATTTATTATTTAATAAATCTTTGCCCTTGATCAACAGTATTGATGATGCAAAAGATTTAGTGAAACAATAATTTGTAGAGGCGTTTTTTAAAAAACAGGTTGATACATAGAAAACAGTATTTCATGATGAATTGAGGAGATGAAAACATTATCTTCATCCAGGTGCTTCTGAAATAGTCTTAGTTAATGACCTAATTCATGTGTTGTTTTTTTTTAATCTGCTCTGCCAGTATGTAAATTATTCTACAAGAGTTAAGTAATTGAAGAGGCTTAGTAAATCTTCCAGGAAACTATGATACTGTTTGATATATTATCCATCCAGAGCAGTAACATGATTAATATACTTCCCATATTGCTCTGCTTTTTTTCAGAAACTATGAATGAATGCAGAAAAACACCCTAACAGAAACACACAACTGAGTTGGCTTTACCATTAAGGATTTCATTAAGATCAAAGGAACCTGTTTCATCCATCTTAAACCTTCACCTGGCGAGGTGATTTTTATAAATCATAGTCTACTTTTAAAGTTATGCTTACTAGAAAACAGGTCACAATGTTACCCGGGATGTGGGGGATACACCAGGAGGGAGTGGAGGAACATACTTGCAAAAACATCCGCATTCCCCTTTAGTGGATACATTTCTTGCTCCAGTTTTTAAGAATCACTGTTTGGAGACTGGTTTACCCGTTTCTGTATGCCAAAGACAACAAACAATCCACTCCTCGGAGTCCAAGAACTCAAGATACCGCTTGCAACTATTCATGTAAAAGGCAGCTAGACATAAGGGCCTGTGTTTCCTCTCTTGATAACCTAGCCTTTTTATTCCTTTCACTGAGGACAACGCACCAGATTAAAGCACATTAAAAGATAAGGCATTCAGTACCATTAACTCTCACTGTGGACAATGTTTATCTTCAGGTTGTGAGAAATCTGCTAAAAAACATATGCAATGTTGGCATGTTTTTACTTACAAACCTTTGATTTTTTTAACCTAGAATGTTGGGATTAGCTGATGGCTCCTTTCCTTATTTACATTATTTTTGCAGTTTTTTTATTTAATCGGTAAATGGTTAGTATTCCCAGGGCCTTCCTTACCACCCACACATATTTGCTGACATAGTAACACTGACAAGGAAATAAATGCTTAAAGAACTGTGGGCTGGAAATGAACTTTACATGCCCTTAACCACTTAGCTAGACTCAAGTAATGAAGCATCAAAAAGCAAACCCATCAGTTAGGTTTTGTATGTGAAACAGAAAAAATACTTAGTTTAACTTGTTATCTATAGAAGCATAACACACCTAAAATAAAGACGAATGTTTTTTGTTTGTTTTGTTTTGTTTTGTTTTCTGAAGGACGACATCATAATCCTGAAGCTCTGCTGGAATTCTAGCTTCCGAGGTTTGGCTGAGGAATGCCGTTGGTGAGGCTCATGCCTTCCCATACGCACACACAATGAAGAGATTCACTCCAGTTCCATATAAATACACCATGTTCCAGTAGTTGGCTTACTAACTCATTGCCCTGAACTTGACCTTTTCCTAGAGAAGGAGTGTCGGAAATGTGGTTAGCTTCTGAGGCAAATCCATAAAAGCCAACCTAACACATATTGAACACAGAGTAGCTTTCCAAACCCATGGAGTATGGATCCGCTTTCCCTGTGTCAATATTGTTTCCATGGAAAAATCCTTACGCATTCCAAGTGGGGTGTTCTCTCTCCATATGGGGAAGCCCAAGCACATCCCACTCTAGCAAGAGAAACAGATAAGCACACCCCACTCTAGCAAGAGAAACAGAGGTAGCTCCCTGCCTTACGTCCTGTTTTTTCCCATTCTGACGGGGAGGAACGTCTTTAGCATACAGTGGCACTACAGCTAATGTGGATTGAGTCAGTCACTCAAGAATTCAGGGCTATGCCAAGGTTGAAGATCAGAAACGGTCTTCCTAGAAGGTGGCTGAAGGGTTACAGACTGTCATCAGAAAATCCTTACAAACCAGATTTAGCTGGTGTCTCAATCACCACTGTCACTTATACCATGTGCCCCACTTCTCAGGGACTCATATTTCCTGTCACCACCTCTTGTGGCTTCTGAACAGCACCTCCAGCTTTCTCTTCTGCCTCTTCCTTACAGGAGTCCTCCTCTCTCTGGAACAAAGGTGCTGCCATATTCCTGGCGATAGCCGTGGTGGAATCAGATGGAGAATAAACCATTTTCCTGGAAACAATTCTACTTTGACTAAATGAGAAACAAAACATAATTTTTCATATTATTTCAACAGAATATTGCGTGCAAAAACTTCTAGTCATTTTTAATAGGCTTAGTGGAGTTAGCAATTCTCTAAGTAAAACTTACAAAAGGACATCTCTTTGAGGCAGAGATTGGAGGCTCTGAAGAAAGGGCACTGGTGGGTAAGGGTTGAAATTGGAATCATTACTGGCCCGTTTCTTTCTCCACTGTACCAGGTGATCTGGAGCAAGTTCAAGGGCATTGACATAGGGTGGAAAACAAAGAGGGTCAAACTTTTAGGGGCAGCAAACGGAGGGGCAAGGAACACACAAAGGAGAAAAACCCAAAGCCATAGCTGTGCAATAGAAGCCAATTTACTTGAGGTGCTACTACAAATGTTCATTTTTAAGGTGAGTGGAGAGACTAGAAACTACCTTGGCATTACATAGCAAGGGCATTTGGGGGGATTTCTGTATAAATTTTACTAAAATGTAAATGGTGCAAAGAATTTCCATCTTAAGCCACTTGTATTAACAAGTATTTCAAGTTTTGGGTTTACTAAATTTAAAAAACATTAGAGATACAAATTAATTAATAAAAGGATGATTTTCTTATTTTGGGAAATTGAAGAATGCCATTTTCTGCACCTAGCATCAGACCGAGGATATGAGGTGAGTCTGCCTATGTGAATCGCCTTGCCTGTTTTCATTAATGACCGTGTCCTTTGTTAATATTCTTACGATGAAATGTATTCAGAAATATCATTTCATTTTCTGAAAGTAAAAACTTAGTCAAAAAACAGAGCCAAATGAGACACAGTGATGGTGAACCATTAATCTCTTCCAAACGGGCTCTTTAAACTCTAATAATAAAAAGTATCACCTGGCTTCGCATTTCCCCTTTGCATATGCATACATTTTGAATGCTTTTCAGTTATCTTGTCTATTGTTGTTTACGTGCATTTTAAAATCTATGGTGAATATGTGTTCTCTCTGAGACTTGTTTATGGAATCCTCAAGAAAAGAGTGGAAGAAGCTGTTTATTGAAATCTCTTGTCTCACACTTGGCACCAGGACATGCCAGGTTTAAAACAATGTTTGCCTGAAGGTATCCTTTTCTGATCCAGCATAGTTACTTACATGTTGCCTGCTAGGTATACTTCTCAACTGTTTTAACATTAATGTGTTGATAATATTAATAATAATAGAAGAATTTGCAATAACAACTGTCATTTATTACAGCAATACAATTTTTGAAATAAATTTTAAATAGATCATTCTAAACACCACAGCCTATGCATGTGGAAACTGACCCTAATATAGCTTAGCCCTATTAAGGATTTTGCAAGGTAGCATAACCAGTTAGTGGAATAACTAGTATATGTGTCCAATACTCCAGACTCATGACCCCAAGCCCTCTGCCGCACGTCTTCTAATCTTTCTAAAAGTAGCAGCATTTAAATTATTTTTGTCATTCAGGAATGCTTATTAAATAAATTTCAATCACATATTTAATAAATGTAAAAAATACCCAAAGCTTGATTGTCGAAAGTGTTCCCTTCATTTGTTAATATCAAAAGATACTAACATTTTGAATGTGTGTAAACCTTCTAAAACGTCATTAATAATAGTGATGCAAAATAGTCATTAGAAAGGAATGAGTCATTTGTGATTTCAAATTTTATATTTTCCTTGACAGAAAATTTAATTTTGATTTCAATTTTCCCAGGCACATGCACATTTCCAACTTAAAAGATTTTGGAACTAAAATAGAGTGTAGATACTTAGCGAATATTCTCCTAAAAAGCAATTTACCTCTAGAAGCTACTGGGTTTTAGACATAATGAGTGAGTGTGGAAAACTGTGACATGAGAAAATTAATAAAAAAGACTTTATGTGTCTAGATTTAAATAAAAACTATGAATATGGCTTCCAGAATTTGCTAAGTCAAATTAATTTACAAACACCTAAAATAGTTAAGAAATAGAATTAATAATACACCAAACACACACACACACACACGCACCAAGAGATACATACACACACACATTCTTACAAATTGTAGAATAATTGTTGGTAACATCTAAATGAAAACACGTAAGTGAATTCACATTTTCTTTGTTAGACTATTGGTTTATATGAATCAGTTTAGATGAGAATCTAAACTTTCGAGAATACATTCTAACTTCCAACCTAAAGAAACACTTTCCGCCCCACCATCAAACTCATCTGGTAGTAAGAACAAACTAGTGGTACAAAACATTTCTCTCTAAAGATTTCCAATTTTTTAAATAATTTGAAAATAGAAATACAATCTTAATTCATCGGAGGAAAGCACTGATATAAAGTGTATCTGATAAGTGGAAAAGGAAATACGTAAAATTTAACATATGATATGAACACATAGTAATGGCAAGACCAACACAACCTCTCCCTCATGATCAGATTTCAGTTTTAGCTTCACTAGGTGGGGGTGTCTCCTCCGCTGAGTAAAAACCTTACGCCCCCATTAATGCAGGTCCTGACTCAAGGCAGCAGCGTCTCCTCACCCAGTGGAGGGTGGAGGAGCTGGCAGGCAATGTGCATGTGACAAAAGTGCCAAAGGCCGACCACGTGTGTGAAAAAAGGTGCTTTAGCTCCCGGGATCAGCAATTTCCTCCCCCCTATTCTGGTAAGACAGGAATGTGTCACGACACACTCTCAACTCCAACCTTCAATTCATTGAAATGTGTTTAAGCAAATCAAACCTGTCATCCAGAAATAGAGCATTTGTCTACACCTGGAAAGATCTGGATTTCTTTAGTTTTTATTTGTTTGTTTCCCATAACTTTCAAGCAACCGTACTTGCCTCCTTCGAACTTGGCATAGTTCAGTAATACAAATTCCTAGCCCAGTTTGGAAGGAGATTGTTCTTTTGTCGCTGTTCAAGGTTATCCACCCGAGCTGATTTCATGCTTGGCTGCATCTGGAGGCTCACGTGTCTGCTTCTTAAAGTAACGCTCTCCTCTACCAGGATTCTGAAACCACAGAGTAGCACGCAGGTCTTCAGCGTGACAGACGCCTGCTCCTGCTCAGATGGCAGTGCGGGACCTCAGGAGGACAGTCGTGTGGGCTCCTCACTCAACATCTCATAACCTGCTCATTTTAACAAATTGACCCAGAACTAAGGGACCCCAATATAAATTAAAGGAGGCAGTGGAAGGAGAGAAATTATTTGTAATGTTCAAAGAAAGACCTCAAAATAGAATAAGGCTTCTTTCTTCCCTTGTTTACTCTCTTGTGGATGTTGAAGTTTCTAATCTCTCAGAGTTCTGATTTATCTAGTCTATATCTCTACCATCACCTATGTCCCTATCTATCTATAGCTATAGATAGGGTCTGGATAGGAAAAAAAAAGATAGGAAGCATAAAATTTAACACCCTCTAGATGCCACCTCAATAAACCTTAGTCTAATTATGGTCAAACCAATTTGAAAGATTTAAAAAAAAAAAAAACAGGCACTCAAGGCAATAAGTTAGACTAAAAGTAGCCCCAATAAGATGAAAATAAGAAAAAAAATGCATATATTGATGCTAATGATATAGGTAACAGAAAAAAAGACATTATAAATACTGAAGCTCATCCTTTGAAAAGTAATATATAACAATATATTAAAGAATAAAAGAATAAATCAGAACTATCAAAATAGAAATAAATATGGTATAAAGTAAGACTATAAACTTTATAATAGCAGAGGTGATATTTTAGAGCTGTCTTTCTGGCTCTTAGAAGAGTGCTTGGGACACATGGGTCACTGTTTTTATTGTAGTTATTTTTTAGCTGAAATAACAGAACATGGAAACGTTTCAACATTTTATTAAAAATTATCTTTGCAAATGTTATTTACTATATAAATAAGCCAAGGGAATACAATTAATGTGTATTAAGACTAATAGAAATATATTCAAGATTTTTCAAAAACTAGCAATAATAACTAAGAAGCATACAAATACAAAGCTTTCACTCACATCTACCATAAATATGTATATCATCTAAAAATTAACTTGGTACATAGGGAAAGGTTTTATAAAATTGTATTGTATAAACAAAATGTTTTAAAACTGAAACATATTCCTAAGTGAAACATAAATGTATATAATACAATATTATTTGGAGGATTATTTTAACTTTTATTTCAACTTTGGGCGTGCATGTGCAGGATGCGCAAGCTTGTTACATAGCCAAACGTGTATCATAAGGGTTTGTTGTACAAATTACTTCATCACCAAAGCATTAAGCCTAGTATCTATTAGTTATTTTTCCCGATTAGCAAGAGTGTGACAAAATGGTTTTAAAGATATTAATGAAAGAAAATTTGTTAAGAGTTTTAGAAACAATAATAATGAGAGGACTTGCTCTATTAAACACTAATGTATATTTTAAAGAACTGTAATGATTTCAAAGTTGTACTCCCAAATAGAAAAAAAAGAAACAACTTAATAAAACAAAAAGTGCAAATGTAGATATTAATGTACAGATTTTAGTATATGCCAAAAATGCCATCATGAAAAAATAAAAAAGATACATTATTTTGTAAGTAGCTCTGGAGTAACCTTTTACTAATACAATAAAATTTCTTCTCTTTTACCCTATGTCCAAATGTATTATACCTAGTTTATATGAGCTAGTGTTAAAAACAAAGCCAATCAAAACAAAAGAATAGTTAAATAAATAAATCGCCTATTTCCATGATTTGAAAGGAAGCTTTTGTAAACCCTCGTACAAGAGCACAAATTATTTTTTTAAACTACACTAATTTCATGCATTTGAAACATACTTATGCAAAAACAGGCAAACAAACCTTTTAAGCTCCCCAAAAAATTAAAAAGCAAACAATAGTAATACATGAATGATTATATAAAAGATCTTAACATCACTAAGAAAAAAATATAAGTAGATAATTATATAAAATAAAAATTCCCATATGTGAATTTATTTGTAAAAGTTAATCTTGCAAGTGTTGAAAAATGCAATTTAAAACTATGAAAACCATTCCTCTTATAATTTTGGAAACTTAAGAAAATTTGTGTTAGATACCATAAAATGTACAGTTTAAGAAAATTATCGTGGGTCTGCTTTTTTTTTTGAAGGAAAATAAACAACCTAAGATTGCTTTCAATATGTGAATAAAGGAAATAACCTTAATATTCAACAAAATCTGATTGAGTAAATTGTGCTAGATGTATAAAATGAAGAATCAGAAAATGAAGAAAAAGCAGAATTCCTTTTTCCAAAGAACACTTGCTGACCTGATAAATATTTGAGATATATATTTCGTGAAAATATAAAAACAGACCCATGCAAATAAACAGAAAAACTTCACTTTCATATTTCTCCATGTCTATTTAACAATGTCTATGTGTGTCATCACTGAATGACAGCAAACAGATCAGGAAAGATCTTATCATCCATGAATGTCGGGATCTGTACGCCTTTTGAGGTAGGATTATTTTTTTCCTTCTATGCATATAGTTTTGAAGTTTTATAGAACTTTTAAGTTGCTTTACAATTTAAAAACAAAAAAATTAAAATTAAACATCATTAAAAAGTAATTTCACTACATCTATAAGTTTGAAGTATTATAAAATTATGTTGTTTTGTAGTTGCCAAAAATATTCATTAAAACAATTAACTTTTATCAAGTAATGGGCCAATCTGATTCTCTTCGTTTGCATTATTACATATGTGTTGCTTTGCTTAAGGCTAGTGGTTTAATAGCAGCTTCCTCTCGGACATTAAGATAAAATATCCAAATTATAATGCTTTATGAGGCTTTGACTCACTCACAATTAGATCATCTTAGTTTGCTTTATTTAATTTCCTTTGCCAATGTCTGTTTATAGAAGTCCGGAAAAGGAATTCTTCTCAAAATGAATCAGAACTGAAACAGCAAGTGTTCCAGAATGAACACTCTGCACAATGCATTCAGACAGGGGATACTCTTAGAACAACCACTATTTTTACCTCAATAGGTCAAGCAATATAAATCACAGCTATAAATGACATACAGCTACGTCTCCCTAAAAATGAGATCATCTCACACAACCAATAGAAATTCCGCACATCTGTAAATGGAAAAATTTGACATATCAATATAGGCTATTTATGCTTCTTCAAAATACTATGCGTAGTTTCTATCCTACATATGACAATAGTTGCATTGTTCCTTGATTTGATTATCTGTCTTACATGGTCCTAATAATTTCTTTTTTTTTTTTTTGTCTTTCTTCTAAGTGATAAAGAAACTGGGCAAGTCTGAAATAGGGCATAATTTTCTCCCTTGCTCATTGTATTTCGAAGTAGCCCTGATTAATAAGATTTATGGATGAGGGCTTACTCGGCTGGGCTTTAGGGCTGTTTTATTTTACTGTAGTCATTGTAGCCTTCGGTTGTCTCTGTTCTTCTTCATGAATTGAACTTTTTACCTCCAAGAATCCATACGCTCATCTGACCTACAGAAAATGCCAAATGCTACCTAATTGTCTCTCTACCTCAGAAACTGTAACAATTGTTTTTATTTCAAACTTTACTGATTTATTTCAAACTTTACAGACAGAGAAAAAGAACAGGAAAGGAAAGAAACATTCCATGTTGAAGTGAACACATACATGTCATTAATAATTTAAACTAAACATATAAACAAAAAGGTCGAGGTTGTCCGAGATCTTTAAATACACTTTTTTTTCATGTTCTGTGTCTCTCTTAATTTGAATGCAAAGAATATTCTCTGGCATTTTGTAAATCTGTGACTTAAGATATTGATCATTTTGCCAAAACACAACTTTCTTGTACATGATGTGCAAAGATATCAATGAAAATGAACTCAAGGTACTGAATTACTTGCAAAGTTTTTATAGTACAGTGTTTCAAAGTAAATCCACCGAGGACAATACCAGTTTCCTGGCTTCTTCTGTTCTCTATTTGCTCAGGCTTTATCTTCTGCCAAACACCTACCTTTAGGAAAATTAAGAACAAACGTGTCTGCTGTTATATGTAGTATCTTTAGTGGAACTAAAACTAGTATATGTCAGTATTGACTTGCTAGTTTGATAATAAAAATCTGACCTGTCATCTTTGACCCAAATATTTGTAAATATTATGCTTCTGCGATTATTACCGTGGTGTGCACAGAGCAAATCCAGAGTGAACAGGACTTAAAGCTGGGAGCCTCCGGTGGAAGTCGTTCCATGGCCTTATCAGCAAAGCAACAATTTTTCCAGCATTCTAGTTTATTTGTCTGTTTCCAATGCATTTTACGTAAAGGATGGTTTTGAATTTGCTGATTTGCAGCATCTCCTGGCATATGGTGTCCTTTTTAAATCTATTTTTAAAACCTTTTATGGTAACAGAGGGGGAAAATTTCCCCATCTCTCTCAATGTATACTTATAAAAATAAAATTTATTCAGAAAATGTACAGTATGCTTAATCCTAAATTAACGTGGTTGCTGAAACGCTATTCCTTAACCCCGAGGCATATGCGATTTCTAAAGAAACAAATTCAGCGTTTAATTAACTCTGGAATCCTCCCGTAAATGGAGCTTATATGTGTGTGTAAAGTTCAAGGCAGGATGAATTTAGAGAAGAAAACTCCTCAGGGGGGTTGCTGTCCTACAGAAGCCAGCCGGCCCTATCTGAGGCAGACAGACCTAGCGCATGGCTGTGTGTACTAAATTAAGGAGTGCGGAGGTTCAACCAGAGTGCACAGATTAAAATTTTCAATAGACCCAAAAATGTCTCGAAGGCATGAATGAGCCTGTCACTTTTCCTCTGCCTCTCCAGCAAATGATGGATTCACTTTATACCCACAACACAACACGTGAGATATGCCTGGTCTCCTCCGTTATTCTTCCTTCTCCAGTCATGCTGAAATAGAGGTTGTGGTTAAACAAATCTGCTTTTATGGAGCAAAGCACTGTGAAACAGAGCTGATTAGGGCCTGACACATCAAATTAGACGGGGGCAGCAACGTGCCTGATGACTCTATTGTTTCAGGAGGCGGTGCTGCCTTTGCCATCCTTCCTGACTACACAAGTAACTTTGTTTAATTTTAATTTTGAAGAGAAAGCTTTTGCTACAGTGAAATAATTATTACTATTAATTTTTCCACCTGTATCTTAAAACCTGCTTTACAAAGCTGATTTTGCCAACCAGGCACTAGACTAGCAAATCATTTAACAAAGACGAGAATTTACTATTTATGGGATGAAGTTTTAAAATGCCATTTTGAGAAAAATAGCAAAGCAAATGACTGATAAAGTAAATAATAAAATATGCATAAAATGTCCTGATTTTTTAATAAAATCACTTCTATAAATATAACTAAGACTCTTCTCTAATATCTAGCACAGCAAACTTACCTACTTTGCAAATTATAAAAAATCATGAATCGTCTTATAAGGGTGGTGGTTATTGTATAAGAATTATTATATTTCTTATGTTATTATATAGCTTTTGGATACATTTCATATATATACATATGTGTGTGTGTGTGTATATACAAAAAATATGTATTTACCCACCAAGATAAGTCTAGGACATCTCTCAGTAGTTTATTTACAGTTTCTGAGCAAATAACACCCAAAAAGATGCTTACTTTTAAATATATTAATATTGCTATTTATGTAAATACACTATACTTTCTTCTTCTAACTCCAGAGGGCTTTAAAAGTTCACTTCATTTGTATCTGGCAATCCTAAATGTAATACTCTGGTAGTAGCCTTATTTACCTGAAATAACAGCTTACCTTAGGGAGGTATAACGTAAGAAAAATCAGTTGGGAAATCAGACATAATGGATTTTTAAGTCACCAATTAGTTGCATATAGCATCCTTTCCCATCTCAACTCAACAGACTGTAGTTTGGATTACAGAAAAGAGTGGGTTTAATATAACTGACCAAGTCTTAGAAATAAATGATAAAGGCACAGAGTTCGCTGGGCTGCTCTTGCTCAAAATGCTCAAAATGCTGTTAAGATCATGGGTGTATTTGCGGCCCTCCACACAGAAGCCTGTGGTTGTACCACTGGGCAGATTCTCTGACCCTGAGTTCTAGCTCCGTCTCCCTAGAGCAGGTGATAGAAGCGTTTGATCTTAGACATTTTTCAGATATTTAAGTGATGCTATCATGTGAAACTGAACACGGCAAATGAAAACAATTGTTCATAAAATTACTATTTTTCCTTGACATCTATCATAGCTTTTAAAGTTCAGACTGTTTCTGGGAGGATTTGGGATTGTTCCAGATTTGTAAAATTTGATAAATGATTGAACAAAACTGCATTTCCTGGTTAATACTAAGAGATTCTTATAATTGATACCCTTGGTATGAACTCACCTGATGGTCACTGTGAAATGTACATGGGATAGAATAATCTCAAAAGCCCTTCAGAATGACCTTTTTATCACATGTATGTCACAGACAACATGTGAGTGTGGGTGCTTTGGAGTTTGCTTCTCATACATCAGGTCTGACACTATAAGAAGCTATGGTGTTTTGTTTAACACATCTCGAGGTGATATGATCACTCAGGACTACCTAGCATCTTTATGTAGTGCTACAGGGTGTGAAGAAACAAGTTGTTATGACTCCTTTATTTTGGTTGTTACATTTATAATAGAAAAACTGTGGGTTTGAGGAGATCCGCGGGGGATCCCTATAGGGCAGGTCTCGGATAACATGTTTTCAGAGTTGAAGTTCAGAGAAGGATGCCAGGGATCAGTGCTCCTGCTGGGTTTGTGATAACTGCATCACTAAGTCCTGTCTAATTCCTCCATCCTGAGAGCAAGAGGGTTTTTCTGGAACCTTGCATTTGCATTCAGAACTTGATTCTTTCTTGATACATTTAAAGATTACTCTACACATGAGCATGCACAGGCATGTCTCCCACAGGTAACTTCTCAACTGCAAATTCAACCAGTGATAGCTGTAGAAGATTATGAAATACAGCTACAATTGTGAAGTCTGTATTGGTTTCACGCTGAGATTATATACAACTTTATTTGAAATTAAGGCCTGAAATAACTTACCTAACACCTTTTCACTCAATTTGTTAATAATGATTATCTTCTCCTAACATATTCCAATTAAAATATGAGCGAATAAAGTCCTAAGAAGAGGAAATCCTCATGAATTAGTTAACCTATAAAATCTTGTCAATAAAACACTTGTATATCAAAAATGTGGAAAAGTACTGTCTTTGAACTAGCTGAAGTTAGGCAATAGTAATAATAATCTTACCAAACAAAAAATCACCAGATTTAAAATCATTTGCTGCTCGTTTTCATCTAAATTTTATAGTATACAGTGTATATATTATGTACTAAATAATATTTGGGGACATTTAAAAAATAATTCTTAAGTTCCAGAATTTTACATGGTGATATAATTCCCTTAAAATAGCTACCCTCCTGCCATACCTACCAAATCTCACACTCTCACACAGTTACCCCATACAAAATAGCTCTAACAATAGTTGTAGATATTTTTGCCTCCACATATTCACAAAGTTTCACATTTAATAACTCCTCAATTAAAATTTTCTCTACACTGTTAAGAGAAAAATATATTACTATAACGTAGTTAAAGAAAATTAATCATAAATCTGTTGGAATACTTAATATTACATTATTTTAACATAAAAAACTTGCAGAAAATGACAGATGTTGAAATCAGTATTATGAAACATAGACCATTACAATTGATTAAAGTTGCAATAAAGACAGTATTTCTTTCCAGAATAGTATAGAGATGATTCAAATGTGTTTTTTAATTTGCTCTCAGAATTAAATTTTGTATATATACGTTTCCCTTAGGTTATAAATCTTTTTTATTGGCAAGTGTTTGCACTTTGTGATACATTTTTGTAACAATGCCGTATGATTTTCATTGTCAGAATGACAGAAATTGAAGTTAATGTGGTTTGAAATAGACAACTCAAATGAGTGGAATAAGTGTTGATAAAATAATCTAATTTTTGAAAATATTAGCTTATCAATATAAAAAACATAAATTTACCATCATTTTATGTCATTTTACTGATGCAAAAATATTAAGTTTTTCTCCAAACTCGTTCTCACTCATAATGAAATTCTATTTGGATCCAAACCAGGTTTTTATTTTATTTTTAGGAATGAGAATATTTTTTCTTAGAAGACGCTTAAAAAAATTATACAGAATACTTACAAGAATTACATGTGTGTGTATGAAAAGTTAGTGACGATATTAATAGACCTATGAAGCTACTGTAAAAAGTCAGTGTAAAAATGAGATTATACATTAATTGAGAAACAGATTGAATTATTTCTAAGAATTGAATATAATAAACTTGTTTTTTCAAATTATTCTTACAGCAGATATGTTATTTGGTAAATGAGTATTTGGTGAGATTATTATTATTATATAAATGTAAATGTCAGTCAATTGATATAGTCAGTCTCTCCGTTAACAAATACTTTTTGAGCATATCCTATAGTGGAAATTTCTTCTGAGAATTGAGTATACAGTGCTAGAAGAGATAGGCAGTCTATATTTATGTTGCTTCATTCTATTTAGAAAGCTATATAACGTACAAATACACACACAAATAATTAAGATAATCCCACTGCAAGTGCTAAGAATAAGGTCATAGTAGCAATGTGGTTCAGAGTACTGAGAGGCTATCTATGGAGGACATTTAGGGATGACAGCAGGCAAGACATCTCTGAGGAGCTGGACCTTGACTTGAAACCCGAATGATGAGAGAGTAATGCATGATTTTACAGGAAGAGGCCTCAAGGGAAAAGAATAGCCTGTGCAGAATTCCGTAGTAGCAAAGACGTTGTGTTTCTGTAAGACCAATAAAAGCCAGGTGGATTTGAACATGGTGAAAAGGGAGAAAATGACTGGGGGGATCTTAGATCAGTAACAGGCATCAAGCCATTCAGGATCTGTCAGGTCATGATAAGGAGCTGGGATTTTATTCTAAGAACACTGGAAGGAAGTTAGATCAGGGAGTGCTGATTTACATTTCAGAAAAATAACTCTTGGTTGTTCTGTAGAACATGGACAAGAAGAGGTTAACTGGGGAGGAGGTAACAGGATAACAGGATAGCATGCCATGGCCACTGTCCAGATGGAGAGGATGGAGGCAGAGACCAGGCTGTGGCTTTTCTTTTCTTTTCTTTTCTTTTTTTTTGAGACCTCACTTCTAAATACATAAAATCTGTGGATCCCTACTGTCTCAACATAAAGCCCTGACCCTTTGATTCCTGCCTGCCTTTCCAGCCTCACCTCCCTGCACTGCAGCCAGCAGGATTTTTCAGTCTAACAAGTCATAAAATGCCCTTTGAGAAAGCACCCTCTGACGCAGGGCATTCTGAAGGTAGAGGTGCAGGACTAGGAGAGGCAGTGAATGTGAGTGTGAGTGAGACACAGACACAGTATCTCTCCTAAGGCTTTCTCTGAAGTCATGGTGTGTGAATGGTCATGATGTTTATTGGGAGGAAGAATGCTTGAGGGAATTGGGAGGAAATTAACAGAAGGAAAAAATCATTATCTCTGTTTTGTCTAAACCTAGTGCTTATCCTAGTGAAGATGGCAAGTGGGAGATTGGATATAAGAATCTGCCGGTAATGAAATAAGGCTTTGCTATTGCTGTACATTTGAGAGTCAGTGTGTGGATGCTATTTAAAGTTACAAGGCAAATAAGGGAGCCTTAGGAGGGAGTGCACAGATAGAGAACAGGGGTGAGGGAAGAGCCGCGGAGTGCTGCTCTATTCAGTGAACTGATACAGTGGGAAAAAATACCAACACAGAAAATGTGATTACATTACCAATGACTCTGAGCCAGGTGTCAAGAAAGCTTAGAGATAAACATTTTAAGAAAAAGAACATGTCAAGTGCTGTTGAAACTTAATGTAATGCAAGGACAGAAAATTGACCTTCAGCTTTGGCAAGCTCTATAGGTGCAGTCTCTGTGCATTGGGGGCAGAGGAACTCTGACCGGTATAGGTTGAAGAGAAAGTGTGAGATGAGACAATAAGGCTGGTGTGACAGGACATTTTTGGAGATGTTCAGTTTTGAAGGAAGAACATCAGGGTATAAAAGGCAGGAGGGAATAGTACCAAAGACATAGGTACTGAGGTTGGCCTTTGAACAGTGTCTGTTCTTTCATCTGCACAGGTGGGGCAGCTGAGAATATGGGTACACGATTTTTAAAGTGGTGATTGGAAGAGGAAGTAGTTCTTGACTGAGCTCAGTTATTTTATTCCCGTGCTGAGAGTCCAGTTGGGAGGAGCTGTTGAAGAGTTGAGGAGAAAGTATGAGAGAGCCATCCCAGAGAGCAGAAAAGGCAATTTACTAGAGAAATGGAGATGCATTGTTGAATAGCATTGAGAGACTATTTGAGATCAGTGGTCATAAATTTGAAGCAAGTCCATCCAGAAAGACTATGAAATGTTTCTCTAGCAGCATTCAACTATGACTCTTTCAGAGGGATGGGGCATCAGAAATGTTGGTATTTTGACAGCTCTATTCACAGGTATTTTGACATTAGTTTATGCTTAAGATTACGGGTATCTTAATTCAGATTCCTACCAATAGTGTCCAAGGGTTCCCTTTTCTCCATATTGTCTCCAATATTTATAGTTTGTCTTTTTACAACAGCCATGCTACCAAGTATAAGGTGATATCTTGTGGTGATTTTCATTAGCAGTTCTCTGATGATTAGTGATACTGAACATTTTTTTCATATACCTGTTGGCCATTTGCACGTCTTCTATTGAAAAATAGCTATGCAGGGCCGGGCACAGTGGCTCACACCTGTAATCCTAACACTTTGGGAGGCCGAGATCACCTGAGATCGAGAGTTTGAGACCAGCCTGACCAACGTGGGGAAACCCCGTCTCTACTAAAAATACAAAACTAGCTGGGCATGGAGGTGCATGCCTGTAATCCCAGCTACTCGGGAGGCTGAGGCAGGAGAATCGCTTGAACCTGGGAGGCGGAGGTTGCGGTGAGCCAAGATCGTGCCATTGCACTCCAGCCTGGGCAACATAAGCAAAAACTCCATCTCAAAAAACAAACAAAAAAAAGAAGGAAAGAAAGAAAGAAAGAGAGAGAGAAAGAAAGAAAGAAAGAAAGAAAGAAAGAAAGAAAGAAAGAAAGAAAGAAGAAAGAAGGAGAGAGAGAGAGAAAGAAAACAAAGAAAGAAAGAGAAAGAAAGAAAGAAAGAGAGAAAAAAAGAAAAGAAAAATATCTATGCAGATCCTTTGCACATTTTTTTTCATTTGGATTATTGGTTTTCTTGCTATTGAGTTGTTTGCACTCTTTACATATTTTTGTTATTAACCCCTTGTCAGATGTATAAATTGAAAATATTTTCTCTCGTTCTATAGATTTTCTCCTCACTCTGTTTATTGTTTCCTTTGCTCTACAGAAGCTTTTTAGTTTTATCTAATCCTATTTGTCTCCTTTTCATTTTGTTGCCTGTGCTTTTGGATTCATAACCAAAAAGTTGTTACCCAGACCAATGTTATGATGTCATGGAGTTTTTCCCTTAGTTTTCTTTCAGCAGTTTTAGAGCTTCAGGTATTCTATTAAAGTTATTAATCCATTTTGAGTTGGTTATTGTATATGTTGTAATGAAACTATGTGGCTTTTAACCTGCATACCCAGATTAAGGAATGTTAGTTGCTAATGTGTTTTAATTAGAATGCTCTTACGTGATTACTGAGTATAAATGTTACTGTTAGAATATCTAAGCTGTTACATTATTGTAAATTTGGGGTGATTTTTCTTTGGCTAAAAAGTAAATAGGTGAGTACACATATAAGATTGGAAATTGTGATAATTTAATTCCAACAAGAATAAGAGTTTAGGTTGGATATATTTCTTCATGCAACTATCAATAAATGTGAATGATGGATAGCAAAACTATTCATATATCATAATTAATCTCACTACTTGAAGAGTGATATTTATCCACCCACCCATGTGCCTAGCCTTGTTTCTATTTGTTTGCTAGAATCATGACAGAGAGAGAGAAAAAATATAACAAATATATTTTTTCTTTGATTAATTTCTTGACAGGGGCTCGTTCTGTTGAATGTTAGTGTCAGAGGTGAACACTGTATTTCATTTAAGAGTAAGAAATACAGAAAGAATATTGCAATGACTGAATCCTGAAAAGATATGGGCAAGTCTTTCAGATATTGTTGTTTCAAATGTAATAAAAATAAGCTAGATTAATAATAATAATTTCTTATTGTACTAATCAATTACTCTGTGGAAGAAACTATGTTAAACAATTTACATGTATTAATTAATTTAATGTCTACATCGGCTGAAAAAGATAAAGTCTATCAGTTCCCCTTTCCTTAGGAAAAGACTAGTGATTAACGACGTTAAGTAAATTGCTTGCAACTAAAATTTAGAACCAAAATGCAAACCTGGGTTCATTTCATTCAAGTGTTAGCACATTTGCAGGGATATCTAACGTTTCATTTAAAAATCTAAAAAATTTTCATAAAACTTTGTTATCATGAAAGTTTGAGAAACCATGTTTTAGACAATAAATACTTTGAAAAGCCAACTCATATTAGTGTGTTAATACATCCAAGAGATAAAATTTAAAAGGTGCACATTTAAAGAAAGCAAAACATTTCATATTTATTTGCAATTGCGTATTTCACTTTTAATTTTTAGCAAACTATTCCAATCATTGAAGAATAGCTGGCTTTGAACTCTGGGGTTGGAGATGTAAAACCTGGGAAGTGGGACTTCTCCATGGTGGACAGGTGTCTTCTTCACACAAAGGATCCACAGCTTATGGTGCATAGGTGTGCACATATGTATGTGTTTTATGCAAGGCAAACAGATTGTAAGGCTATTGTTCATAGAAAAGTAGTAGCTTATACATGCTTTTAATACATACTATTTTGGTTAGGTCACTGGAAGAAAGTTTTGAATAGGAGTAAAACAGCTCTTGAACCTAAAAATTATGCCACATTTTACGCCAGGATAAAAGTGTAGCACAAAAATACTTCCTATATTATGTCAGACTAACAATGTCTGAAATAACCTAGTGCAATGCTTCTTTTTTCCACTGAACCATAGAAGTTCAGAAAGTATAAGAAGATGTCAAGTTTATAAGGCATTGTACTAAATAGTAACTTAGCACTGTAGGTGGATGGCCTGTATTTTTGAGTGGAAATGAATAGCTTCAAAATTGAATGTCAAAACAAAAGTTAGAAAAAAATCTATAATAGATTAAAAAATACCACAAATAACATGTTTTTATGGAATATAGCATCAGTTGTAGACAATTTTAAAAATTTGTTATCTCCCAAATCCTTTGTGCATAAATCACATCTGTCACGTAATTTTTATTTGCAGTTTATTTGATATAATACTTTCCCACTTGTTGAATTTAGAGATCAGATTCATCTAATTGTTTATACACCAAATGACACAATGATGATTATGTCTATTCTGTGCTCTATGGATCCTTAATTGACACTTGAACAATTGTTTAGACATAAAAAGTAATCAGCTAAAATTGATTATTATGAATAATATTAATAATAAAATACTTATCGAAATCAACCCTTTCTGCCAAACGGAATCAGAAAAACCATTTATGTAATTAAACACATTAGCAAAATAGGCATTTATTATATAGAAAAGAAGGAGAGAGGAAAACACACAAATAGAATATCTTTACTCAAACCAACATCCAATTCTGATGTCTAAAGAAACGTTAGAGTAATATTGTATATACTCCCATCTTTTTAAAAAGAGAGTAAATTTAAACTCAAGGACATTAAGTTATCTATCAAAGGTTATTTTTCAAAGATTCCATTTCTTTTCGTTATTCTCTTCATAACAAAATATAATGTTGACAGATTTGGAAAAATACACTGTTTTTTACCTGGATATCAATTTACTTATAACTGCTATTATATTTGTGACAGTAAATGCCTCGTCATGTCATTCAACCACAAACCAAGGCCTTTCTGTGAATCCTGAAATAGAGCCTCAAACAAAACCTAAAGGGTGATTAAGAAAGTGTTCCAATATCCCCAAAGCAATGTGAAAACCTAATCCTGACAAATGTATTTATGGTGTTAACATCTCCTATTCTAAAATCAGTTAGCTTGCTTAGAAGAAAAACTTATAAGGGGAAAGGTATTGAACTTTACCAAGTACTTACCATGTTAAAATTAGACAGCCCAGTAGAAAAAAATCATTGAAGTTTTTGAATTCCATGAATTAAAAAAAATTATTGAAGGAATGCTAACTATAGATCAAGGGAGGAAAAGGTGTGTTTCAGCAATTGAGTATAATAGTTATTAAATTTCCATGATGGTTGATCTTTATGTTCTTAAAAGAGCCTGCCTATGAACAACGATGTGGGCGAGAAAGATCATTAATAAATAATTGGTTAACTGATGGCTAGACCACAGTGCCAAAGACGAAACTAAAATCCAGAAACTAAAAGCCCCAAATATGAGTGACAAACTTTTGCAATATGTGAATCAGGCTAAAAGTTCAAGGGGAAAAGGAAGGCAAAGAAGGACGTTTATATGATTGAGCATCTTGGTTTGAAAGAAATTATATGTTTAATTATATTATTCCCTTGTCCTTCCATGAACCCTATGAAGTATTAATAGCCTGTTTTATAGGAAAAGTTCCTTGAAGCTGAGAGCATTTATATAGGTTATCTAAGGTTTCCTTTCTGGTAAATAGTGAAACCAGAGTCCAAAATCCAAACAAACTGACACGATATTTCATGATTTGTCATCTAAAGTTTTGTTGCACGAAGTGTGGTCTGTGGATCAGGAATGTCTTCATTTGGGAGCTTGTTAGAAATGAAAGATCTCATACTCAAACCCAGAACCGTGAAATCATAATCTGCATTGTAATGAAATCTCCAGGTGATTCTTATCCACATTACAGTTTGAAAGGCACTCAACTAAAACACTCTAATGGAGGCTAAGTGGGATCCACAACAGGACCCCCAGAAGTCACAAAGAGTTGAAGGAAGAGGAGAGAGTTAATGTCACAAATGCAGAGCACGTGCCGAGGGACTTTTGGGAAAGCCTGGACTGCTTGTCTCAGGCAGAGGCAAAGGATTAAATGGGGCAGACGTGGCTATGCTGTGCTTAATCTAAGACTTAGACAAATACGGAGATGTGAACTGAACTGGTATTCCAATATCCCCTTACCAATTACCTGCTCCCAATCCCTCCTTTTACACTTCAGTTCCTAACTTATGCAGGCATAATATGTAGAAGCAAGAATTGAGTCTCTTATGCCCCAACGTACCAATCTGTTCTTCAGAAAAGCCTGCTAGTCCTAAAAGAAGGTAATGGGATATCCTGGATTGTTCAGGGTAACCCTGATTCCAAATACTGTGCTATTATTACACCTAGTATCATGTTACAAATAATAGTCTAAAATTTCAGCACAGATATGACTATTCCATGCATATCAATGAAATGAAATACCTGGGTATATAAAGCTTAAGTTTTCAAAGTGGTGATTCACTAGAAATTCTGATCACTCTAAGCAGAATGCTTTAATATGTAGCATTATGACATTATATAAACTCTATATTAGGATGAAGTAAAGATCTATTGATATTCAGTTAACAATTCCTTAGGGGTGTTAAATTAATCTTCAACTGTGGCGTGCCCCATTTTCTTCCTACTATTTATCAACAGCTGAATTTTAAAACTTTCATTTACTCATTTAACATTTATTGCGTACCTAATAGATGCTGGATATTATCTTAAAGATTAGAGTTAAACAAATGCCTCTGAGTTGCTGCAGAAGGCAGAAAAATGCAAATAATAAGTAAAAATGAGTGTTGTTGCTATATTTTACACGCACATAGGATTTAATGGACACAAAAGACAGAGGTTCAGTTCAACCTAACATGAAGTTGAATTCAAAGGAGATAGGAGGCTCGAGATGAGTGACATCGATGATCACTATATGAAAAAGTTTCTTGGGCTAAGTGCCAATGCCAGGGGATATGCCCCCGTAAGCAAAGGCACCAACAACTTTGTTGAAGATACAGGTAGGATGACTGTTGTGTAAGATGTGACAGATTTTGTTGAGAAATAAGCCCGCATCTGCGGACAGGTCTGCTTTACGGGAGGCTGAACTTTGTAGTTTAAATGACAGGAAGCCCTTGGAGGAGTGACTAAAGTGATCATTGTGTCAATTTAGAAAGACCATTGTACTTGATGTTCCCCACGGGGCCTGTCATGGGGTAGGAGAAGCAGGGAGGGATAGCATTAGGAGATACACCTAATGTAAATGATGAGTTAATGAGTGCAGCACACCAACATGGCACATGTATACATATGTAACAAACCTGCACGTTGTACACATGTGCCCTAGAACTTAAAGTGTAATAATAAATAAACAAATAAATACCATTGTACTGTTGGTGTATTGGGAATAGATTAGAGCAAGGGAACCATTTGGGAGACGAGAAAGATGATGAAGGTTGAAGTTCAGAAAATGGTACGGTGATGTAATATATTTTGGCATGAAGTCTGTTGCCTGAGTTTAATTTACAATATGTTTAGGTAATAGAGTGGAAAAAACAAACAAACAAACTTAAAAACAAGGATCAGCATTCCTCCTTAGGAAAAATTAGGGGGCTGTTTAGAAAACACTTCAATAAAGTTCTTGAATGAAAGGTCAGACCCTGGGGCATGAGTTAAGGGAGAAATGGAAAAAATGGCTCTGCTTTATAAACGGTGAAAGAAATGGGTGGTGAGAAAGTGTGAAGAGGAGAGAGGGGACAAGGAAAACGGAGTAAATGGGGAGAATCACAGAAGAAAACTAGGCAGAAGGCTGGATAAAATCTCACATTTTTGGAACATGGATGTCTAATTAAGGTTGATGCTATCAAGCCTGCTGAACACATGAAGGCTGATGTTAAAAGTTTTTCTATGTTCAGTATGCATATGGAAAAAGGAAAAAATGACCCTTAGTCTAATATCTAGGTCTTTCTGTGATAGAAAAAAGGGGAGTTAAGAAATGGGTAACAAAAGTGAAAAACTGTGCGCAGGATATGAATGAGCGAATATTGGAGGTCAAATCACCTGTAAGTTTCAGGATCTGTAGAAATAAGAACATGAGACGTGTCCTGAGACACAGAAATGGCGATATTGAAAACGGTGAAATACCTCCATGCCATGTGCTCCAACATATGAGAAAAGCTCCATAAACAACCAACATGTTCATACAGTGGTTCTTATCTGAATACAAGTTTCGATTAAAGTATTGGTAAGTGTTTACCTAATTTGAATTAGAATGGAGTTTACCTAAATAGGACGAAGAGAGCGCTCATAATAAAGAGCTGCTAACTGCCACTCTCTGAAGGAGCCATTTGTATTCTTCATAGTCCTTTTGTGGAAAACCAGGATAAAAGCTCCAACAGACCATTTAAGGTGTGAGTCTCATGTCTGGGTTTGTAAGTGTTTCCAACCTAGAAAGCCAATGTCATTAGTTCCGGAGTCCCATTTCAGATCTACTTTGCCAGGTCTGCATCTCTAATTTTCTAACTTCTGGATGAGCCATCTGTATTAGTCCGTGTCCTTGCTGCTGATAAAGACATAACCGAGACTGGGAAGTAAAAGAGGTTTAATGGACTTACAGGTCCACATGGCTGGGGAGGCCTCACAACCATGGTGGAAGGCAAGGAGGAGCAAGACATGGATGGCAGAAGGCAAAGAAAGTGCTTGTGCAGGGAAACTCCCAGTTTTAAAACCACCATATCTCGCGAGACTCATTCACTATCACGAGAACAGCACAGGAAAGACGCGCCCCCATAATTCAATCCCCTCCCACTGGGCTCCTCTCATGGAACCCAGTCTAATATCTGGAATTACAGGTGTGAGTCACTGCTCCTGGCTCTTTGTTGAGTGACTATTATTTTCCTGGCATAATTCAGAGGGCCTTACAAGGAACCACTGTATGAACATGTTGGTTGTTTATGGAGCTTTTCTCATAGGTTGGAGCACATGGCATAGAGGTATTTAACTGTTTTCAATATCACTATTTCTGTGTCTCAGGACAAGTCTCATGTTCTTATTTCTACCAATCCTGAAACTTACAGGTGACTTGACCTCCAATATTTGCTGGTGTTCCCATTCATATCCTGGAGCACAGTTTTCACTCTTACTACCCACTTCTTAACTCCCCTATTTTCCTATCACAGAAAGACCCAGATATTAGACTAATAGAAATGTGGGTGTTACAATTCAAGACGAAATTTGGGTGGGGACACAGCCAAACTATATCACCCTCCAAGCCAGAGTTTTCAAGTTAATACATGAGCTCTTTGTATGGCCTCATAGTCATTGCAAAAAAACAAAAATCACAGGAGAGCTAACTGTATGGTAAGCATCCATCAGACTTTGTACCATTCTGAAAGAGCCACGTTTAATTTTGTGACAACCCTTCACATAACTCTTGCACAAAAATGGAAACCTACCACACATGTGCTTTCACTGTAGACACAAAGTGTTTTTATTCATTTTGTTTGTTTGGTTTTGCTTTATCTTTTCATCCCCTCCTCAACTCTTCACACCCACCCGCCAGGGTCCAACAACTAATGTTAATAACCAGGTTGATTTGCTTTCAAGGAAGTTTTGTAATGAAAATTTCAGAATATTGTTTGAATGTGTTAAATTTTCAGACCAAAGAAGTTTGTTATTTATCAACAAATGCTGTTTGATTTTAATGCCCGATAAAAGTTCAAATGTATTGGAGAGGCAGCATTCTGGCATGGTTATGGAGGCTGGATCGGGGGAGAAACTGCTTGCATTTGTATACTGATTATTATTCTTTCTAACTGTAATGTTGGGCGGTTACTTAACCTCTCTGTGATTTAGTTCTATAGGCTATGAAACAGAGATGAAAAATAAAATCTGATGGGATTTTTTGGGAATTAAATGCATTAATACTTGTAAGGCACTTTGAATTATGCCTGTAAAATAATAGTCACTCAATGAAGAGCTGGGAGCAGTGACTCACACCTGTAATTCCAGTACTTTGGGAGGCTGAGGCAGGCAGATCTCTTTGAGCTCAGGAGTTCGAGACCAGCCTGGGCAACATAGTGAAACCTTGTCTCTACAAAAAATACACAAGTTAGTCAGGCATGGCGGTGCACACCTGTAGTCCCAGCTACTCTGGAGAATGAAGCAGAGAATCACTTGAGTCTGGGAAGCAGAGGCTGCAGTGAGCAGAGATCACACCACTGCACTCCAAACTGGGTGACAGAGAAAGACCCTGTCTCAAAAAAATAATTACTCAATGAAAAAAAAAATCATGTTTGTATATTGCTGTCATGATCACTGTAATTGCTAGTGTTCTTACTATTTCATTTCTAACTCTAAAACCATGTGTGACCATTTCAAACAGTGGGCTCAGGAGTATTTCTTGAGGATCTCCCACTTGACCCTGTCTCTTGCTTGTATGTTCCTGTGTTTCCTACTCATCTCTTTTATGATGTGCCAAGTGCATTCAGATGGTGGTTGAGGAAGACATGTTAGCCTTTTCCATCAAGAATATGTTGGAATGATTGTGACCCCAGGAGATGGTGTCTTAGGGTCGAAATTTCACTTCATAAAAGAGCATCTGTCTTGATTATTGGAACTTCTCACAGTTTCTTTCTCGACGCTTACACCTCTGTCAAGTTCACCCTAAAGGCCAGTATTGAGGAGCACCTGCAGAGCCTTTATGAGGGCTGCAGTCCTGTCTCTTCACCACCTTCCCGACAGAGTGTGGAAGACCTGGAGGGAAGAAGGCAGTCCCACTGCAAGCTCTACTGGAAAAATCATTTAGCGCTTACATGAATACAAGAAAGAAGGTCAGAGAAGATTTAACAGCAGGACAGCTAGTGAAGCATTGGCAGATAAGCCCACTAAATGCAGTGTTCAAGTTGACTCATCTTGTAATTGATCTATGGGTTTTAATTAGTGTGTGACAGCCGTAATTTACCTTATCTCAAATATTATCATTATTTTTTCAAGCACTTTCCCTTCGATGATTATCTGAACACAGAGTAAGCGTATTTTAATTCAAGGCAACACGCTGTTATCTCCCTTAATTCATCATTCCATATATTAAAAACATATATCTTATTTGAATTTTATTAACGATCAGTACATGTGTTGTAAAATTTTTTTAGTGAAATTTATAAACCCAAAACTCTTTGGAATCATATAATCAAAACATTTGATTACTTTTCACATAAAAGTTGCTATTTCTCAGCATGTTTACTATGTCACTTGAGGTTGACAAATTATGATTTAATGCTAGTGTTTCTTTTCACTGATTATCCATCAGAAGGAAAGTTATGAGTGTTTAATTTTTGGATATTTCTAATTTTATTTACTGTATTAATTACTAAGCCTAAAGGAATTTAGGAAAATAATTTTAAATTAAATGTAGCTTATTGGGAACCTTTACTTATTCCCTTTAAAATATGACAGACTTAGCAATTATGCTCCCTGGGTATTATAAGCTTAGGTAGTCAGTTATTCAATGGGGTTTAACTGGATCAACTGCAAAAGCCACAACTTTTGAAGGAAGCTGACTAGCAAATTCACATATTTATAGTAAGCCTTTATTATAGGGATTTAGAAATATCAATTATAATCTGCTCTCAATTTTTTTATAAAGCAAGAAAACAATATAAGTTGTATCTAGTAAAAAAATATAGATATCACAACATTATATTCCTTCACTTCATTACTCTTTCAATTGTTAAATCTAAGCCAAAGATGTAGGCTGCTTTTGCTCTCCACAAGAGTTTAATTTTTAAACTTCAAAACTATTTTATTTGAATTCAAATTACTAAGCATTTTAATTATTAAGTAAAATTCCTTTCAAATATAATCACATTCACAGCTCTTAATAATAATACCTGTCTAGAGAAAAGTATTAAAAACTAGCATACTCTTGGAAAAATCACTTTATTACTTAGCCTGTTAAAACTATATATGTGCTACTATCACTTGTGGCTAAGTAATTTCTGCAATATTTAACATTCTTGTTTCTGTCATTCATAACAATAAGCTTAACATGAGATATAAAATTAAAAAGGCATATTTGTTAAAATTGTTTAATGATTAAAATCTTTTAATATTTTAAAATAGATAAAACATTACTAATTTAAGGTTCTCCTATAATGTCAAATACACAGTGTCCCAGGAAAGCAGAGATTACAGTGTGTAGGGAAATATTCCCCAGCCAGAATGAATGCAGTATTTCATATACAGTCAGGAAATAAAGAGCTGCTGGCCCTTGGTAGCTAACCTAGAGACCTCTGGGTGCTGAGCTAGAAAAGATGAAGTTTGATTTTGACTTCATTGGATAAACAGAATGTCATCCACACATCCAATTCCACCCACATTGAACCCCTGGCATGGTTAATGATTATAATCTTCACATTTAATCACGAGAACTCAGTGACAGGCAAACAAAGGTTAGCTAAACTGACAGTTCAGACTGTTTCAACGGAAGAGAACTCCACAAGTTTTATTTTTAAATGTGCATGTCCAATTCCAACAACACTCTTCCAAAATGCAGCTGAATTATGTACAAAGCATAGTTACTGGAAAGAGCTCATCTTCTATCTCTCATGTGATAGGAATTATCTGGAAATTTGCTAGGTTACTTTCAAAGGTCCATTTTTCCAGTGCTCCTTTCCTGGTTGAATTAAGTTGGGGGTTTTTAAATATGGAATAAAGATCTGGATAAAAAGGAGATTCTTTTAACTAAAATTGTTTTCATGCTCTTATCTTTAATTAAATCATTTGAGTTATTTTTTCTAAATAATCTCATTTTAACATATTTTTGTTTTTCACAGATTATGCAACCAAATCACCTGGTGTCTACTAAAATGAATGAAAGAACTTAGAACATGTCCTATAGTAGCATGTATTGAAAAATCCTTTAAATGACAATAATTTTAAGTTTTTAGAATTTTAAGCAAACACACTGTGAAAATAAAAATTTTAACATTTATTATGTTTTAATTGAGTAGTCAGAGTAATTTAATGAATTTATATTAGAGAAGTCAAGAATATTATTTACCTTATAATAAAAAATTCAAAATGCATGAGAATTTGGTTATATTAAATTTAATGTGAGGTTTTACGAAAGATAGTGTATGCTATTATACACACATGGATATGCCTTACTGTAAAAATGTTGGTATCTTTTCTAGGATTATGTTTTTATCCTTACATGATAAGATGTACTTTAAAATGTATTTGCAATTTTTTGATGAATTGAATTTTACTTGAAATTTATTACCTAAGCTGTGCGTGGTGGCTCATGCCTGTAATCCCAGGACTTTGGGAGTTCGACGCGGGCGAATCACAAGGACAGGAGAGCGAGACCATCCTGACTAACACGGTGAAACCCTGTCTTTACTAAAAACACAAAAAATTAGCCGGGCGTGGTGGCACTTGCCTGTAGTCCCAGCTACTTGGGAGGCTGAGACAGGAGAATCCCTTGAACCCAAGTGGAGGTTGCAGTGAGTCGAGATCACACCAGTGCACTCCAGCCTGGGCGACAAAGCGAGACTCCGTCTCAAAAAAAAAAAAAAAAAAGAAAAAGAAATTTATTGCCTATTACTGACATTGCTTCTTTTCATAAAACCTTAATTTGAAATAACGTTTAACTTATCTTTTGTGATATTTAATCAATTATTGTTTTAAATTAGTTTATTTCAGTTACTTTGTTATCGTGTTTCCAAAAACTGTATTTTATTCTTTTTTGGGCATGCCAATGTGACTTTGTATTATTGGGTTTTTTGTTTAATGATCTTTAATGATGTCAATGCTTGTTTAATTTTTTTTTTTATTTTTTAAAAAGATTCACTGTAATAAGCTGAAATTTTTTAGAGTTACATGAATCTTATAATTTCACAATTCTATTTTTGGAAAAGAAATCATCAAAATAACCTCTTCCCTGCTTCCAAAAATAAAAAATAAAAGAGAAACAGAGAAAGAGATAATATCAAAGAACATATACAGGTGCAGATCAGAAATACGATGTTTGCCGTTTATGCATTTTGGGGTTCTTTTTAAGAAAGTTGACACAAATTCATTAATAAAAATGGGTAAGCATGATCAGAAAGAGAAAACGCACAATAAATAATTAATGATGGAAACTACTTCAAATTACAAAATCTAGAAAAATAGCATGTTTTTATTAATTGACTGCCTGATAAACTATAAATGATTCCTTAGTTTTTAGTTACATATACTTTGATCACACTTCATACGACAAAATATTATTTGTAATGTTTTTTGTAGAGATAAGAAAAAGGTAATTTAGTAATTTTTTTAGCCCTACTAACTACAATTTGCATTTCATTTTTGATAGTTTAGAAAAGTTTCTTTCAGCATCACAATTAGAGGACTTTTTAGCATATTTGGGGATATCTTGGCCAACTTCTTTTGTATTTCAACTATTACAAATGTACTTGATTTTTTTTAATAGTTCTGCTATATGTTGTGCTCTGCAAACACAAGAATTCAGATCAATTCCATTTTGTATGATTCTCATCAAAGAGAAATATAAGATAAATTTAAATTATTTCAGGTAGATGGAAAATTCTCCTGTGAGTGCGTGATTGACAGTATGTCCTAGAATCAGCAAACATGTTTGAGGCTTTATTGATATTAGAGGTTCCTTTCCACAATTTACAGTAAAAATAGAAACTCGCTGAACCATATACCCACTAAACCTATAGATTTGTTTTCATAAAATGTATCTCTTCCTGTCTTGCTCCTTCCCCTAAACATGTACACTCACATGAGCTCATTTGCATGCATACACACACCTCACACTTAAAATCTTAGAGGCAATAATTGGCTGTAGTGGAGATTCTGTGTCTCCAACAAATTTTCTCTTTAGTCATGTCATAGCAAGATGTTATTGGTAAATAAAGATTTTAAAATTAGTGTTAACTTAAATTCTCCAGAATTTATTATATCTGAATAGAGCAGGCAAAGATTAATTAAATCCAATTAATAATTCCCAACAACAACTATGACACAAACAACCCTATGTTGTTTTCTAAAATCAATAATCAATAAAAAAGCAAAAATTGAGATTTAAAAAATTGGCAAAATGCACATTTTATTTACAAGAATTCCAAGAATTTCAGCAGAGATAAACCAATAAAATTCTTTTTTTAATGTCAAATAAAATTATATACTTATTCTTTACGTTTGTGAGGAAGGGCTTATATACTATAGATATTGTTAATCATATTACATATTTTGAAATAATCAATAATACTAATTATCTTGAAAACCTATCCCATATTTTCGTGTATTACACTCACATAATAAAACAAAATAACACTTAGGTTGCATAAACACCTGTACTGCCAATAAATAAAAACAGTTTTTAATCCATCACTCCATCACTTGTAATTTGATAAAAAGTAGAATTCATGAAATATACAAACTTTTTAAATCCATAAATCAATGCTTTGCTCTACACCTCATACCTGATAAAAGTGTATGCACACATTTCTCCTGAGAAATGTTAGTATTATGTAAGTTGTTTACAATTACCTTTACCTTATCCGATGTATATTTGAAATATTTGCAATAACAAAGTTTTCCCATTCTCAACATTTAGATTACCAAATATCTCACTTGTGATCAGGTATCTGTTTTTCAATTTGGCAAATTATGTTGGCAAATGCCATTGTAACTAATCAGAACATCTGAAATAGAAGCATACATTAAAAGAACTTCTAAAGTTTATTTTATTGGAAAAAAAAGAAGAATAGTAAAAAACTGTAGGAAGAGTTAGTGATGATTTTGCCTGTAGATAGAAGTTAGACTGAGGATAGCTTTTTTAAAAAAAATCTGTTTCCAAGGTTATATAACACATTGCTTGAGCCATCAAGATTTTATTAAGGAGGAAAATAAATGAGAAAAAAAAATTATGCTGTATTTTAAGCCTAAAATGATAGAGTGATTGCAAAATGGATTAGAGGTATTGTTTATTCTCATATTGATTCTCGCCTGTAGACATTTAAACCAATGCAACAAACAAGCTGAGAATGAATGGGTAAGCCGCGTAACTTTTTCAATTTTATAGCCACAGAAGCAGGACACAGTGACTTATAATCCTGAAGCATTTGCTGTCCATCTAAGATAGGAACCAGCAACATTGAGGAATGGACTGCTCAACTTTCTAGAATAGGTAAGAACTGAAATCCATGAAGGATACTGACATCCGGAAGAAACACACCAATATGAACATGGAACAAGAGACTCACTGTCAGTGTGTGTTCAGGTAGTCATGTCTAGCAGGAAAAACAAACAACGTTGAAAACACACACTGCTATGTCTCAGTGAAAAGTTAGACCAAAATTCAGCTAACATGGGATGTGAGTCCTAAGGGAGGAACTTTAGGAAAGTCAGTTAGTCAAAGTATTGTTTTTATCTGTTTTTTTTGTTTGTTTGTTTTTGTTTTGTTTTGTTTTTGTTATGTTTCTAATTTTTAAAGTAGAAATAATTCTGCATAAAGCTCACATTCAAGTTAAATAAGATGCTCTTCATGATGGTCCTTTATCAGTTATCTAGTGTCATGTAAACAGTAGATACACCATCCCTGCAGAGAAGCAGGAGATGGTGAGAGGAACAATTTGATTTGCTGTCCTCTCAAGCAGTCTTCATTTCTGTGTGCCCCTCACAGAGCAAGTGCCTCAGTCTCTGGATTTGTTCTTGATAATATATATTTCCACTTCACATGCTGACTTTATAACCTAGTTTCATGTACGAGATTCAATGTTATGTGGATTTCACCTGATACTAGAAGAGACATGAAGTATAAGAGAAAAAATGTCCCAGAATTTATTGGGAGAGAGTTTTCCCAGTAGACTGCAATTCTCTGTTGAGAAAGTCCAAGTGAATTCAGTGCCCAAAGTATAATGGTGAACAACTGTATGAGATACTAGTGGATGCATATCAGCCCCATTCTACTGAATTATACATAAATAGGTGGCTTTGCTTCCAAAAAACATGTGGTGCATACAACTACCTATTTTTGGTATAGTCTGTGCAGTTCTCATCAGAATTTCCATACTGCTGCAGTCACAAGCTCAGAGAAGCCAACTATTTGTCTCACTGATTTTCCTTGAGTACACTGAAGGACAGCGTCTGGTAGGAAAAGGCCATAAATACCTGCATAAAGCCAAAGTATTATTTTTCCCAAGCTATTTGCTATCATATAAAGCGTGCCTTTTCCTGTCACATCTTAATTTGAACTCAAAATTCACTTATATAACATAGTCACAGATATAGAATTATTTGTCATAGTTCATTTTATGTGAATTCTACATCAAAACACCTTAGAGAGTTACATTATAAAATCATAGTGGAAGAGAAGCTAAACAAAAACTGAGACAAAAATAAACTAGAAATAAAAGTTTCAACATGAGCTTAGCTGGTGAAGCAAGTAAGCAAAGGGAGATTTCTCCAAAGGAAAAAAAAAAACTCAGAAACAAATTGTCTTACTTTTTTACTTCATCACGTCAGTATTTATATCTACAGAACCAAAAAATATGTCTGTGTATGTATTACACACACACACACACACACAAACACACATGCACATGTATCTTTCTATAAATATAAACTATATATACAAACACACACACATATATATACTATATTTGTAGTATATAAATTCATAATTTCCTGGTTTCTTAGGAAGACAAAGGTTAATGATCCATCCTTTGTTATAGCTACCATTAAATTATGAAATTGCTGGAAATTGTTCATTACTTTCTCATGCTCCACTGGTCTATGCAGTCTATTTACAGAGACCAACAGAAGCCCAAATATGGTCTTCAGAAAGGACTAAAGTTGCAATTGCAAAATGACAGTTAAGAAATTCCTCTGGTACTTTAAAATATATATTTTAACAAGAAAATATCTGGCCGTGTGCGGTGGCTCACGCCTGTAATCCCAGCACTTTGGGAGGCCGAGTGGGGCAGATCCCGAGGTCAGCAGATCGAGACCATCCTGGCTAACACGGTTAAACCCTGTCTCCACTAAAAATACAAAAAAAAAATTAAAATTAGCTGGGCCTGGTGGCAGGTGCCTGTAGTCCTAGCTACTCGGGAGGCTGAGGCAGGAGAATGGCGTAAACCCGGGAGGCAGAGCTTGCAGTGAGCCAAGATCGCGCCACTGAACTCCACCTGGGCAAGACTCCTTCTAAAGAAAAAAAAAAATCCATGAGGCAATGGATTATAGTATGGTAAATATCGAAAGAACACTTCATTTTCAAAATTACTGATATTTTGAAAATAACTAGAATAGAAAGTTTCCCTAGGATGAAGGTTTGGGATCAGTAGAAAATTATCTGAGAAGTATTGAGTCATTACACATCCCAGTCCCTGAACAAAGACCTGCAAAGTAGTTACTATTACAAGCCCCATTCTAGAGATGACAAAACTTAAAGTGAAAGAGAAAATACTTGGCAAATATCTCAGCGCTGTGATAGCCTAATATGAGGGCCTATGTGTCTTCTTATTTGTAGAGCAACGATGGAAAAGAAATAGATCTTTTACCAATCTAGGCTCTTCCTACCAAATCTCCATTTTCTTTGCACACACCCACTTTAAACTTAGAACCTTAAAAACAAAGCATGCTGACTAACATGTTCTTCAGTCCTTTAGATATAAATATCGAAGGGCTCCAATGCATATATTCATTTTTTTAAAAGCCCAAAACATTCATGTAACGTTTCTAAGGTTTCTTATATAAATTGTTATTTTACATAACAGTTATTTATGTAATTGAATATTCATATACCACACATTACCCTTCGACTAGAATTGATCCAACATTATGCTATCATACTGTGCGTATTGTTGGAGCAATTTCATGAGACTTTGATTCTCTGAAAATAATACAAACTTTAGTGTTCTGGAGTAAATTTTACTTTTTTAAAAATAAAAAATGTTACAGCTAGGCAAAAACAAAACTAAGCACCCCTCTGCAAATTTTTTTCTTTTTTAATTAAGATACAGTATTGTATGTCTTGCAATTTTGTAGGAATGGGCTTTCATTAACAATAAACTCTGTCATTCTTTTCATTCTGTTTCACTAATTCAAATTTATGTCATTCTATTATCCCAATAGTTACAACTGTCTTGATTGGTTTGAGGTATATTATCCATTTTTTTTTGTATTTCATTTGTTTTCACAGATTTCTTATTCAATGTAGAAGTTCATGCTACCAAATTAAATATTTTAAAGCTATTTTTAAAAGACCAAAGTAGGAAAAATTTAAATAACATCAAAATAATTAAAATAATGCCTATTTTAAACAGCTTATTTTATTTTAAAAAATATTTTGTTCTACTTTGAATTAACCTCAAATATATTAAAAGTCTGCAAATATGGGATAAAGAACTTTCATTTTTGTGGGATCTTCTGAGGACAATTAACTTGTCCTTTTTCCAATTCCCCATCACCCTGAAAATATTTAATGTTAATCTGTACCAACAAAAATCTTTTCCTGCATGACCACAGTGCCACTAACAAATCCAGTAAATTAACATTGATGAATTATTGCCATCTAAACCTCAGACCTCATTCACATTTCACCAAATGTCCTAATAATGTCCTTTTCACAAAATAATTCCGTTAAGAATCATGGTATTTAATTTTAATCTCTCTCAAGTTTTTCATTCTTGGAAAATCCCAGAGTTCTTACATATCATTCATAATCTTGACATTTTAAAGATTACAAGCCAGTTATTGTGTAGAGCATTCCTCTGGTTGGGTTTTGGTTTGGTTGGTGTTGCCTCATATTTAGATCCAAGCTAAGCATCTCTGTCAGGAAGTAATGATGTTTTTTTCCCATTGCATTCTATTAGGTAGAACATGATTTCAAGTTTCCCTTCATTGATAATGCTTACTTTGATCACATAATAGAATGTTTATCCGGCTTCTCTATTGAAAAATTACACTTTTTCTCTTTGCAAATAGTAAGAATTTGGGGGGAGCTATTTTAACATTCTGTAAATATCCCATCCCTTATGAAATTTTCAATTGTTTGATTTATTTATTTTGATCTCAATGGACCCAGGTTTTATGTTTCATTTAATGGATTATAATATGCTTTTAGAATAACTAATTTTGACACTGAAATTCTACAAAATTTGCCCAGTAAGAGATGTCTTCAAGAGAGATTGTTCATCTTACCCGTCTTTATCATCATTAAGCATGTCTTGTTTTGTAACAACACAATATATTCCTGAAACATATAATTCTTTTCCTGTCTCAGCTGTGAAAAAGGAGCCCTGGTTTCTTTTACTGGAGGATGTTATTTAGAACCCAAATTCCAAGAGCTAGATGTGCTTATTCATGCTGAAGCCTCTTTCAGTGCATGAAGCTAGAAAATACGTATACATGCATACATCTATTTGCATAGACACATACATTCACACACACACACATAGAGAGAGAGCAATGTGAGGCATGAGTCCACACTAACACCACTCCGATCCAACACCACAGAGGTCATTCGAGTTTTTACCTTTCCATGTTTGTAAGTCCCCTCTCCAAGAATGAGCAATCTGGCTTTTGTTATCCTTAGCATATAAACTTATTTGGTAAAACCTTCTGTATATAACTGTGTGAATGCTCTTCAGAGTAACAGAACCAATAGGATATTATGTATATTTCATATATTATATATATATATATATAAATGTATGTGTGTGTGTGTGTGTGTGTATTGTGAGAGAGATTTATTAAGAAAATTAGCTAATGTGATTATGGAGGCTGAGAAGTCCCATCATCTGTTGTCTGCACGATAGGGACCCAGGTAAGCCAGTGGTGTAGTTCAATGATACTTAGTTCAAGTCAGAAGGCCTGACAGCCAGAATAGCTGAAAATGTAAAGTAATTAATGCATGTTGGGGAAAAAAGACAAAATTGTGCATAAAGACTTTAATTCACCTCTCTAGACTCATGACAATAACAACATAATAATGTAGTATGTAGCAGAAGAAAAAATAGGACCAATTTGGCAGGGCGGGGTGGCTCACGCCTGTAATCCCAGGACTTTGGGAGGCCGAGGTGGGTGGATCATGAGATAAGGAGACTGAGACCATGGTGACCAACGTGGTGAAATCCTGTCTCTACTAAAAATATAAAAATTAGCCAGGAGTGGTGGTGCGTGCCTGTAATCCCAGCTACTCAGGAGGCTGAGGCAGGAGAATCACTTGAACCAGAGAGGCAGAGATTGCAGTGAGAGGACATCATGCCACTGCAATCCAGCCTGGCGACAGAGTGAGACTCCATCTCAAAAAAAAAAAAAAAGAAAAAGAAAAAAATAGGACCAGTTCTTAAATACATAAAAAACTTGACAGAAAGAAAAACATTAGTTATTTTTCAAGTATCTTTGCTGTATTCATAAATATTGACCCTATTTTAGATCATGAAGAAAACTAAGTCAAAAAGTAGAACAAATAAAACAATGCTATCTGATTATAAAATTAAAATAAACAAAAAATAAGACAATTAGAAAAAATCTCTTTATTCTGGCAAGTAAAAGAATAAATCACTTAAGCAACACTTTAGAGAAAAAATATACATCAAAATAATTCAATGTATCAAACATACCTATATATGTATGTAGGTACTGAAAATAGAACTATGTTACTTCTAAAGGAATGATCATAGATAAAATTATCTGATATTTTATAACAATGTGTCAACAATTGGAAGATGAATAAAACTCATTGAACCAATGTTTTCCAAATGACCGATGCAAGATGTTACCAAATTATATATGGTTAAGAAATTCATTCAAATTACACAATGGATTTTTGTATTACAAAGGTGAGAAAAAGTCATAGTTACGGTTTCAGATTCTACAATCCAACCAACTTTTAAGAAAATACTACCTGTCAAGTTTTGGTGTGGTGTGAAAAAGAATATCCACAATTATCTGAAGTTGGTTAAAATAGTCCTCCCATTTCCAACTATATATTTATATGAGTATTAGGATGGATTTTTTTTCATCTATTACAAGCAAAATAAATATAGCAATAGCTGAATACGAAAGTAGATAGAAGAATCTGCTGTGTTCTATTAAGTGAGATTTTTAAGAGATTTACAAAATGCAAAACGTACCAGTCTTTTCAACTTTGTTTATATTATTATTTTTCATAAAATATTTATCTTTTTGTAAAAATATGTCATTTATGTTAATATGCATGGCTTTATCGTGTTAAAAATATATATATGTATTTCAACATTTCTCAGTTTTGATTTCTAGTATAGTGAATATCAATATATATGGCCCATTTAAACAAAAGAACTTTAGAATCCTTGGTAACTGTTCAAGGTTTAATTAAGTCCTGACAGCAAAAGGATTGGTTTCAACAATCTGTATCTTAAGTGTTGAGTTTAGACCATTCAATGTAATTGTTGATACACTTATAATTATTTGTATCATACTGTTGTTTTCTGTTTTTCTGTCTTTATTTTTCTGCCTCTGTTGATTTCTTCTTTTTATTTGAATTAATTTTATTTTAGAACTTCATTTTAATTTTTGGTTGAGTTTTTTGTTTTAATTATATCTGTTTTGGGGGAAATTCCTGGTGGCTGCTCTAGAGATTTAAACATATATTTTTAACTTTTCACTATATACTTAAAAGTTTATATTTTTCCATTTTCATGGTCTTCCTTTATTCCTGAAGTTAAGTTTCTTTCATGAATCATTTTCCTTCAGTCTCAAATACCTCTTTTAGCATTTCTTTTAGAGAAGATCTGCTAGTGAAAGTTGCTTAGCAATTTTCCTTCATTTGACAATAACTTTCAAATTTATTTCTAGAGAATATTTTCACTAGATGTAAAGTTCTGGGTTGGCAGTTATTTCCTGCCAGTATTTTAAATGGTGATTAACTGCTCTCTGCCCTCCCAAAGTACAGAAGAAAACAGAAACTAAACAAAGACAAGGAATTTTCCACATTTTTTTTTTTTCCTGATTCATATGGTTCACCCTCTCCTATTCTCAAACCAGACAGGATTTCTCTTAGAACTCTGTCCACACTGGAAACCAAGCTATACAATTTAGTTTATAATAGCAGTATCTGAGCTGCTCCAAAATATATATATATCAACAGTGGTAAATACTGTAGATATATATATATATATATATACACATATAGATATATATATGCAAAAAATATATATATATACACACAAGCACTAGTTTCTTATGTCATTTAAGACATTTTTTACCTGTATACTTTTTTTGATGTGATTGTTTTTTAACATGCTAAAAGTAAAAAGAAAAAAAAAAAAGAACTCTGTCCACACTGAGGACGCTCTTTCAATTTTGGGTTGCCTTCCAGGCTAGGTCAGAAGATACTGGAGGAAAATAAAGTGGGAATCTCCCTGGCACTTTAGTTATACTTTGAGTTGTATTTTTTATTTTTTTCTTTCTTTTCTTTTTGAATCTGTCTGCTACCATTTAATTATCAGAGTCAAGAAGCTCACATAACTGCTCCATGCATTCCATTCATAATTATTTGGCTGCATTTAGTAGGAGAGATAGTGATGGGTGTGTATGCTATGTTGGCTGAAATAGAATAGGTCTTAACTTACACCAACTGCCTCTGCACCTATCTAAATAATCGTAGACTATACTGTTGATATGAATTACACGGATATTAATCGTTCAATCAAATGTGCTTTCTTGGATGAAATCGCAATAAATTCTGATCCTTCCTATAGCACTGAATTTAATTTGCTAGCATTTAATTTAGATTTTTGCATCCGTAATACTGACAGGGATGATCTATAATTTTCCTTCTTTACTATCTTTCTCAGGTGTGAAAATCACAGTTGCGTTGACCCAAAAATTCAGTTGAAAAGTGTACCTTCTTTATTTGTTCTTGTACCTCTCTGGGTCTGGGTTTTTATTATTTGTATAGTGTGAATATTGTTTCTTTGAATTTTAATTGTGGTAAAAATCACATAACATTTACTATCTTAACCGGTTTTAAGTCTAGAGTTCACTAGTGTTAGCTATACCTGCACTGTGCAAAGATCCCTAGAACTTTTCATCTTTCAAAACTGAAACCCGGTACCCGCTGAACAACTCCCCTTCCTCCCCCACCAACCCCCGACCATGCTCTGCACGGCCTCTGGCAACTACCCTTCCACATTCTATTTCCATGAGTTTCACTATTTCAAATCGTTCATATAAATCAAGTCATACAGGGTCTGTTTTTGTGCAACTGGCTTTTTGGTTTAAAATTTTAAAGTACATTTAGAAGTCATCATACTCTCTGTTTGTTTTTGTGACATTTTAAATGAAAGTTATATTTTGAGAAATTGGTCAAGTTCAAATTGTCACTTTTTAGCATAAAATTATTCATAATATTTTTTATCATTTTAATGACTAAAGTGTCTATAATAAAATTTTTCCTTTCTGACAGATTTTATTTCTATTTTTTCTATCTATCCTTATATATTTTATATATATATATATATAAAGTCTTTTGTTTGTTTGTTTGTTTTTGTTTTTGTTTTGACGGAGTCTCACTCTGTCACCCATGCTGGAGTGCAGTGGCATGACCTCGGCTCACTGAAACCTCCACTTCCTCGGTTCAAGTGATTCTTCTGCCTCAGCCTCCTGAGTAGATGGGATTACAGGCATGCACCATGACGACAGCATGTAGGTTTTAGTAGAGTTGGGATTTTGTCTTTTTGGCAAGGCTGGTCTTGAACTCCTGTCCTTGAGTGATCCACCCGCCTCAGCCTCCCAAAGTGCTGGGATTACAGGCATGAGCCACCATGCCCGGCCTCAAGTCTTTACATATATTCATAATGCTTAACTTTGTTAAAAATTTTCTACTTTTATTTTAGATTCAGGGGGTACATTTGCAGGTTTATTACATAGATGTATTGCATGATGCTAAGGTTTGGCATATGGATGATCCTGTCATCCAGGCAGTGAGCATAGTAGCCAATAGATAGTTTTTCAGATCATGACCCCCTGTCTCCTTCCCTCCTCTAGTAGTTCATAGTGTCTGCTGGTGCTATCTGATGCACATGTATACTCAATGTTTAACTTCCACTCAGTGAGAGCTAGGTGCCCATTAACAGTGAATTAAAGAAAAAGTGGCACACATACATCATGGAGTACTATGCCGCCATAAAAAGCATGAAATCATGTCCTTTGCTGAAACATGGATGCAGCGAGAGGCCATTATTCTAATCAAATTAATGCAGAAACAGAGAAACAATTACCACATGTATATGTTTTTTGTAATATCGACGTGTGTGAAAGTTGTGTAAAGCCTTTCACCAAGATTATGCAACTTTTAACTTCCTTTTTTCACTTTCTTTTGGAGGGGTATGTGGAGTGAGGTTGATCTCATACTATCTACCTGTGGTTTGTCCCTAACCCTCCAGGACTTTTATCTGAGAGAATCTTACATATTCTGCAGGCCTCTTACCTCAGGCACTTCCAACCATTGCCTCCCCAGAGTGCAGAAAATCTCCAGTCAGTGTTTCAAAAGCTTTCTGCTTTTTTGGTTAGTACCTGCCCATAGGGCAGGGTGTACAACACCAAACTGTCCTTCTGGGGTTTGGTCAGTGTCCCAGAGTTAAACCGGCCAGGTGTTGGAAGCCCACAGGTCTCTGGCAAAGTTCTGTTTTTTGTTGTTGTTGTTTGTTTTTTGTTTTGTTTTGCTTATTGTTGTTGTTTGTTCGTTTGCTTTTCTAAATGGCTGTAAGCTCTGATTCTCCACTGCATCCTCTCTCCCATGATAAAACCGTCCCTGGGAAAAGTTCTGCAGGTCACTAACCTGAACAACATTCTTCGCCTCTCCAGATTCTTAACAACATTCTTCACCTCTCCAGATTCTTAGCTCCTCTACTTCCCTTGTCTATGAAGTTTTTTGCTGCATTTCAAAGACTGTATATCATTGTCTATTCTATCTTTTCCAGTTTTTTTAGGCAGATGTCCCAGTCTCTTATTGGAGTAGAACATTAGGCTCCAATCAGCTACTGTATTGTGCTTGGAATCCAAAGGCAGTTAAGTTCAGATTAATGATTAATAGGTAATTTCCTTGTTTTGTTTTCTTAACTTTATGCAGGTGAGTTTTTGCAGGATTAGGTGTATCTACATGTTTCTTCTCCTCACATTTCTGTCTCTCACTCTCTCTCTCTGTCTCTCCTTCTGTCTCTGGAAGTAGAGGCAGGGAAGTGTTCTTGATTGCCTGGAATGTTTTTATGGTTCAAAGTTTAGGAGTAAATTTGCATTTCTTTGCTTTTTTCTAACCAAGTGAGAGTGACATCTGTATGAATCGTTTTTATTTTACAATTTCTGTTGTTATTTTCAATGCAAAACATTTCTCCCCCTCCATAGAGATAGAATATATTCGTGAATATGAATTTTTCTCTGTAATTCCTAATTGGATATGCAAAGTCTCTTTCTGAAACTAAACAGGATTTTAACGGCTGTTGCCATCAGTTCATCTAGTCCTTTCTCTCTGTTGTAAATACATGGTTTGGATTTTGCACTTCAGATTTGTATTTGACTGGATCTTTTTTGATGACTACTATTTGAGTCTTTCTCTGAAGACATCTCTGATACCTTCCACAAGGTTCTCTGGACTCTTCACTCATTCTGGAATATTACGCACTTGTTCTTAGATGGAGGCTCTAATTTTCTCCTAGTTTCATTCAAAAAATAAAACCTGGTATTTTGGTTGTAGTTCTCCTTGTTGCTTTTCAATAATTTCTGGGAACAGAAGGGGAAAATGCCAGCTTTATACATCTTCAAAGAGAAAATTAGCAAGTACCACTCTACTAATTTCTATATTTTTCAGGGTAAATTATACAATATGCAGGGGATGGCTCTGTAAAATATTTTTCTAAATTCTCAAACTCTGTTAAAATATTACACCTGTTTACCCATATGCTACATTTTAATTTGAATACTTATTGTAGTATCTTATTTACATAACAGCTAAAGATTGAAATATGTGGGACCAAGCCAGAGATATAGTAAAAGAAATTGATAATTCCCATGAATAGAAATTAAACACGCGTGTACACACACACACATGCACACTCACGCGCGCACACACACACACACATACACACAGAAAAGATGCTACAAAAATGTGGCAATCACCAGTATGTTTCTAAAAGTCAGTGAACTAAAGCAAAACTTCGGAGGATCCTTAGTTGACATCTCCTATGAAACTGTAATGATTTAGAGAGAAAAGGTGCTTGAGATAATTCGTTTGCATCTCTGAATTAAAGCCAAGTTACACTGAAGTTTTCTGTTGTTGTCGTTGTTGTTTTTTGTTTTTTTGTTTTGAGATGGAGTCTGGCTTTGCCATCCAGGCTGGAAGGCAGTGGTGCAATCTCGGCTCACTGCAACCTCCGCCTCCTGGGCTCAAGCAATTCTTCTGCCTCAGCTTCGTGAGTAGCTGGGACTACAGGCATGCACCACCACACCCAGCTACTTTTGTATTTTTAGTAGAGACGGGGTTTCACCATGTTGGCCAGGCGGGTGTGGAACTCCTGACCTCAGGTGATCTGCCCACCTCGGGCTCCCAAAGTGCTGGGATTACAGGCATGAGCCTCTGCTCCCAGCCAGAAGTTTTGAATTATGTCTAATGTTTGTGTTTGAATACTGTAAAGTGTCAGGTAGAGAAGGGCTGACATAAGTTGATATAAAGCACTTTATCAGCTGATTAGAGAATCATGAGAAAACAGTTAAGTCCTAGTCTCTACATCTCTATCCACAAACACGAACAACTAAAAAGATGGGGGAAATTCCAAGATACTTTCTTTTTATTTCTTTAAAATCATCTTTCAGGCAGTTCAAGCATTTAAATATTCTAGCACATTGCTGTAGGTCAGAAATAAAAATGATACTGGGTTACATTCAGGAACTTGAAAAATCTTATGTAGCAAATAAATAAGTTGAATTTTTAAACATGATATTCTGCATGTGTGTCTTACCTTAGAAAACTCCGACTAGCCACTTAGTGACCTTGTTTGTGGTATCATTACAACTCCTGGCAAGCTCTGGCTAAAGAAACCTTCAAAAATTAACAATAGTTACAAAGCAGGAGGCGATAATTACCCTCAGTAATGAGTCTGCTTGCCAGATTCCACAACGGTAGCATTCCCAACAGGAGACCCAGGCTATTTTTATGTCAGATGTATTTACCCTTGACAATCCTTAATTACTTTCCTAGTTTTTTCTTGACTCACCTTAACTACCATGACTGCTGTGAGCCCCAAACTGACCACCAATTACCAATAATTCAGATGACAACAACCCATTGTTGGACTTGCTAGTACCCTGACACTGAAAAGGTTAAGCTTCTTTTGAATAAATCATAATCACAAATGCTATATTAAATTCCTAATTTTAGGATTGTTTTTAAACCCTGTGAATAACAATTTTAAAACTTTAAATGAAAAGATTGTCATTCATGTACTCAATTTGTTTCAAAAGCAGTATTATGAAGTCTAATATAAGCAATGATATTCACAAGGGAGTACATGAGAGAGAGATTGGAATAATATCAATAGTTATACAATTACTATGTGCTGAAGATTTCTATTGTGAAGTTGTTCAACTTATTTCTTATTACATTTATACAAAATGCTGATGCAGTTAAATTGAGTCAGTTGATTATCACAATTCTTGATGGCTTAAGATACGGTAAGTAACTTGTCTAAATGCTAGGTCCTAAATTAAATCCTGTAAAATTGACTTTTTTAAAAAATGCAATGACATTTGGAGCCAGGGAGATGGGGTAAAATAAATCCCCCAGCAGTCTCATCTTTTCTTTTGTAAATGTAAAACAGTAATAATAACAACAATCAGCTAACTTGGTATATATTTTGTAATGTAATGGTATATATTTTTATAATGTAGAGGAGACTTTGTTTGTGGAAAATCCCCAAATGTTTGCCAATACAAAGTAATGATACACTGGAGTGGATTCCTGAAAAATATAACAAAACAAAACAAAAACATCCTTCAATGTTCTGCAGAAATCATTGTTGACTTACAAAATTGTAAAGCAAGTAAATAAAGACCTTCAAGTGGTCCAAAGTGGTATCAAAGGGTGATATACCTCATAAGTAAGAGGGAAATGTAGATATCTTTGATCCCGTACAATTAGTATCATTTTCATGGTTCTTGCTTCATGGAGCTGAACTCCGATTGTTAGAGTAGGTAGTTAGGCAGACATGAGCAGGGCAGGGCAGGGCAGGAGAGGTCACCCCTACTCCTGCCACCCAGGAATGTCAGGTGACCATCAGGTGATGGTCAGACAGTTGATAAACGCTCTAAAATAATAATTGGTCACAGCTGGCGCCAGGGAAAGGCTATCTCCCAATGGACAGAAAACACCTGAAGCTGGTATCAGCAACTTCCTGATAAGATCTCAGAAGTTGGGCGCGGGGCTCAAGCATGCACACTAAGAGACAAAATGGCAGAGTTTAACTGCCATATAACCTTCTTCTAGGACCACTCAACTGGTAAGGGAAAAACGGCTCAAATGCGCACGTGAACAACTTCAGGGAACACACTGCATGTGGTCCCTCACAAGGGCTGGCAGGCCACTGCACATGCGGACAGCCTGCCCCAAGGAAACATCACGGGAGGAGAGGCACAAACCCAAGAAGCATGCCAACATATAAAACCACAAATCAAAGATCAAGCTGGGCACCTTTGGCTTGTGTTTTTGTATGTTGCCATGCCCACCTGGCCCCCTTTCAGTATGTTGACTGATATGGGATGCTGACATTGTCACTGTCCTCTCTAATATCATGGTTCTAACTAACTGAGTTTACCATAATGCATCGGTCTTAAAATTTGTTCACATGAAACCAGACCCTTCAGGAACAAGCTGAAACAGAGGAGATCTTCAAGTTAGCGTCTAAGTTTCTTCTCACTCTAGTTTTGTTTTTAAGTTTTAATTTATGCAGTTGACTATAGTGTTTCTCTGATCTTTCAATTTTGCTTTGATAATGTTTCATCCTTTACCTGAAAGTTCCTCAGTACACAGTACAATCTATCACAATGGAAAGAACATTAAATTTTTTCCATGAATCCCATATTCTCACTAAGAATTCATGGAAAACTAGATTTATATTCTGATTTCATCATTATTTATTCTACACCATAATTATGGTGTAGAATATTACAAGTTGCAGTTCACACATGTTGAATTGAATAATATCTGTGTTCCAGTATTATATTTAGGATATTTGAACCTTACACAGTCCTGGTAGCATTAGCATCCCTCAGCAAATAGAGTGCCTATTTCATTTTCCAGTGCATGAGATTAATTTATACTCTTATGGTCATTTAACTCATTTGCAAGGTTGTAGTTTTAATTCTTTCTGATCCCCTAAATACCCCAAATCGTTTTCCCACCACTCTATTATACATCCACGCTCTCCTATAAAATGAAATTCTCATCTTTTTAGGATTACATAAGTGATTTGACCGAACTCTAATTTCTCTTCCTGTGCCAGCATCTGTCACATCATAGGTGGTGCCCCTCTTTTATAAACCCGATCCACATTATGCCCATCCCTGCCATCATCTTCATGACGTTAATATCTACATATGAACAAGACTCTGCATTTATTGATGGCATATCAAATGGCCTTGACCACTTCTTTACTGCTACTTTCATTCACAGACATATTCTGGGACTTGTTAAAAGTCTTATATCAACATAACCATCTCAGTATGAGGCATTATTTTCTAGTCTTGCAGCTTGCCTGCTCAGTGTTCCCAGTGAAGACTTGCTTTTGACCATCTTAGAAGCGCTCATCCTTGGCCGGTCGAGCATTTCCCTATTTCTTAACCTTCTCATATTACTTTGCCTTTTAATCCAGATTGTGTAAAGTCACTAGAAATTTTTCTACTTATAAAATTACTAAACATATACTGCAGATAGTTTGAAAGCACAAATAATAAAATAATAATAACAAATAATAAAATGTCACCCATAATATCACCATCCAAAGATAACATTTTGACATATGATTCACACACACACACACATTTATGAATCTGAGACAAAAAATGCCATGCAAAGTTAAGAAAATGGGCTCTCTGTTAAGACTGGGGCTGGGCGCAGTGGCTTATACCTCTAATCCTAGCACTTTTGGAGGCCAAGGCGGGCGGATCACGAGGTCAAGAGATCGAGACCGTCCTGGCCAATATAGTGAAACCCTGTCTCTACTAAAAATGCAAAAATTAGCTGGGTATGGTAGTGCACGCCTGTAATCCCAGCTACTCGGGAGGCTCAGGCAGGAGAATCGCTCGAACCCGGGAGGCAGAGGTTGTAGTGAGCCGAGATCACGCAACTGCACTCCAGCCTGGGGACAAAGCAAGACTCTATCTAAAAAAAAAAAAAAAAAAAAAAAAAAAAAAAAAAAAAAACGGAGCCGGGCTATAATCCAGCAGCAATGTATAGTAGTTGTGTTGCTTGGGCAGGGTAGATCACTTTTATGTTCTTCAATCTCCTCCTCAGGAAAACAGAATGAAAAGGATGTTACCTCAAAAGTTGGTTGCAAAGTAAATGAATCAACCCTTAAAATATTTTAGTAAAATAAGTGGCACATCATATGCAAACAATTGATATTAGTTATTTTAATATTATCATTGATTTTCTTCTAATTATTACTAATCATGAATAGATTATGAATATCTATAATTCCCTTATTTTTCGATTTTCTAGATATGATTTGAAGGCATGATTTTTAATGTTTGATATGTTTTTTATTTGCAAATTTTATATATATATATATATATATATATATATATATATATATTTTATTGATAGTCTTTTCTTCCAAGTCCCTTGACAAATTAATGTGCTGAACATGGTCAAAATTTCAGAGAAAACCTTTTTTTGTATCTACGTATCTAAATCAATCTTCATTGAAATCGAATCTTCATTCTGTAACTATGAGCGAACACTAAGGATCACCAAATATTAAAGAAAAACTGATAGTGTGAAGTAAGGCAAAGACAGAACTAACAAATATGTAGAAAAATTCTGGAAACAAAATATCGATTTTATATAATTCTTTCATTTGTTATTTTCAGATAACCTAGAATATAAAAGATTCATGAAATGAGAAAGGAAAGAGGGAAACAAATTTTTTTTAGGCGGAGTCTCGCTCTGTCGCCCAGGCTGGAGTGTAGTGGCGTGATCTCAGCTCACTGCAAGCTCCGCCTCCCAAGTTCACACCATTCTCCTGCCTCAGCATCCCGAGTAGCTGGGACTACAGGCGCCCACCACCACGCCCGGCTAATTTTTTTTTTTTTTTTTTTTTTTGTATTTTTAGTAGAGATGGGGTTTCACCGTGTTAGCCAGGATAGTCTCAATCTCCTGACCTCGTGATCCACCCGCGTCGGCCTCCCAAAGTGCTGGGATTACAAGCATGAGCCACCACTCCCGACCAACAAATTTAAAAAGTGTGCAAAAAACACAAAGTGTTTTCTAGAATGGTAAATCACCTCAATCACCTCATTCCAGAACAATACAATTTCAAAAATAACTTAATGGAAATTTGAAGAAAATAAAATTTGTAGAACGGAAATTCAGGGTCCTGATTTTAAAAGCTAAGTTCAGGCTTCAAGTCAGACAGCTCTTGTGCTGTAGGAATTCACTATCAGTCAGTGATACAGATCTACATTAAGAATACAGACTTAAATAAACAGCTCCAAGAGTAACATATGTGCATTTTAAGATTGAGAGTGACTTGAAAGACAAAAGCGTTTCCTGGAAGTAGGAGGAATACATGAGATGTGAAGAAGTAAAATTCTAAAATCTTCCTGGCCAACTCTGACTGCAAACTCCTTTAAGTGCTGCTGGAGTGAAATATCACTGGGACCGAACACCAGAGGCAGCAGATGCTGCTGAGGATTCACTGACACACCCTCCTGGGGTTAAAAATCTCCAGCATTTCCCAGAAAAAAATGGAAAGCCATAGCTCATTATGACCAACACACGTTGCATTTTCCTGGTGCCAACACCAGCAAGTGGAAGTTTGGAGGCAGTTGGTATGTGTCTATAGCCAAAACAGAAAATATGAAGATAGAAAATTGGAGGCAATCCTGTGTGAGCTATGAGGTCAGACATTCTGGGTTTGAATCCTGGAACTAGCCAAGTTGCTTAACTATCTAAAAATCAATGAATCTAGATCTCAATAATTATTCCCAGGGTCATAGCCATACTTGTCATTACCTATACCGGCCACCACCTCAATCTAAGTTTCATTCATCCCTCTCATTGATCATTTCCACTTCCCTTTCCAGCTCTCTGTTTTGTACTCTAATTTCATCAACTTTTTTACCCCGCTAGGACTTCCAGTTTGCTCTACTCTTTTTTTTTTTTTTACTGTCTCTTCTTTCCTGATATCTATTTTCCCCTCTGTATCCAGCTTGAGTATCATTATAAATTATTATAACCACTCTTTCCCTTACAACCAAAGCCCTCTCCTCCTTTCCCTCCTCACCCTCCTGCTTCCTTTCATTTGGCAAATTCACAACCTTGATTTTGACCTAAACTTCGGCGTACTCCACACTATATCTGTGGAAGTGGAAAAAAAAATGCATTAGACTAACTAGCGTCACTCTTCATTAGTAGCAATGAACAAGTTTGCCATAAATTATGTCAATCATACTACTTCCCAGGCTGCTACAACATTCTCTCCCCAATTTTCTAAGGTATTGAATGCTTTGAACTCTATTCTTTTCTCCAGACATAATGAGTCTCTTTCCAAGCTCACTTTCAGCTGATCACTTTGTCTCAAGAGCCACACACCACATCTATCCACCTACAAGCACCTGCATTACTGTTAACGGTCACCCTGCATCCAACCCATAGATGGACCATCCAAAAACCCAACAGCAGTGACCCCTGCCATTTCAGTGCCTGCTCCTTTCTTCCCCCTAAACAAGGGCATAATTTTCGGAATCCTTTGCTATTTCAATGTCATCTTTTCTTTGCTCTCTAATGGGCCATTCCTGTCAGCATCCAGAGAAACCATGACTTTGTCCTTCATTAACATATAAAGCAACCAGAAAACTTCTTTTGAACCCATTTGCCCTGCTAGCCCTTGCCCATGTTTGCCTCTTTCTATCTCTAGTTCTGTCTCCAATTTCCTTCTGCCCATTCTCTCTTAAAACTTCCTTCCGAGCTTTGGCTTTCACCATCCCACCCAAACTGTTCACCTCAGTGTCACCAGTGACCAGCATAGTGTAAAATCCAATCGTAAATTCTCAGTGTGTGGTCAGTTGATTATCTGCCCTCCATAAAGCACTTACACGATTTGACTCCAAAGATATCTTACTCTCCTGATTTCTGATTTACCACCACTGGGCACTTCTTCATTCTTCTTCTTCACTGCCTCTATTGAGAATCCTATGAGCCCCGCTCTGTCACTCACTTCCCTGGTTATCCCCAATCCATGGTTTTAAATATTATTTGTATGTTGAATACTTCCAAATTTATTTATCTAACCAGGTTTTTCTTCCTAACTTCAGATTAGTGTACACACTGGCTCATGTATCTCCACGTGGATTATCTCAAATTTACCATGTCCAAAGGTGGATTTCTGCTTACCCACCTGCTTTGCCCAGAGCTTTCCTTGTTTATGTTCATGGTACCTTCCTACTAATAATTCCATGGAGTCAAGTGCTCCAGATATCCTGGACTGATCACCTTCACACCAACACTCAATCTGATGGGAAACGTAGTGAGCTCTATCTTTAAAATCCAGCTAGAATCAGAGCCATCCTCACCATTGCTACTGCTTCTACCCAGGCCGAGCACCATCCCTGCTGGCCGATATTATTTGAATTGTCTTCTAACAGTTCTCCCTGCCTCTATCCTTGCCCTCCCTATGGTTTTGTCTAGGCCAGAACGATCCTTGAAAAACATAAGTCAGAGAACATCACATTTCTGTTCAGACCTTTCCCGTAATACTTCTCTTTCCCCCACCTTTTCTTCTGCTTAGAGTGCTTCTCCTAAATTCCTACTTCGTTACTTCTCTTATGCCCAAATGATCTTTGCTCAAATATTGCATTTTCACCCACTATTTAATACTCACCTCTGAACCTCTGCTTCACCCAAACAATCTCAGTTCCTATTCCTGCTGTACATATTCTGTCATTCAAATTCCACAGCATTGATCACTTGTAATAGTCTACACAATTTTCCCATTCATTAATTTATTATTTAGTCTTATTATTGATCATCTATCTTTTCCAGCTAGAATATACACTTCAACAGAGCAAAGCTCTTTTTACATTTTGTTCAATGATACATAGCTACTGGTTACACTTTAATAAAATAAATGAATAAAATCTGTTGAGAAGTGTTACGACGAGCGCTATGCAATAGGTTTGGTGTAAGGAAAAATAAAATACGTAATTTAGTTAGAAGCATAGCTGGCACAAACTAAGCCTTCTATAAATGCTATTATATTATCATTATTTGTATATAAATGTACATTTTCTTACAGATTAGACAGTGCAGTCACCAGATAACTTTTTAAACTTTATGGCAGTTAGCAGTATTTTGAAGAAAGTATGTATGGAAAATACTATTTGCTTTCCAGTTTCCAACACTACTGACATAGAAATGATAGTTATGTTGTATTTAGCCCAAAAGTAAGGTAAGTTTAAATTTTGCCAGAAACATAATTTTAAAACTTGACATATAGGTTTTTATGCACATATATAAATATATTTTTACACGTATGTATATATAAATACATATGTAGTCTATTGAAATGTGTGCTTAATATTATAAAACTAAAGGTTTTATTCTAATTTTTAGAGTTTTATTAGTAAATAAAAACAAAATGATAGGTGAGAAATTAATATTGGGTGCTGTATTGAATTTCTCAACATATGAAAAAAAATTTAAAAACAGGAGGAGCCCACTAAGTTACTAAACTGTTGAAGAATTGTTTTTTTCGCATGTTCCTCTGTTTTATCTTCCCATACTCAATTCCTTTTACAAAACTGTGTTTGCACCGTCAATATTCCTAAAAAAATAGTTTTGAGGCTACATACTGCTTGTATCTGTTTCCTATATTCTTATAAACAAAGGAAACACAACAGCATACAAACAACCCTTTCCAAATAGGTAAGAACCCTGCCACTGTCTCTCAAATCTGTCTCCTGCTCTCTCTCCCTGTCTATCTCAGAGCAGGCATCCTGGCTTAAGACAAATGGCATCTAAATGCTCTCAGTACACATGTAAAATGGATCTTTCTCAATATTCAGAATACACTGTAAATCCAAACCTCATTATTCACTTCCTCGTTTAAAACCTCTTTTGTGCAGAACAAAGTTAAAATTCCATCTCCTGGTAAGGAAAGTCCTGCATAAGCTGTCTGGTTTTCATATCTTTCCATTATGTTATGCTGTCATCTTTCTTTCACAAGGACTCTAGTCCTGAGCCACATAAAGTCCCCAGTATGCCACAGTCTCATCTCTAAGGCATCCTACAACTATCTCCTGATGTGTAAAATTATACTTTCTCCAGCCCAGAGATTCTGCCACTGACCTTGCTGGCTCTACTTAACCTTCAGAGCTCACACAGACTTTAATTCCGGGAGGAGCTGTGCTGATTGCCCCTGATGGGGTTTGTTCCCGCCTCTGTGTTCCCAAGGCATGTTTCATTTTGCCAACTATAGCATTTCTCATGCTGACTATTCCTAGCTTGTTTACTTGTTTATCTCCCACAAGAGGCTGTAAAATCCTTGAAGCAGGAGCTATGTCATGCTACATTCTCAAACTAGATAGCACTTGATACAGGAGAAGTACTCAATAAAGATTTGCTGATTGCAGAACAACATAAAAATAGTAGCACATTCTGGCTCAGGACTTAGAGACACATGAGAAGACAGGATGGGCAGTGACCTCAGGTCACACCCGGTTTTTGCAAAAAGCAATCTGGCATCAAAATCCTTCTTAGAATCTCAAGGCCAGATAATTCTAGCCTGGCTTCTATCCTTAATTTCTTTGGTTAAAATTTAAAATATTTCTTTTCTTTTTCCTTTGCTGTTTTCTATTTCACTCTTTCCTTCTTTGATATTGCCTCAAATATGACAGCTATTATTTTTACCAAACATTTTTACTGGTTTGGTTTTTACTTTTCCAGTGAAGACAACCTGGTTTCTTCACAGAATTTTCTTCTTTCTCATGGACTTACCTGATACTTGAACTTCTCAGAATGCAGCTTCTATCACAGTCCTTGGAGTTAAAGCCACTCACTGCTTGTATTATTTAAATTTCCAAAAAAAAAGTTGATGGCAAGATTGCTATCAAAGCTTCTCCACACAGAATTTTAAATGTGCCTTTTATCAAAACCTCGTCTTTCACACCCATTTTACTTAACTGTTTATTCTTGAAACATATTTGCCACTGATTCTTCAGAATGCCAATCCCCTCCCAACCTTTTTTAACTCGTCCCCAAACTTTCCTCTACCTGAATTACTGCCAATACCTGAATTATATTTTGTAGACAACAAATACAATATCCGGCCTTGTGGATTGCTGGTCTACTCTACTTTTGTGACTGTCTTTTACTTCTCTTCCAAATGTTATTGCCTGGCCTGAGGTTTCATTTCTTCAACTATTCCTACCATCATCTTTTTTTTTTTTTTTTTTTTTTGAGATGGAGTCTCGCTCAGTCACCAGGCTAGAGTGCAGTGGCACGATCTCGGCTAACTGCACCCTCCGCCTCCCTGGGCTCAAGTCATTCTCCTGCCTCAGCCTCCTGAGTAGCTGGGACTATAGGCATGCATCACCACACCCAGCTAATTTTTGTATTTTTAGTAGAGACGGGGTTTTACCATGTTAGCCAAATGGTCTCGATCTCTTGACCTCATGATCTACCTGCCTCGGCCTCCCAAAGTGCTGGGATTACAGGCATGAGCCACCGCGCCTGGCCCCATCATCTTTTTTAAAAAATTAAATTTAAATTCTTAATTTTGTGCGTGTGCCTAGTAGGTGTATATATTTATGGGGTACATGAGATATTTTTGATATAGGCACACAATGCATAATATTCAGATCAGGATAAAGGGAGTGTCCACCCCTTCCAACATTTATCGTTTGTGTTACCAACAATCCAACTGCAATCTTCATGTGATTTTAAAATATACAATTAAGTTATTATTGACTATAGTCCCCCGTTGTGCTATCAAATAATAGGTTTTATTCATTCTTGCTATTTTTTGTACCCATTAACCATCCTTACCTCCCCTAGCCCCTCATTTCCCTTTCCCAGTCTCTGGTCACCATTCCTCTATTCTCTATCTCCATGAGTTCAATTGCTTTGAAATGTAAATCCCAAAAATAAGTGATAACATGTGACATTTGTCTTTATGTGCCTGGCTTATTTCACTTAACATAATGCTCTCCAGTTCCAACCATGTTGCAAATGACTGAATCTCATTCTTTTTTATGGCTGAATACTACTCCATTGTGTATATGAATCATATTTTCTTTATCCATTATCTGATGATGGACACTTAGGTTGCTTCCAAATCTTAGCTATTGTAAACAGTGCTGCAACAAACATAAGAGGGCAGATATCTCATTGATATACCCTAGATGCCTCATAAAATCATCCTAAATTTGTGTTATTTCACTGTACCTTCCAAAGTAGATCAAATACATGAATGTGTGGAAGCATCCATATTCTCTGCTTATCAACATAGAAGTTGAGCAATGACAAGCAAGCAAACAACCACACAAGCAAAGGCATTAAATCCAGCTTAAGTATGCCAAGTGTTTCAAATTACATGTGCTCCCACCTAGCTGGATCCTCAGAGTCAGGAATCAGCTTCATTGCTGACTTGCTCCCTTTCCTCGGCTTCATAGCAGCCATCTAGAGTTTACCTTTCTGCTAACCTCCCCTTCTCTATTGCCCGCAACCCTGCTCCAACCAGCCTCCCAATTTCCAAAGGCAAAATAAAACATGACTAGACAGAACTCCTCAGCTTCTTGCAGTGTTTCAGCTACAAAGAAGTGTCACATAGTAGGCTCACAAAAAGAGCGGAAGCATTTGTCCTAAAAGTATTCCCCTTACCTTACTACACAAAAAGTGAAAAGGTAAATATTGTACATAGTCCAATATTCCAATATATTTTAATAAAACTAAACTAATCACATTCACAGCTTAAATTTACTTTGAAGATAGATTCCCTATGAAGCACATTTATAATATGCTTATAATCCTATAAGGGTAGGTCAGTATTTCCCCAGTTTACTGCTTCCTGAGCAATGACATGGTATGTAGACATCGAGAGAAAATACAGATCAAAAGTCTATATGCCTCAATGTATTCATATTACCTTATATGTTGTTTGGGGCTAGCTTCACAGGGGGTGACCTGTGCTTGGGCACTAGAAGGGCTTTTTGGTTTAATGGCATGCTGTTGCTGTCTTTAAATTATGAATTTTTTTTGAGCAAGGGAACCTGCATTTTATTTTGCCATTGGCCCCACAAACTATGTAACTGGATCAGCCAGAATTTTAATTTGGATCTCCTCCAAGAGCTGAGCTAGAGACTAGCATCTGCATGCTTTCACTGGAAACAGAAGTTGAAGTACCAGAAAGAGTAGGCTGATTATTTTTTGTGCAACTAAATATCAAACTGTGAACCCTTTGAGAACCCATGTGGAATACACCTCCAAGTTGTCCATCGGAGACACAAAGCAGGAAAGAATGCCTTTAACAACTTCCATCCATCACTGACCACAGCCATTGTTGACTCTCTTGCATTTCCGGGTGTGCACTTACTGAAATGATTGGGTGGGCTCTTGTATATCTTCCAATATGGAGCAGAAAATCTCTGTTCAAGGTGAGCTGTTTGGGAAACAGACACGGGGAGGGCATTGTGCATGTGAAGGATTTGTTAAGGAATAACATAAATGGGGTAAAAGAAGGGAAATGGAAGTTAGCCAAGACAGGCTGTCAGACTGAGGAGTCCCTGGACTTCTGAGCCAGCGTGCTCATTAGGGCAGAAATGACTAGGTTGTTACGTTACCACCTTGCTATTAACGACTCAAAAAAAAGTGACCTGGACAGCACTACCTTGCCCAATCATTGAGCAGGACACAAGGCTAAAAATGTGACTGGCCAGGGCGCAGTGGCTCATGCCTGTAATCCCAACACTTTGAGAGCTGAGGCGGGTGGATCACGTGGTCAAGAGATCGAGACCATCCTGGCCAACATGGTGAAACCCCATCTCTACTAAAAATACAAAAAATTAACTGGACGTGATGCTGCCGCACGCCTGTAGTTCCAGCTACTTGGGAGGCTGAGGCAGGAGAATTGCTTGAGCCTGGGAAGTGGAGGTTGCAGTGAGCCGAGATCGTGCCACTGCACTCCAGCCTGGGTGACAGAACAAGACTCCATCTCAAAAAAAATAATAAATAAATAAAATTAAATTAAAAAGTGACTGGCCAAAAGGCTGAAGTGGACCTGGAAAGAATTAGCAGATGGAGTCTGCCAGCTAACTACAGCTCTTGCACATGGGCAGTGATTCTTCTCCTAAGCAGGATTGGAATGACACATAGCTTATCTACTGCAGTCCCTGAACTGAGGCAAGAGCTGTCAGACAGTGCCTTTGCATCCTGGTTGCCCCAGCCAGCAATGGCTAGAGGGAAAAAAAAAGGTGGGGAGAGGGTAAGCCAAGAGAGTATGACAGAATATATGAGGTTCTGACTTAATAGGCAGTTTTTATTTTCTGATACCGGACATTTGCAACTTTATTGTCAAGTATTTGTTCCTCATTTGTTTCATGGTAATGCCCTATTTTTTTTTTAAAGTAGATAGTTCCTTAGTTCACTCTTTATGTAATAAAGAGTAACTCAACCATATTGTTGAAGGTGGCTATAGTTTAAGTCAATCTGTAAACCCCAGTCTACCAGCCAAGGGGATTGGTGCAGGGATGTGTAACTAATCCCATTTACGCCAATGGGATCCACCCCAAAACTTGTATTGATACACTTAGAGAACAATGTCTCTTCCTTTTCTATTGGGCTTGAGGGTGAGGATGTCATCCTGGAGATCCAGAGGTCTGCTCCATAAATATCACTACATTAAGGTGGGGCTCACATAGATGTGAACAGAGCTGAGATGGAGAAATGCCAGTCCCTGCTGACAAGGAAAGTTCCTGGGTCAAGTTTCTCCAGGTATTCTCTTGAACATTATTTCACAAGACACAATGAATTCCCCTGTTCTTGTGCAAGTTTGAATTGGGCTTGTTGTCCATTGAAACCAGATCCTTCTTGAGAAATACAGTTGTCCTCACTTTACTGATAGGACAACTCAGATGCTAAAGGGTAACTTGGTCTGTCTAAGACTTGTACTTTGGGCAGAGTCTGAAGCCTAGAAGCAACTTGAATTTGAATTCAGATATTCCACCTGCTTCCACTGAATTATATGCTTTTAACACATATCTAATCAATGTCTGCATTGAATAGCTTCTTGAGTAGCTTTTCTCCTTTCAATTTTGCCAATTCTCTCTCAATGTAATCATTCTGGCATTTTCATAGCAGAATTTTCTTTTCAAACCATATATTTGATCATGTCTCTTTTTCCAATTTAACAAAGTACTGTTGTTCTCTAGAGTTTCCTAGATAATGTCTGATTTAGTAGATCGCATGTTAACTCTATGATTGAGTCACATGAAATATGCTTGCTCTACTATTTCTTCATTTCTACATAAGACCTTTTCTCTGGACGAGATTTCTGCACTCAATTCTTTTACAGACAAAGAGTCACATCATCTTGCATGGATTCATACCTTTCACAAATACCATGTAATGCTGGAATTTTTGTTTACATGTATCTTCATACCACTGAACCGTGTGCTCCTTAATTGAAAGGACTATGCTTTATCCTTCCCCTCTTCTCTTTCAAGGGGAATGGTGATTAATGCATGATATGCCTCTAATTGTAGATTGAATTAATTATCTAGTTATTTTATAGCTTTCACTTCTGTGGCAAGACTTCAAAAACTGAAACATAAAGTTTTCATCAGATTTTGTAGTGTTACTAAAGTCAAAGGGGCAAAAATACAAAAAAATAAAAATGGTCACCATGTCATCAATAAGGTATTATCTATTTCCTGATAGAAGTAATTACTGATGAAACAGTCTTCTCCACTCAAAAAAAAAAAAAAAAAAACAAATCAAATCAAACACTACTCTGAGCAAGCATCTATTAATTTACAGAAAAACAATAGGTAGAGAACATAAACATGACACCAGTAAATAAAGTCAGAACAATTTAGACTGTGGCAAACTCTATGGGATAAATGACTCAGTGTCATTCACAAATGCATGGCAAAGGAAAGCATGTCAACAAGGAGGAAACTGCAGAATAAAAGAGACTTGAGTCACACCAACCAAGGATACTATATGGCTTTTTTGAATTCTGATTCAAACAAAGAATCTGTTAAATGAAAGCATCCATAGGGAAAACAAGGGAATTTAAACACTGACTAGATATTATATGATTGTAAGTAATTTTTTTCAGAATAATTGTATAGTGAATTATTTTTGTTAAAATCTTTATCACCTAGAAATAGACATTAAAATAGATGTAAATAGGATGAAATGATATTGGGATTTCTTTTAAAGTTATATGGGTTTAAAAGAAGGGAATGAAGGATGTAGCTGACATGAAATTGAACAGGGAATTTAAAGCTTATGATACAGAGGGATGAGTACCTCTGGGTTCATTATCTTGTGTTCTTTATTTTTACATACATTTGAGGTTTTTCATATTTAAAAAGTTTTAAAACTCACTCATGTAGTATTCAAATATGTTGCACTGCTCTATGAGCGTGTAGGATGCAGGAGTCTATTAAAAATGAATTCAGGTTCTCTGACCACCATGCACAATTGAAGAACACTTGTCCACAGCAGTGCTGTGTTGAATCCTAACAGGTTATTTCAGCGTGATCGTAAAAAGCAAGACAAGTTTAGTATGTTTCATGAATTCCCTTTCCCTGCCTCTTAACCCATAAAAACAAAACAAATACACTTGCTGTTATCTCTGTAGGAGCCAGTTTTCTGGCATCTGCTTCTTAGGACTATTAAGGGCTACATTTTGGCATCCAATTATGAATAGGTATACTTCTTATTCAAAGAGAGTGGAATTTTTGTGCTTTACGGGCATTTAACTATGGATATTAAATCAACAGTGAAAAGTGATGCAAAAGCAATGATTTTGTAAGTAACTTTTGTGTTGAGATTTACTTTATGATATAAATGACAAACATTTCTTAGCTCTAAAATAAATTATATTTCATTTATCGGATGAAGGAGCTAGCTTGTCTCTGTTTATCAGATTAATATCACATTACAAAGTCATAGCTATTTTTGGTATTTGTTTAGAAGTAATTTAACTCTACATCCTTTAGAGAAGTACTCACAAAAGTAAGACTGGAAAGAAAAGCATTGTACTTTTTACCATTTATGAATCAATATCCTAGTTGCTTCTTGCCGTGGCTTTAGAAACGGTAGCTAAATTAAACAAAAACAGCATGGCATTAGATCACAGCATCAAAACTCCTTTGGGATCCTACTTTATGCAAATTCCACTTTTGGAGTTGAAAGGAAATTAGAGAAGTTTGGAGTGGATAAAATGTTTTAATTCAGGCATTTAAAAGAAACTGGATAAACTATTGAACATCTGTTCAATGTAATCACATTGGGGAATACAACATCTTGAAATGAAACTCCAAGAAAATAAAACAGCAACTTTCCAAAAGCCTAGCATTCAGTTTAGGTGATACTATTTTTGAAGGACTTCCTTTGGTATATTTTTTCAAGAACTTTTGAAAACAAAACAAAATCTTTACCATATTGAAACTATAGATAACACATGGGTGAAAAAACTATCCGATACTTAATCCATAGCTGAACCAGTCTTTATGTGTCTGTTACCTTCTTCCTGGATGAAAGTGATTCTATCTGCAAGCATTATATCTTTATCTGTCTCGCTTATCCTTGATGGCTGATAGAATAATGGTGTGGTCACTTGGTGGTCTGAAACATACAGTGCCCCATTTATTCTGCAAAGTCTTAATCGGGCTCACGGTGGAAAAAGAACAGTTTACAGGTGTGCTGTTTTCAATAGCTATTCTCGGTCACCTGATCCAAAGACCACTTGGCGATGGAAAGACTAACGATGAGGAGATAGCATCAGCCAGCTATTGATAGCTGCCAGCCTTTGAAGCTCCTTTCAGCTTAGATGTAAATCATACACAATGAAGGCACAGAACATTAAAGGCAGAAATTCTGTAAAACCAGTTGAGCTGATTAGTACCAAATTACTGATGTTCCATCTGCTTGGATGGTAATAATTTTTTTTAACTGCCTGACAGAAAAGCTTCATTTCACAAAGAATCCATGTTCAGTGGTCCCAGGAGATGTACTTTATGTATGCACAAAGGAAGGAGATGGTGAAAGATACCCAATCATTTTATGAGGATTTAATGTCACCATTAAGAAAACTAGCAATTCATGTATGAAGACATTAGGAAAATATGTTTCCAATAGTGCATGAATTTATATTTTGTCATCACACCACCAAGTGAAAAATTAAGATGTGAACATCCAAATTTTTACACATGTATATAAAAATGTGAATACATAGGTGATAATTTATATCACAGTCCTAATATTCTATTTAACTGCAAATGTTGTGGCCAATATCGAACCATGAGCTGCCCAGGATAGAAGGAACCATGGAACTTTGAGTATTCCACTCCTGCTGAACTCTTTCAATAGTAAAGATATTATACCTTAGCCTAATACAAATCAACAATTGATTTATCTAAATTATTGTACAATGATCCTATATGTTACAATTTTTTTAAAATAATGGTTTATCTTCCCTTATGAATTTGCCTGTAAGATCAGTAAGCACACGTAATAAGAATGTGAGTTCTTCTTGGCCTCTCGGCAACGGTATTTGTTTATAAAAGATACACATTGTTGAGGACTAATCTCGTCATATTTATCATTATAAATTAATAAGTTATAAATCTAGTTTTATATATCATTTACAGATTCTATGCACAAGAGATGAATCTATAATAAGTATACCGACAAATCAGGTTGCTAGCCAGTAACTATTTTGAAGGTAACAGGAAATGTAAATTAGGCAATTTTTCATAGAGTGATTATAATTAGATAAGAACTTGTTCTGATAAATATATATATCATACAGCTTAGGCTCAATAATATAACAGGCCCCAATAGCCCTTATATTTCAGTAGCTTCCTCATGCAAAAGTTGGTTGAATACAGGAATTTTAAGTCCTTTAATGTGGATCATGATTTTGCTCCTTGTTACCATCATGCTAGGACCCAGCTTGGAGAAACAACCCCTGTCTGCAGCATCACAGGTTTCACAGTGAAGGAAAAAGAGAGACTTGGTGGGCAAGACAGTGGTCTGAAAGTTTTTTTTTTCATAACTCACATGTCACTTCTACTCATAATCCACTGATTTGAGCAAGACTCATGGCCAACTCGGTGTTGGTGTGGAGGGTCTGAGATCACTTCTGAGAAAATTAAAAACAGCCCTGCTGGCAACCAGAACATGGTATTCCCAAACTGAATACAAACAGCATTCAAATAAGGCCATACTGTAAGCATGTTTGCAACAGGACAAGGACAAACACAATTAAAAAGTGATTGAACCACTTGACTTTTACCTAACGTGGATGATGGTTGCTTTTTTAATCAATGATAACATCAGCCCTGTTTTAATGGTTCTTCCTCTTAGATAAAATGTACAAGATAAACACTTTCTGAATTCCCTCTGCTTACAAGAAGAATTCAATTCAAAACCAGGCATATCTTTCTGAATTTCTCCCAAGAATTATTCAGCATAAGCCTGAATTCTATAAAATGCTCCTCCCAAATCTCTTTTTTGAGATGTCGCCACAGTTGCCCTGGGATGTATTTTCCTTTTCTGCAGCAAGTTAAGTTAGCCTAACTTGTTGGACTATGGGTATATGCTTAGTGGTCTCGATCAGTAATCTTAATAACTCATAGGAAGAGGGCACATTCTCAAAAATAATGACAGCTACCATACTTATGATGATCTACATGTAAAATATCTACAATTACAGCAGCACATAAGAAACGATGCTATATGTTCTTAGTACTCTATGTAATTGATATGTCATAATGCATGATTAATTGAACTCTTCTTTGAAAAAAACTCTACTCAGATAGACTTTAAATATGCTTTCATGTTTGCAAGCATTTTTCCAAATTATTACTTCATAATGTTTCTTTCCTTGAGAATTACAAATGGAGTAAATTCATTTTCTCTTTCTCAAAACTGAGTAAAGTACAGAAGATGGAAAAGTACCCATCTCCTAGATTCTCTGATGATAAACATAAGTTATTTAAATTATACATATATAAAATAACATAAACTTATGTTTATCATAAGCTATTTATGTTTATATATATATAAATTAACTTACTAGTAACTAATATTAAGAAATTAGTTTATGGGAGGTACTATGGTCTAAATGTCTACGTTCCCCCCAAAACACATTTGGCAAACTAACCCCCAAGATGATAGTATTATAGGCACCTTTTGGAGGTGATTAGGTCATAAGCGTCTGCCTTCAAAACTGGGATTTGCTCCCTTATAAACGAGGCTTGTTCACCCCTTCCATCACGTAAAGGCATAGCTAGAAGGCACCATCTTTGAATCCGGGCATGAGCTCTTATCAGACACCAGCTCTACTGGCACCTTGATCTTGGACTTCCCAGCCTCCAGAGCTGTGAGCAATAAATTATTATTGTTTACAATAAATTATTGTTGTTTACAAATATCCTGGTCAAACATATTTTGTTATAGCAGCATGAGAAGACTTAACCAGGGTTTGAGGGCATTCTCAAACAATTCTTTAGTGGTAATGATATCTGCAGTAGCCTGAATGAAGAGTTACACATCAAATTTTTCCACAAAGAAATATATAAATGTGGAAATTTCAATTGTTAGGGCATCAAAGGTTGATAAATAATATATTTTTAAATCTCTGTGAATGGTATTTGTTCCTATTTTCAACCAATAAAAAGACAAGTCTTTGTATTTCTTTGCTAGAGGGCTTTAATGTTGCAGTGCAATATGAACTATTATCAAGGCAAAAGGGCCGGTGGAAGGAAAAGGGAATTGATATTTTGCAACCAGAGGTAAATGTTCCTGAAAGACTTGAGACAAGATAGAGCATTCTGCATCTAAGAAATTGATGCGTATTCAGTAGAGCTTAAGCATGGATAGAGTGCTGGTGAATAGTGATGGGGGAAGCACTGTAAAGATCAGCAGAAACTAACTCATCCACAACGACCTCAGCAAGCATCGTAAGAAGTTTGAACTTCATCCTAACAGCAAAGGGAGGCACTGGAGAATTCCTTGAGAGGTAAGCGTCATAATATTATTGGCATAATAGGTAATTCTGAGTGCAATATGGAGTATAGTTTGTCATATATTAAACTGAAGTCAGTAAAGCGAATGAAGATACCGTTGCAGTAATCCATGTAAAAAAATGGGAATAACCTGAAACAGAAAAATAACTAAAACATACCGAAGTTTGTGAATGACGGTTACTTTCATTACATGAAGGAGGCAGGGAAGGAAGTGGAAGCATTTTGAGGGATGAAATGAATTTAATTTTGGCGTGATGAAAAATTAAATTTTCATGGATGAAAAAGTATGTTAAGTATATGCCTACAGATGTCCAGAGATAAGTTATGCATATGGATCTGACATTTAGAAAAAAAATTTGGATTGAAAATATTGATTCTAGATACATCTTCATTTACATGGTACTAGAAATACAGAAATGGATACAATTTGATAGGGAGAGTGTCTAAAATGAGGTATTAGGTTTGACTAAAGCAGAAACCCAAAGTACATCAATGTTAATTTTGCAGCCTTAGATAGAGAAGCCCACAAATGAAATCGAGGAAGAGGAACGTGAGATGCAAGAATGAGAGCAGTTTTGGAAGCCAGAGGAGGAGTTTTTTAAGAAGATGGTATCATTCATATTGCCATTTTTTTCCGAGACTAAAAAAACTAAAGGCTGAACTGAAAGACACTGCTAAGACAGATAGTACAGTTTCAATATAATATGACGCCATCAAAACCCAGGATGTTGTAAAAGAGAGTGTGACTGTATTTACGTCAACGGATGTCAGTGAGAGAACTTGATCCAAACATCGTAATCGAACCAAGAGACGTATTAGCAACGTTAAATAAACTGTCATTTTGTCTAGGCCTCCGGTATAACTGGAATCAGCATCTTGATGCCAGGGGGTACTGTATTTAATTCCTGACTTTTGTGTATATGTGTTATTCTCTCTTGTGGGATTTCTCTCATGTCAGGAAAAAATGGCTGCCAGTGGCCTTGACACCGGGAGAAACTTGGCGCGTGGTGTTCTGGGAAGCTTGCTCTCTTGCATCTCAACCCCCTGCCTGGAGGAGTTCCTTCCGAGTAGTTGCTGCCCCTTCAGCCTGAGCCACAGAATGAATATGTGAGAAGCAAACCTGAGCCCCACGTGCAGCAGAATCTCAGGACAGCCAGACTTGCAGCTTGAAGCAGATCTTCCCAGTTCTGCTCAACCTAAAGCAGCAACAAGCAGCCAATCTGTGGTCCACAGAGAATAAGCCTTGCTACAAAAAGCTCTTGTGTTTTAGGGTCATCTGTTACCCCACCTTTTATGAGACAAGAGGTAAAGGACACAGCTGGGGTTATGTTTGTCCCTCTCTTCCAAAACTACGCTTTTAATTAAGGAAATGTAATTTCATTGAAATGGGGAGGGAGGCTTATCCAGGATAAAGAACGGGTGCTGGAGAAGTAAAAAGGCAGATGCTCAACTGTGTGACAGAGTGAGCAGAATTGTCAAGATGAGAGAATAGTGTCAACAAGAAGTCTGGGTGTGAAAGTAGGAGATATTTTAAGGTAGTAGCTGCAGGGTGTTGTGAAGTTGAGGTTTGGTTTAGTTCTTCTTTTTTTTATTTTTAAGCTGTTCTGTTTTTCTATTTTATATAAAAGCTGATAGGATAGAATGAATGAAGCAGGAGTCTTTGAAAAGACCAGACTTGGAGAATGCAATTCAAAAGTGTAAGGTCTCCGAGAATGTTAAAGGTGATATGGTACAGAGTGAAGTGGAGAGCTGCCTTATGCCCTAGGGGAAGATGCTTACCAAACCAGGAAGGAAGAAGGAAAAGGGTGCAGGGAGAAGTTCATTGTGTAATCCAAGGCAGTTAGACATTTATTTGATGATTTCAAGATACTTCTATGATGTAAATAGTAAGTGCATCAGCTAGAAGTTAGGCTGTGAACTCAGAGCTAGAGATATAAAGAGAGGGAAGGAAAGTTGAAATACTGCTGTGTAGACTGAAGGGTGATAGGAAAACAGAAATGAGGAATACTCACACTGCCACACCCCTTAGAATTTATAATAAAGCCATTTATAGAATATGGGAGAAATTTTCACCTATAGTGTAATTCAACAATTGAGAAACAAAGTGGAAGCATCATGTCATTCTTATTTGCTAAAGTTATTGTAATCCTGCCATCAAGACAAGAGGCAGGAAAACACTTTCCCAGTGTTTGTCCCCAAACTGCAAATCATAAGCTCTTTCTCCTAACACAAACAAACAAATAAAATAAAGCAAAAGAATGCAAATAAGTAAGTAATACCAGCCTGTCCTCCTTTACTGCTTTTTGAGGTAGCCCCATTGCTGCTGACCTTGTTCCACCAGCACCTCTTCCTACAGTCCGTGGAGATGGGAAAAATCTTACACCAAAATCCAAAGGAAACAAACATGCAAGATGTGTGAAATAATCAATGCCACCAAACAAAGCAAAAAACCAAACGCATCACTTCTGAGAATGATCATAAGCTGGCTAAATTCCCCTTTGATGCTCAGATTAATTTGAGATATTAAACACAAATAAACACTGCATTGCAAAGACACATGTAAAACAAAATTTAGCATGAATTTTAAAACAAAAGTTGACAATGATGTGGCTGAAGAACACATAAACAGTGCACAACTGGCAAATGAGTTGCAGACAAAGAAGGATGTAAGAAAAAGGCTTTGATCAAGACAAATAGGGTTAGCTGAAATTGACAAAATGTCCAATCCACAGTGACTAATCACTCAGGAATGTTTATGTAATAAATAGGATGGCAACAAAATGTATAAACCAGAATCCTGTTAGAATAACAATGATAAACTAAGAGAAACACAACTGTTCTGGGACTTTGACAAGTTTCTTCCTGTTCTCATTGGTCGAATAGACCTCAAACTAAATAAACTAGTGATTTGAATAATAAAATTAATAAGGTAGAAACAAAACATATGTAGAACATTTTACCTACACAAACAATGAAAGAATTAAATATTAAATTATAAGAGGAAATCACAAAGGAAAATATTTACAATATTGATAAAAATAGAACATGTTAAAAGATAAAATATTCAATTTTCTTTTTATCTTTTGCAACAATTTTGGCAAACAAATAGCTGATAATCATAGTGTAAACACCTATGTTTGAAATGCACAAGCAAAATATCTACTTCCCAATTAAACTTTTAAAAAATGCAACACAAATGTTCAATTTTCACCAAAGATAATAGCAAAATAAGATGTTCAGTGAAACTAATAATCAAATAGATGTACATTAGATTAAACACCATTTTTAAAATATAACCATTTAATTGGATAACACTCATTGCTGGAGAGCATGTGGATGTGGAGAAATAGGAACACTTTTACACTGTTGGTGGGACTGTAAACTAGTTCAACCACTGTGGAAGTCAGTGTGGCAATTCCTCAGGGATCTAGAACTAGAAATACCATTTGACCCAGCCATCCCATTACTGGGTATATACCCAAAGGACTATAAATCATGCTGCTATAAAGACACATGCACACGTATGTTTATAGTGGCACTATTCACAATAGCAAGGACTTGGAACCAACCCAAATGTCCAACAATGATAGACTGGATTAAGAAAATGTGGCACATATACACCATGGAATACTATGCAGCCATAAAAAATGATGAGTTCATGTCCTTTGTAGAGACATAGATGAAACTGGAAACCATCATTCTCAGCAAACTATCACAAGGACAAAAAACCAAACACCACGTGTTCTCACTCATAGGTGGGAATTGAACAATGAGAACACATGGACACAGGAAGGGGAACATCATACACCGGGGACTGTTTTGGGGTGGGGGGAGGGGGGAGGGGGGAGGGATAGCATTAGGAGATATACCTAATGCTAAATGATGAGTTAATGGGTGCAGCACACCAACATGGCACATGTATACATATGTAACTAACATGCACGTTGTGCACATGTACCCTAAAACTGAAAGTATAATAATAAAAAAATTTAACAAAACAGCCCCCTTAAAAAAGAATATGGAAGGAAATAACTAATAAAGTCCACCATAGAGATGTTGTCCCATTAAAAAAAAAAAAAAAAAGGCCGGGCGCGGTGGCTCACGCCTGTAATCCCAGCACTTTGGGAGGCCGAGGCGGGTGGATCATGAGGTCAGGAGATCGAGACCATCCTGGCTAACAAGGTGAAACCCCGTCTCTACTAAAAATACAAAAAATTAGCCGGGCGCAGTGGCGGGCGCCTGTAGTCCCAGCTACTCGGGAGGCTGAGGCGGGAGAATGGCGTGAACCCGGGAAGCGGAGCTTGCAGTGAGCCGAGATTGCGCCACTGCAGTCCGCAGTCCGACCTGGGCGACAGAGCGAGACTCCGTCTCAAAAAAAAAAAAAAAAAAAAAAAAAAAAAAAAATATATATATATATATATATATATATATATATATATCTGAAAATGGCACATATTAGTAGTTAAACTGTGGCAATAAACTTTAGGCTCATTGTGGGGTAATGCATAAGTAAATGGAAGTCACAAGCTCACTAAAGTATTAGAGAACTTTAAATCTCATTTTTAAACAAAATTATGTTATATTAGGTCATGCTTAAACTACAAGTGCATTAAAGGACTACAGATTTTACATGCAGAATGAATAGGCTCATGACATACATAGACCAAAGTGGAGTTTAATATGGAAGGAAAACAACAACCTACTAACAGCAGTTGGTGTGATTATTCTTCCATGTCTACTTGTAAATATTATTCACAAATATTACAAAATATTATTTCTTTTATATAAGAAGTATATATTTTCATAAAAATAAGATGATATGCAAAAGAGAACATTTAATTGTACCAGTTTACATCCCTATTATCAAGTCTTGGTCCTATAGTGGCCTGGGAATTATGCTAAGCCCCTCATGCACTATGCATGTGGTCTTCTCAGATTCCTTTGCTACATACAGTTCATATCTCTGCTGTATTTTCTTGAGTATTTTGGCTCTTCAAAATAGCATAAAATATGGTAGTGTCTCTAGGAATTCTGGGCTGCAATTTGTTATTTTATTTGTTTGTTTCCAATGCAGCTACTGCTACTGGTAGAATGTTGAAACTTTTTATTTAAGTTGACTGTATATATACACAATTATAAGACTAAGCTGGAAATGGTAATACTCCTAGTCAGAATTATGTTTCATGAGTACCTAGTTTGGGTCAAACAAATAGTAGATTTGATAAATGGTGCAATAAATTAAAATGACACTAATTAGTGTGAATTATTTTGTGGTGCCCATTAAAAGACAAATAATACAGAAAATTATTACAGCAGTGCCTAAAGCTAAATGCCATCAATGCAGCAAGCAACACATTCTACTGAAGTTTTGAAAATATGAGCGACTTGAATATTGAATAATGTGGATAAGCAGAAAACAAATAGCATTTCCAGATATCTGGATGCTCATACCTCTGTAAGTGGTCCTGCTTATCTGTTTTAATTTTCTCTACCCCTAAATTAGAACAAGTCAGGTAGGAATAATTTGGCATATAAATACGTCCATAAAATTATTTGACGTTTCTAAAAATATCACGGGAATCATTTGATCAGGGCAATATATATTTTATAATATATTATTCTAAATAAATATTTACAATGAATTTCTAATATTAAATTCAAATGTCCTATTTGCTAAGTTACTGGACTATGTAATTACCTGTAGATCACTAAAAATATTTTCTTCAAGTTTAATCCAATTTACCAATTTTGTTCTTTCCAAATCTTGTTCAATTTGACTTACTCATTTTTTCCCTTTGATAATTGTTGTATATTTTGGGGGCAATTCACTCATATTCTTTCGTGAATAGTTAGATTCTTTCACCAGTACATTTAGTCTTCATTTGGAATCTTGTTAGAATTCATTTTAAATGCAGTATCTTGAAGAATTATATTATCAATCATACTTTACTGGTAACCAATATGTTTTGCAAGCTGCATGACTGATTGCTAGTTTGTGAATTGCATTCTTTAATTCGAATTGTCTTGCAAATTAACTGTGTGCATTTATTGTTTATATTAAAATATGATCACTTGAAACTTGCTGTTTGAGTAATTCTTCCTTAGACTTCTGTCCAGGTGACATATTTATTTATTCATTCATTTCTTTATTCATTATTCATTAGGTAAATCAACAAATATTTTGAAACCACCATTTTGTGCTATGTCATCTGGGGAATGCTAAAAATGTAAAATGATTTTCAGAAAAACAAGACTTTTTAGGAAACCCATAGAATTGTGCCAAGCCTTTTGTTTTGAGTTTAATGTGTGATATAATCTCTCTTGTAGTTCCCTGCTTTCAGACCTTCTTATCTTCCATTTTATGTTGCTGCGTTCTTTGTTAGAGAAATGACTCACGCTTCCACATGCTTCCACATTTCAGTGGCCACATCACATTGACTGGCGGGTCTTTTCGCCTGGGGCATTGGCATCTTATCCCAATTGCCACCTTTCAGCATTTTCAATTATCACTTTACTGATTGACACCTCTGAACATTTGTCAACATGTCTCTTTCTTTGGAATGGCATAGGCACATTCTGAAGAAAATACTCAGGCAACTCAATAACTGTGGATGTTAGGAAGCGTCATTGTTGACAGAAAACGAGAAGCCAAGCTGGCCAGTGAATGAAAGCCATGTGCAGGACCTGATATTAGCAAATGCAAGGCTTAGAGCAGGAGGTGGGAAATTCGTGATAGTTTCAGCAAAGAAGCTGACAAGTGAAAAACCAAATAACAGTGTAAAATAAATGACTGGCCATATGCACAAATCAGCACTGAGTGTGTGTGTATGTGTGTAGAGAAATGTAGAGATTCTTGTTGTTGTAAGAGATCAGGATCAATAGCCTCTCCGCGCTGAGGGCCAAAAGAGAGTGAAACACTTCCTTAAGGCCGCAAAGATGGTAAAAACAAAAATTAGAACCCAGGGTCATTTTCACTGCCTTACTGGTACTTATGTAACAATAAGAATTGTTCATCGGCCGGGCGGGCCAGCTCATGCCTATAATCCCAGCACTTTGGGACCACGAGGTCAGGACTTCCAGAACAGCCTGGCCAACATGGTGAAACCCCAACTCTACTAAAAATACAAAAATTAGCTGGGAGTTGTGGTGGATGCCTGTAATCCCAGCTACTCAGGAGGCTGAGGCAGGAGAATTGCTTGAACCAGGGAGGCGGAGGTTACAGTGAGCTGAGATTGCACCATTCCACTCCAGCCTGGGCGACAAAAGTGAGACTCCGTTTCAGAAAAAAAACTGTTCATCCACATTCCATTCCATTCAGGGTAGAAATAGCTGGGTTATCAGTCTCATATTACACATACACATGCACTGTTATCCATAACACAGGCTTGGTATATTGCATCTTTACACATTAATTTTCCAAGTGTTAAGAATGAACTTGATGGCCAATGTCATTCATAAAGAAACTGCCAGTCATAAAAAATTTACAAAATCTATATAGTCAAACTATTGACTACAATGATAAACATAAACATTAAAGCAACATTAATGAATCACGAAATAAAGTTTTAATGAATTCGAGATTAAGTACTGATAGGTGACACATGGGTGGGTAGACAGAAAGGTGATAAATAGGTAGGTAGATAGAGGGATAGACAGATAGATAGATAGGAGAGACAGACAGAGAGAGAACTTTTTTTGTTTGTTTGTCGTTTTTTTGAGACAGAGTCTCGCTGTTTGTCCAGGCTGGAGTGCAGTGGCAACATCTTGGCTCAGTGCAACCTCCGCCTCCCAGGTTCAAGCGATTCTCCCACCTCAGCCTCCTGAGTAGCTGGGATTACAGGCATGAGCCACCACATCCGGCTAATTTTTGCATTTTAGTAGAGACTGGGTTTCACCATGTTGCCCAGGCTGGTCTGGAACTCCTGAGCTCGAGTGATCCACTCGCTTTGGCCTCCCAAATTGCTGGATTACAGAGGTGAGCCACTGCATCCAGCCACAGAGAGATAATTTTACTTGCCTTTGTAAACACTACAAAGATAGAAAGTTATGTACCCCATAAATATCTATCTATCTAGCTAGCTAGCTAGCTAGCTAGCTACACACACACACACACACACACACACACACACACACACACACACATACATACATACACACACACTAGGTATCCACAAAATTAAACATAAAAAGTTTTAAAAAACAAAAATAGATGGATAGTAAGATGAGAGAGAGAGTTAAAGAGAGAGAGACAGAGAGACAGATAATTTTTGTTTGCTTTTGTAAAAATAGAAAAGTAATATAAATGAATTATTTAAAATTAAAAGGTATACTTCTTGTGACAATGGACTTTTTTGCATTTCATTTAAAATTAAATACCTTTAATCTCTAATAATAAATATTCGAGGTAGTGTTTATATACAATAATCATCTTTGGACCTGATTTAAACTTTCCTAATAGAGTCAAGGTTCTATGCTTCACAACAAGAGACAAGATATTTCTTAGATGTGAAACTCAAATATATTAAAATACTAGTTAGTATAAATGTAGACATCTGGACCTTAGGATAAAACAATTCCCAGTGCAGGAGGAAGTATGTTCAGATATGTTAAAATGCTTGAGCCACTGAATTTTTGGATTGCCCAAATACGCTAAAACCCACGCAGAAGAAAAAAATTAATTACCGTAGTAGAATCACCAAGGGGGAACTCCCTTTTGTTATAAGAAGTTGTTTTTAAATCGAATTAGTTTTGAATTAACCCAATTACACATCACTATTCAACTGTGATATCAAATTGAGGAAGTTTAATGATGTGAAAATACTTTTAAAACAATATCTTGGTGATAACAGAACATTTAAAATGTTCATATTTAGAAAGTATTAATTACATATATTAAATAATTTAAGGACTGTTTCTCACATATTATCATGTAAAATAGAAAATCATTTTTACTTGCAGAACATATGACTAATAGAGTTCAGCATAGCAGAATTCAGAATATTATGGCACAAAAGAATTACAGCATACTTAAAACTCCTTGGCAAAAATTCTTTGTGACTTGGAAAAGGAAGATATGTTTTCAGAATGGACTTTAAATGATTTCAATTTTACTATTTTTTCAATTTATTTTGGAAGAAAATGAAAATGTCTTGGAATGCACAACTACATTTTCACCAAAATTTTAACAATAAATAAACAAAATGAATTTATAGGACTTTTGTATTGCTTTTCTATCATGTAAAGACAAAAGACAGGAAAAGCCATATCAAAAACTAAACTTTCCTTAATAAATATAGTAATCTTGCAAAGACACACCAAAAGAGGAAATTTTCTTACAGATAAATAGATACAGTACTTGTTACAAATCTACACTTTGTGCAAACAAATCAAATGTGATTTTCATTTTGAAACAATTAAAAATATGAAGAAAAAATTTCTGTAGCTTAGGTGATTATAAAATGATAATCTTATAATATTTTTATACTGTCGTATTTTCATTCTAATTGAATTATCATGCATATCAATTTAATGAAGCAATTGAAGCAAATCATTTTATTATAACATAACTCCCCTAATTAGGTATACAAATATATGTCATATATAGAAAAGTCCCTTTAGCTTTAAATCTATTTTCTCATTGAGAGGTACAATGGAAAAACATTTCTGCTTAATTAACTTACAATAAAATTTTTTATGATTAAAACTTAGCAATCCTTATGATCACACTCCAATACAGCTTTATTAGGATATAACATTTTATTGTCAGGTTGAAATTAATATTTTGAGAAAATGACAAAGATTATTACTTTGCATGTACCTTGAACTAAATCTTAGCACACTGGTTATTTAATAAATGCAACTTAATGAAAACTATTTTATAGTGTATTAATTGACAGGGAATTGACTAGAATTAATACAATTTTATTGTTCATTCGTTATCACTTTCTGCATTATTGCCTTAATTTCTTTATAGAAATAATACTAAAAATATTAAAATAAAATATATAGTATACTGATACATGTCAAAGGAACTATACCACAAATGGTTCTTTTTCTACGTCATAAATCTTTCTAAGCATTATTTGTCTGTCACTGGAATAAGATACCTTTATAGAAGAGTTTTTTCTCTCCTGATTAAAAATATAAAATCTTTTTTTGTAATATTTTATTAAGCCTCTGATGTGAAAACATAAATTGTGTTATAAGATGTAAATCTAATGTGAATCTGATGACAACATAGCCTTAATTTGTTTAGGTATTTTATACACTCATTGTTAAATCACACTTAAATCAGCTTTACATAATGAAATTTATACAAAGTTTAAGCAAAAACAAAAAGACATTAAGTATAAGAAATCTTTGCACTACACTTGGCCAAGACTCTATATTAAAGCACAATTATAAAAATGTAAATGAAGTTGTATTGGTCCATTTTCATGCTGCTGATGAAGTTACACCAGAGACTGGACAATTTACAAACAAAAGAGGTTTAATGGACTTAGGGTTCCATGTGGCGGGAGAGGCTTCACAATCATGGAGCAAGGCAAGGAGGAGCAAGTTATGTCTTAAGTGGATGGCAGCAGGCAAAGAGAGAGAGAGCTTGTGGAGGGAAACTCCCATTTTTAAAACCATCAGATCTCAGGAGAGTTACTCACTATCATAAGGACAGTATGGGGGAAACCATTCCCATGATTCAATTATCTCCCACTGAGTCCCTCCCACAATTTGTGGGAATCCATGGGAGTACAATTCAAATGCGATTTGGGTGGGGACACAGGGCCAAACCATATCAGAAGTACTTAACAAAACAAACAGTAATAAACAAATGCTTAAGGTACTATGTTACTGTCATGTTCTTCAAGCTGTCAGAATTTGTACCTCTGTCCTCCATGACAAAGCTGCCTTTTCTTATTTTAAATGAATATTACTGTAATATTTAATGTGTTATGAAGTTTAACATAAACGTACTTTATAATTTAAATATTTTCCCTCTCATTTTCCAAAAAATTGTATATAAGATTTCTCTCAGTAGGTTTTCTAATCTAATATGGATAGGCAATGATAAGCATCATTTATTGAATACTTACTATAATGTCATTTGTTGGGTTAAGTAATATACACGCTGCATTAGTCAGGGCTTTATAGAGGATAGAACTAATAGGAGATATATATATGTTTCTTTTATAATAGGAGATGATATATATATCTCCTATTATAAATTACATTATGTAATTTATGTATAATTACATAATGTATTTATGTATAATTACATAATTACATTATGTAATTATATAGCCTATAAAATATATATTTTATATTTTATAGGATATATAGGAGATATATATATATCTCCTATTATATATATATTTTATATATATATTTTTTATATATGTATATTTGATATATATTATATATATTTTTTTATATGTTTCTTTTCTTGGAAACTAAGAGAAAAACAAAAAAGATGAGAGGAAACCACTATATGAACCCAGGTGAAGATATAATAATTTTTAAGTTAACTCCTTTTTTATTGGTAAGTCAATATTTAAAAATTGCAAATTGTATTAATGTTACATGCTTACATGGGGGAATACTAACTTGCTGCAAACAAGGAGGAGATATATATATCTCCTATTATACATATATATATCCTATTATACATATATATCTCCTATTATACATGTATATATCCTATTATACATATATATATCCTATTATACATATATATATATCTCCTATTACACATAGATAGATGTTTCTTAAGTATTAACTCACACCATCACTAGGTCCCACAATAGGCTGTCTGCAAGCTGAGGAGCAAGGAAACCCAATCCAAGTCTAAAAATTGAAGAACTTTCAGTCCAATGTTTAAGGTCAGGAAGCATCCAGCACGGGAGAAAGATGTAGGCTGGGAGGCTAGGTCAGTCTAGCCTTTTCACATTTTTCTGCCTGTTTTATATTCTAGCCATGCTGGCAGCTGATCAGATGGTGCCCACCTAGATTAAGGGTGAGTCTGCCTTTCACAGCCCACTGACTCAAATGTTAATCTCCTTTGGTAACACCCTCACAGACACACCCATGATCAATACTTTGCATCCTTCAATCCAATCAAGTTGACACTCAGTGTTAACCACCACACATGCTTTTTCATTTACTATCCTCAATGACTTTTTGAGTCAGTTTTAATTTTTCCACATTTTACAGGTGGGAAATCCCAGGTTCAGAAGTAAAGCAATCTGCCTAGATTCATCCAAGTAATAAATGATGAGGTATTACAATCCAAATCTGTTCTATTCTGATGCTGTACTCTAAATCTAGGAGGTATTTCCTAGGTTTTTTTAACTAATGATGGTGAATAAATAGCACATGAGCTGCCATTATTTAACCTTCGGCAAATGGAAAACATCACTAATCAATAGTGTCACCTATTTTCAGAAGCCTTGTTCCAGGATGTTATTATTCCCCCATGTAAGCATGTAACATTAATATAATTTGCAATTTTTAAATATTGACTTACCAATAAAAAAAGAGTGACTTAAAAATTATCATATCTTCACCTGGGTTCATATAGTGGTTTCCTCCCATCCTTTTTGTTTTTCTTTTTGTTTCCCAGAAAAGACCTTCCTTACAATATGCAACAAATATCAGTTTGCTGATGAAAAGAGTCAATCTCTGTAAAGTATTTGAAGAGATTTATTCTGAGCCAAATATGAGTGACCCATGGCCTGTGACATAGCCCTCAGGAGATCCTGAGAACATGTGCCCAAGGAGGTCATCCACAGCCTGGCTTTATACATTTTAGGGAGACACGAGACATCAATCAAATACATGTAAGATATCCATTGGTTGGGTCCAGAAAGGCAGTAGTGGCGGTGTGACTTCCAGGTTATAGGCCAATTTAAAAGTTTTCTGATTGGCAATTGATTGAAAGAGTTATTATCGATAGAAAGGAATATCTGGGTTATACTAAGGGGAACAACATTTTATCAGGCAGATGAAACCTCCAGATAGCAGGCTTCAGAGACAATAGATTATCCATGTTTCTTATCAGACTTAAGGTCTGTGTTGATGTTAAATGCTGGTTGCCTTTTCCTGAATTCCAAAAGCTAGGGGAGGGTGCATAATGAGGCATTTCAGACTCTTTCTTGTCCTCATGGCCTGAACCAGTTTTTCAGGTTACCTTTGGAGTTCCCTGGCAGAGAGGAGAGGTCCATTCAGTTAGTTGGGGGGCTAGCTTTCGATTTTTTGCTTTACAAGTGCAATAGAAAAAGTATGTATTAGTAGAATTCTCACATATCTAATATGATGCTATTTGAAATACTAAGTGGAAAGAAAAACTCTAGAATGAGTCTTATCTCAGCCTTTAAATGATTCATCTCATATTAAGATTACAACATAATGAATGTACAATATAATCTGTCTACTGCCAGTGCTCTCAAACTCTTATCACTAGTTCAAAAATATTTATTTAGAGGTTACTAAAAACTCCCTTTAGGAAAACTTTACTTGTTTTGTTAATCTTGAAGATGGTAGATAACAGGGTCTCATCTTCTATAAAGTTGAAGAAAAGTATTAAGTAATTACAGAAATTCTCTGTATGTTGGCTTAATTTTATTCTTTTAATGTATGCATTTTGATCGAAATAAATATATATATAAAAGTGAAAAAGCATGTCTTTAAGTGGTACAGAGAGATTATAAAATTTTTGATTAGATAAAAAAGGGATTTAAAAAACTATCACTTTTTCTTTATTACTGAGAGGCTCAAGCAAAGAAACTAGGGCTGTAAATGAACAAAAAAAAAAGACCAAAAGAATATTTTGTATTAAAATTGTCTATTCCATTACAAGAAACATGCTTTGGAAGTTGTGCTTTTCTCTTCTTTTTTCTCAGAGTATCGTGTCACATGTAATCAACACTTGTCCTTGTGTTTGTGTCTGAGTAATCAAAGTTATCCATAAACAATTGAAAGTAAAAGCATGTTTCTATGTAACTCAGGCAGTATTCAGACCTTGAATCAAACCAGATTTCTTCTCCTTTTACCACCTCATCTGGACTAAGTCTGTAAATGTTAGTTTATATTTCCCTGCTAGCTTACCCCAGTCATCATTTGAGAGTGAGTGAGCAGTTCAGATTTATGGAAAGGAACTAATCAGTAGCAATGACAGATCATGGAGCAACAACTAATCCTAAAGAGAGGAGTTTTCAGAAATTTACATGTAGATTTAAATTAAGGTGGAGGGAAAATGGACATATTCCAGCAGAGATAAGAGAAACACAGGACGATGGAACAAAATGAAACACTGAAATAAAACCTTCAGAGTTTCCTCAAGCTCTTTTGCTTGGACTCTGGTGAAGGCATATTCAACATAGAATTTTACATTTGATCTACTATATATTGTACTTCTATTTACATTCTCCTATCCTCTAGCTAGACAATTCTAAACAGTTATATAGTGAATGCAATTGCAGTAAATCATTTTCCATTTGGGTGAGTGACAAGGCCACATATTCATTCTCCTGTCAATTCACTTTCCCAATTTGTGCACATCCTTGCAAAGATAGCAGCCATGTTCCAAGGACACTGTCTTCCATTATTTTCAGCCTACATCAGGCAGAAGTGGAATAGGACATGAAACTCAGCACAAAAACATGAGAGGTTCTTCTTCACCTACACATACCCTTTCTTTAAGGAACATAATTGAAGGAGTGGCTTGTTTATAAAGAAAATGAAGACTGACATTTGGAAAACACACCCAACATAGTTTCTGAAATGATTTAACACATGTTCATCAAAATGAAATTCATTATCAATAGACTAAAGAAGAAAAAATATACGATCACATTGAGATGTGAAGCTGGCTGGGCTTCTGAGTCCGGTGGGGACTTGGAGAACTTTTCTGTCTAGCTGAAGGATTGTAAACACACCAACCAGCACTTTATGTCTAGCTAAAGGTTTATAAACGCACCAATCAGCACTCTGTCAACACGGACCAATCAGCACTCTGTAAAATGGACCAATCAGCACTCTGTAAAATGGACCAATCAGCAGGATGTGGGTGGGGCCAAATAAGGGAATAAAAGCAGACAACCCTAGCCAGCAGCAGCAACCCACTGGGGTCCCTTTCAATCATATGTAATGTTTGTTCTTTCACTCTTCGCAATAAATCTTGCTGCTGCTCACTCTGTGGGTGCATGCCACCTTTATGAGCTGTAGCATTCACTGCAAAGGTCTGCAGCTTTCGCTCCTGAAATCAGCGAGACCACGAACCCACCGGGAGGAACAAACAACCCAGGATGCACCGCCTTTATGAACTGTAACACTCACCAGGATGTTTTGCAGCTTCACTCCTGGAGCCAGCAGACCACAAATCCACCAGAAGGAAGAAACTCTGGACACATCTGAACATCAGAAGGAACAAACTCCGAATACACCATCTTTAAGAACTGTAACACTCACAGCGAGCGTCCGCGGCTTCATTCTTGAAGTCAGCAAGACCAAGAACCCACCAATTCCAGACACAACATCAATTAATGTATAAAGAGCATTTGACAAAATCAAACATCCACATTGACGATGTACAGTTTCAGCAAAATAGCAATAGAGGGAAACTATTCAAAGTTGATTAAAGGCATCTACAAATGTTTAACAGTTAACATCATACTTAATGGTGAAAGACTGAATACCTTCCCCAATCAGGAACAAAGCAAGCATATCCATCTGTGGCAATGCAAACATTTAATTTTTAAAAAGGAGGTGAAAGGACAGTACGCTGGTTGTTTCTAGCTATCAACGTGACGTCATTGAAGGCAAAACTAGAAATAGATGCAGAGTTGTCTCTTGCACCAGCAAAAGTTGACTCTAGCACACCACTGCTCCAGTGACATGGAGTGATTGGTGGTAGACTAGTTCTTCTTCCTTACCAACCAGAAAAAAAAGTATTTATGATACAATAATATCATTGTATTATAAATAATAAGATATAATATTCTATGCTGTACTTAGAAGAATAAAAACGTTACAGAAAAATGAATAACAGGTATCAATAGATAATTGATAGAAAAAGAATGCAAAAGACTGTAAATGAAGAGATGCTCTACCTGACTCATAGTAAGAAAAAATGCAAGTGGACACTGTGCTGAAATGCAATTTCTTACCTCTTAGATTTACAAAAATCCAAAAGATTGGTAATATAATATGTCTGTCAGGCCATGAGGAGACAGACATTTCCGTACATTGTTGGTAAGTACGTGGATGGCATATGCAATTACACACTTCTAGAAAGAGAATTTGGCAATACTTAGCCTTCAAATGATTTCAGTCCAGTGATTTGCTGATAGATCCAGTTTCCAAAGGTGGGCTGTGGATATAGAGCCTTGATTCATGGCAATTTCAATCTTCATTGAACTACCACTACCCTGGCTGTTTCTAGCTATCAATGTGACATCACCGGAGGCAAAACTAGAAATACATGCACAAAGTTGTCTTTTGCACTAGCAAAAACTGACTCTAGCACACCGCTGCTCCAGTCCAACCACCATCTGACTGCATCCTCATAAGAAATTCCAAATAAGAACTACCCGTCAGAGTCCAGTCAATCCACTGAAGTCTGAGAGAAAAGCAGTATGTTTCTGTTTTAAGCCACTGAAGTTTAGAAGGATTTTTTATGCAGCAATAGATAAAAGTAAAAGATAACAGATATCATCAATCATAATGCATACAATGCATGAGGATCCCTGTTACAAGACAATTTGGAAAATAAACATTAGTATTTATGTATATTAAAGAATTATCAGTAAATTTTAAAGTATGATAATGATCACTTGGGGACTAACCAAAGGAGATTTATTTAACTTTTTTCCAGCTTAATTTTCTCATGTATTAAACATGAGTAACAACACAGGGAATTAAATAGAAAGAAAATGTATGTAAAAAACTAGCACAGTACCTGGGTCATATTAGTTTCTTGATAAATTTGAGTCTCTTCATACTGCATTATATTAACCAAACATTTTTATGAAACAATATTTGGTAAAATTAAACATTAGAAAAATGTATGAAATAAAATTAGGAAGGGCAACATTAGAACTTGGAATACCTTTGACAAAAGAATAGTGAAAGATTCTCCCTGGGGCCTGAAAGCTTAAGGGAATGAATAACTCCTCCCTTCTCAGGCCCAGTCCCAAGGCGCAAGACCATTTGTGTCAGTAGTGTGCATCAGCAAGATAACAGAAGAAGGACGGGAGCTGGCCAGAAGACACATACCCCCTGAAGACCGAGAGAGAGGCTGTCCAGGTGCTGTGTAGCAGTTACATCACTTCCCGTTTACAGGAGACTATAAAACCCCTGCCCTGTCCTCACTGGTGCTGACGCCATTTTAGGCCTCAGCCCTTCTGTAACCAGGCGCTCATTAAAAACAGTGCTTCTCCACACCACCTTGTGGTGTTTGTTGGCGTACTCTACGGGTTCCAAGCGATATAAGAGCCTTGCAAATAAGAAAAAGCCTAGCTATTGCCGAGTCTCTACCAAGAGCCAGCGCCTAAGACAAACAATTAATTATTCATATTTAACCTTACATAGTGCTAACAACCAAACTTATTTAATGATAAGAGCCAACTAACCCTAACCGGAGCAGGGTTACAAAATAGCAGTTTTTTTGGAAAGGTCATTTGTAAATAAGTTCCAGATGAAAATTACATGACTAAGGCTAAGAAAGTGACAATTGTATTTAGGGTGGAAAAAAGAGAAGTATTTACAAATTTTAGGAAAAACTGTAAGTACACTGAATGGTAAGGGAATAAATAGGTGTTAACTGGATCAAAGGACATTCCTAAAGGGCTCTGTTTATAAAGAATCACTTACTTCCATTTTATTGTCAGACTGCTTTTGAAAGAAGGTGTGAAAGAATGAATATAAATATACTGCTGTTGAAAAGAATTTCATTTTCTATTTAAATTGTTATTATAAAGTCCATCTAAATGCAAGAATAGACATTTTTAATGTCTTCCTTTTAATGATTAAATGTCTTTGTTGCTGTCCAATTCCCAAGAATGATTTGAAGTAGCTTACAAAGCAAAACATATAGAAGAAAATGAATGTTTTGAGGTTGAAAGCAGGTCTATGGGGAAAAAAGAAAACTAATATAAAAAGCAAATTTCGCATGACTGTTATACATAGTAACATCCAATAAACGTTAATTGGAGGGTATTAGCTATGTGATATGGAGTGATTGGTGGTAGACTAGCTTTCCTTCCTTGCCAACTATAAAAAAAGAATAAAATTTTTAAAAAAACGTCGCTAAGAAGGCAATGGGGGTTGTGGAGGCAAAGAGAACTTGAGGCATTAAGACTACTGAGAGTGGAGAACCTTGTATAAGTGAGCTGAACTGCCAATGTTACTATGAAGCAATTTGTTAATTCTGGTTCATTACAAGAGGCTGACCATCCAGATTACATGTCAAGTGAGGATAACTGAGAGAAAAACAAAACTGACAAATATTTTTTGCAGATACTACAGGGATTGCAGACATCCAGGGTTTGCTTCAGCAGCTCCCATTGCTTTCTTAGAGATGTTTTTTTCTGTTTTATTCTTTTTTTTCTAGTTGGTAAGGAAGGAGAACTAGTCTGCTACCAATCACTCCCGATCACTCAACTAGCATCCTGCAGTTAAGTTTTATAAAATGTTCTTTTTTGCTATTTGGTAAGGAAGGAGAACTAATCCACCACCAACCACTCCCTGTCTCTCAGCTAACATCCTGCAGTTAACTTTTATCAAATGTTACCATATATAACAGGAATGTGAAATTTACTTTTCATTTTGCTTTTTAATTTTTTTCCTAATGACGTGTGCAGAATACTGGGATTCCAAGACTAACCACCTAAGTTGACAGCCTATGGAAAACACAACAGAGCATTTTTTTCAGTTTTCTGAGACAAAAAAAAAGAAAAAATCATTAAGGAAAAGGGCCCTAAAAAACCCACTGTGATCTTATTTTACACCCTAAAAGTCGAGGGAAGAACGTAGATAGAATGCACTTGCTAGGACTCAACACAGCTGTGATATAGCAAGTCTCTGATTAGATTGAGCTGAGCAGAAACTGTTTTATTGCCAGAGGGTTTTTGGCTCAGTGGTCCATATTGTCTCTTCCTGCAGCTTCTCAGGTCTGCCATTGTATTGTGAAAGTGGCCATAGACAATATGTAAATGAAAAAGTGTGGCTGTTTTCCAATAAATCTTTATTTACAAAAACAAAACAAGTTAGCCAGATTTGGCCCATGAACTATAGTTTACCAATGGTTAGCCTAGAGCGTGATAATATTATGGGGACTCTACAATTTTTATATACTATGTCAATGTTGAAACATAATCAAAAATTACTAGCTACACTAAATGATAGGCTGAAAGCCAAGGAGGAGAGAACTAATAGAAAATAAAAACAGAACTACACATCAAACAGAAATTGAAATTCGCTGATGAGGATTTTACAATGACTATTAAAAATTTTTAAAATGGATGGACAAAGTAGATGAAAATATAGAGTGCGCTCATTAGGAACAGTAAAGGGAAACATAATAATTCTGGGGCTGAAAAATAAGACATCTGAAATTAATAGCTCTAGATTATAGTAACATTAGGTTAGACACAGAAAACAGAGAAAAACAGAAGTTAAAAGAAAATATGTAAACTAAGGGAAAAAGTTAATGAAAAAAGGAAGACATAATTTCTTCAAATGGGCAAGCATAAGATTGACAGCCAACTTCTCAATAGAAATCACGAAAGTAAAAAGACGATGGATTGACTTCTTTCTAAGCGGAAATAACCAAAAATCCTGAACCCAGGAAAAATACCATTGAAAAATGAAGGCAAAAATTCATAGGTTCTAAAGATCTGTATTAAGAAAATGAAGACGAAAATTATTTTGAGGCAACCCTGTAATATTCTTGTTGGTCTTCATGTCAGTAACATGAAATTTCATCTAATCGTACATGCATCTCATGGGCAGTATTCTGTAAGTATATGTGCTTTAATAAAAGATATATTAAAATTAAAAAGCCGTGAAATAAATACCAAAATGTAAAGGATAGTCTGTAAAAGAATTGGTTAATACAGTGAAATGGTCAAATTTCTGACCACCAGATGAACTCAGAGATAGAACTCATAATACATAGAAGAGTAAATGTGTACTATGTAATAAAGATAATATCCTCTCCATAGCATTTCTCTCAACCAAATTCATGGCAAGGTATCAATTCAGAATTTTCTGTCTAAAGAGGCTCTGGAATACTGGTATTTTCTTTTGTTGAGTGAAGGTATCCCCTTGTTCCAGGCTTCAGACAAGTAGGTTGTAGTGGTGAACAACTTTTATAGAAATCCAGAGGTATAATGATCTCATGTCTGGAATACTCCAAAAGTCAATTGCTAGCTTAACCCACATAATACGAATTATAAGAAGAAAAACAATGACTTCAAAGTAAATATTAATAGTATTTAATTTCAAACTGCGTTCTTAGATTTTTAGCAGTTGCAATACCTTTTTAAAGTATTTATTTAATTATTAACAGGCACATAGATGTAATACATCACTTCCAGTTTCTGCTGGACATATGTATCGGTGTCCATTCCTCTTTAAGTAAGGGCCACAGGCTTTCTTAAAAGGGTCCTGGGAGCCTGGGGACTGAAGGAGGTAAAGGTGATTGGTGAAATGGGGGAACAGGCTCAGAATATTGGGTTGCATGAGAACTACAAGGATTTTCTAGTTGAGGTAATTTAAAGGGAAATTTTATTTTGATGTAGGAATTTTGTCTTCTGTGAAACTCATTAGCTACTAGATTTAGGTAAACAAAGGAAAATCAGGAAGTGTGAGTCTTTATAGACCCAGGGAAAATCATAGCACTCAAATTATCTTACATAATATTCATATTTGTATCTTACATCTCTTCCAAAATGATTAAAGCTAAATGAGCACTAGTGTTGTATTTCTGTCTTGTTCTCCTAACCTCTACAAACAAGATCAAGTAAACTACATATTTGTCCAGAAGGAAGGAAGAGAGGAGGAAGGGAAGCTAGGAAGGAAGGAAGATGAAAGAAAGGGAGAAAAGAAAGGGAGCAAGGGAAGAAGGAACAAGTTAAGGAATTTTTCAGTATAAAGATTCCTAAGAAAAGCAACTGCTTTCTTAATTTGTTTCTACTTTGTTTCAATTTTACAGAAATGATGGGTGATATTTAAACACATAATAATTTAACATTTATGCTAAATTGATTTAATACAAGTTAATATAAAATATAACTAAGAGAAAATGATTATGACCCAATTAAATAGTGTAGATCATGTAAAAAGAACTGTTTTATGTTCTACCTAGAGCAGCTCATTCATTTTGCAGATGCATTATCTGCCCTTACCGCATCACTACAAAACCAAAGCGTGCTAAGAGCTCAGGATATGAATGAAATAGTTTCTGCCTTTGGAATTATAAACTGATTTTGCTAGGTAGGTAAAAGAAATACAAAGGAATGGAGATGCTTGCTGCTGGAAAAATGTTTGTCAATTTGATAAATATAACAAACAAAAACTAATGGTTTTGCAGAGCTGCTTGTCACTACCTATTCACACAGCTCTTACCATTAGTCAAACTCATTGTCAGAACTGCAGGACTTCTTAGTCAGGTGAGTTTTACTACGTCTTGTAAGTAACATCCCTCCCTGTTGTTATATTTTAGGTTATCTGGATTGGAGGAGACAGGAGTCTCCAAAATCTTCACATGGTTATTGTTCCACTGGTGTCCACTGATAATATATGACAGTCCACATTTGATCCAGAAATTCTAATGTCCTAATCAATTTTAGTATAAATACTTGCTCTTAAATTACAATATTCGGCACAATTTATTTTCTTACATTCTTAATTTCTGTACGAATAGTTTTCATTCTGGTCGATCAACTTTCCTCTAAGACTATACAAATAAAATTCCATTTGTTCTTTTTGACTTATTAAATTTTAAGTCATAAGAATCTTGATATTTCTGTTATGTTTATCTACTCTCTACCTCTCACTGCTGCTACTAGTAATATATGTTACAAATAGTCAATCATTCCAGTGTACTGATATCTGTGTCTGATATTATCTATCAAAAATATTTTTAGTGTCTTTAAGTGTGTTGCTTCATTTTATTAAATTATGAACTCATTTGTCATTATTTACTGAAAACAGAGATATAATTTCCATAAATTATTTTCAAACATATATTATTTTCAAAGAAACATACATTGTGGTATGTGTGTTTTGGTATAACCTGATCCAGGAAGTGCCTTATAATATTGCCTAAGTATTTTTTTCTTCAATTTTTATATAAAAGATTTTCTTTGAAACCAAAAAAATACTGTTTTAACAAAAGACAAAGTGGATACATAATCTAAAAATTGAGCTTAGTTTTATTATTTTATTATTCTAATTGTTTTACAGTCTAAATATATGTATAAAATGTACATAAAACATCATATTCAAAGGAAAATAATTATGATTTCCTTGTTCTAGATTTTTATTTTATCATGATAAGAAAATGTTACACAACTTAAGCAATTTCAATTTAGAATATTATATATTTTCATTGAATATTTTTGGTTATTTTTGAATCAGATTTTTCTCTAGGGCCAGTCAAAACAATGTAGAATTTTCAACAATTCTGCCAGGATAACTATTATTTAAATTGGTTTTGTTTAGTGTATTAACTGCTGGATAGCTGTTTAATTTTTGCTTCAGCTAATTTGAACATTAAAGAAAAAGAAGATAAGTATTTCTTTTTTTTTTAATTTTTTTTTTTTTTTTTTTTGAGACACAGTCTCACTCTGTCGCCAGGCTGGAATGCAATGGCACGATCTCGGCTCACTGCAACTTCCACCTTCCGGGTTCCGGCTAGTCTTCTGCCTCAGCCTCCTGGGTATCTGGGACTACAGGCGTGCACCATCATGCCTGGCTAATTTTGTACTTTTAGTAGAGGCGGTATGTCACCATGTTGGCCAGGCTGGTCTGTATCTCCTGACCTCGTGATCTGCCCCCCTCAGCCTCCCAAAGTGCTGGGATTACACGCGTGAGCGACAGCGCCCATCCAAGTTATTTCTTAAAATATTTTCTTTACTGGTAAGAAGGTCAGTGCTGTTAGGAAGTTGAACAGCATCTATGAAAGAAAATCTTTTTGAATGGTTGAATAAATACCGAGTACTAGTAATAGTCACAGTTCGATTTGAGAGACCAAAAATGATGCCAGTGTGTTTTGCTTAGATGTAAACTAAAAAAGAGATATTCTAATTTTACTTTGATACTACTACTCCTAAGCTTTTGTTTTCTCTGCCAGTTTCCAAGAAACCAAGGTAAACTATGAACCAAAAAATTTATGTGTGATTGAAAGAAATTAGCACTGAGGATGACGAGAAGAAACACAGAAGCAATAAGAATCATGTTTTGAATTCCCATGGAAATTCAATACTGCAGAAGGTCTGTTTAGCTCCTTGGGAGTGCATTAAACGTATCAGGAGTCTGTGACTGTCTGCAGACTATTTGAAGTCAATGGAGCAGTTAGACAATTAGACACAGTTTTCCATTTGGCTTAAATGAGTAATCACCTCATTTCCGCTATTCTATTTCTTGACATCTAAAGCCATTTCATACTCTGCTTATAGAAAAAAAGAAAATTCTCACCCCAGAGTAGTAATTGTATGTTTATGTTGATTTGGAGGTGACTTTCAGCAATGAGCATGATTATTTCTTTAACAGAAAAGCAAGTAGAAAAAAAGGTAACATGCGTGTTTTATTTTGAAACGATTTTTTTCATTCAGTGGTGGCTGCATTTTGTTTGCAATATACAGAAATATCCTTCTTGTGCAGCCAAAAGTAGTTCTAAATCCTCTTTGTCTGCAGAATAGCATAGAGAGAAAATTCTACCACATTTACTGAAATTGGGTAAATGTCCCAGCTGCCTTGCAGAAATTCTGCTAATTTGTATTTTCTTGCCTAAACAACTGAGGAATCCAATTTTTGAATTCCCACAAGAACTTCTAAGCACTATTCTTAGGTAACTTGCATAAATAAAAATTCAAATAAACTCTAATATATCCATACAGTGAAGAATAAATAATAAGATTATGAACAGCTTATTTAATATATCTTACATTTTAAAACATAATTAAATTGTTACTTATTCTCAAACCATTAAATGTGTTTGTATGACTCTACAAGTTGATTCGTTTTTCCAAGATCATAAAAAATTGGTATCGAGCATCTGAAAGTATAATCCATGACATCTGATTCTCTCTTTAGAACCTAATGTCATATTATAATTTTAGAGAACTTGATGACTCTACCAGGTGAAGTTCTACTATTTAAAATATACCACAAGCGAAAATAGAACACAATAGGTGGGTTTTGAAACTTATTAGGTGTGTGTGTGTTTATATAAATATGTATAATTATATATATTACCACACATGTATTAGAACTGATAAAATCCAAAGAAATATAAAATTCACTAAAGAAGAAAATGCATTATATTGCAATATGAAATTATTTAAAAATTAATTGAATCTTTGAAATTTGGAAGATTCGATGCTGGCATATTGTATATAGAGAGAATGTAAGTAACATGATTCACTATTGTTTTATAAACTGTGTTTTCTAATTACTGGATAATACACATGAAAGTGTGATATCTCAGAAAGGCAAATTATTTTGCACAGGATATCTACACGTGAAAGATATCAGTGACAAATCTCAAGATTTTATGATGGTTAAGATATAGATGGATTTGTGGTAGATAAAATGTTCCTAGATTTTATGTATAAAACCCAAAATCTGTGAGTATACAAGTAGTGGTTATTGAAGGGTAGTTTCAATAAGGGTGGTTATTTGTATGTAGCTAGGGAGCTGCAACACAGGTACAAAGGCCGTATATGCCCTCCCCACCTCACTCCTCTTCTAAATCCATATTTACACAAAGCAGAAAACAGTAGTGCAGGTCAAGCTGCTCTAGTTATTTTACGGTTGTACTGGAAGGAGAGCCAAAAACTCAGTCAATTAAATGACCAAGGGTGTATGAGAAGCCCAGCAGAGACAGTGGAACAGAAAGACTATATCCTCTTCAGTCAAAAATGAGTTATGGCTGGGCACAATGGCTCACAACTGTCATCCCAACAATTCAGGAAGCAAAGGAAGGTGGAGAGCTTGAGGCCAGGAGTTTGAGATCAGCCTGGGTAACATAGCAAGACCGTTTCTAAAAATATAATTTAAAAAAAATTAGCTGGGCATGGCAGTGCACACCTGTAGTCCTAGCTACTCAGAAAGCTGAGGCAGGAGGATCCTTTTGAGCTCAGGGGTTCAAAGCTGCAGTGAGCTATGATCATGTCATTGCACTCCAGCCTGGGCAACAAAGACCTGTCTCTCTCTCTAAATAAATAAATAAATATATATATATATATATATATATATATATATACACACACACACACACACACACATATAAAATATATATATACACACATATGTAAAATATATATGTGTATATATATATACACATATATAAAATATATATACACACATATATAAAATATATATATGTGTATATCTATATACACACACACACTATACCCTGTCTCTAAACTCTCTCTATATATAATATATATATTTATATAAAAAATAAATATTACATATATGAAATAAGTCCAAAATGTTATTTTGTCATCTTGGAGAATTTCTGGTTTTTTCTTGGCATTACATAATTTAAGATTTGTTATGTATTATTTAATAATTATTGATATTTCACTAGAAAGTACATAACAACTTCACCCAATAATTGTGAGAAAGGAATATACAGTACAAACCACGCATGAGTCAACAAAGGAAGGAGGCAAGTCCTAAACTAGAGACCCAGGGGAATTTCATGAGAAAGGTCCAACTGACCCCACGTGATGGCGGCAATTAAGTGCTAGGCATTGATTTAACACATATTTCAGGGATTTTCCAGGAACTAGATACTGCCCCAGAAATTGCCTAAGCTTGGGAATTGTGGCCGCTTTCTCCCCAAAACCATAATCTTGAAGAAAAAGCAGCCGAACAAAAAGATAAATAAAAATACACAGTGGCAAAATTAGGTAACACTTCATAATTATGATAAGAGTACCATGGGAAGTCAAAAGAGGGTTTCATGAACTGAACTTAAATATAGGATAAATTTAATAATTAATTTTTCAAAGATGTAAAATTATATCACTATTTTTTATAACCAATGTCTCTTAAAACAGCTGATGAAAATGTTATAGTATGTTTGCAGTAAATTATAATTATTTTATACCATTTTCCAGTATTTAATTTAATTATGAGAATTGACTTGAATATCTTTGTTCCATAAGATAAATTAATGATAATATTATTAGGGAAATTTGTCAAAATTTGCAGCATCTATCTCTTAGCAATGTTCTTATGTTGAATATTTATTCTTATTTAGAATAAACAATACTTTATTACAGCTTTTATTATGGTTTTCGAATTATTGAAGTATAGGTTGAATGAATTTATTATGCTTTCATGCAAGATTTAGCCTTCAAATCAAGAAAGCAAATGAAATCATAATGCCACATGGTAATGAGGAGAAATCTTGTGTGAAACTGATGCCGAGTTCTTTTGCAGGGAGTCTACCTTGTCTTGTGGATGTTACTAGAGTTTTTCTATTTCCATGATATTCTGTCACTTATGTATACAATTCCTCCTTTGTGATTTCTTATTATTCATTGTGCTATTTTTCAAATATATATGTAACGAAAATTGTTTTTTTCTTATACTGTTTTTAGACTATTTGGTTGACATTGTTTCTTAAAAAATGAAAACTGCTTGTCATTGACCTTTTTTTCCATACTCCTGATGAAGTCTCTAGTTTAGTCTTGTTTTCATTCTTTTGGACTGGTGACTGGTTTTGGTGACTTGTGAGGGGTGTCTATGTGTGATTAGTTTTATCCATTCTAGAGTCTTTTATGATGATCTACTTTTCAAGTCATTCCTTATCTTTTATAATAATGTGCCCTCATATACACCATGGAATACTATGCCGCCATAAAAAAGGATGAGTTCATGTCCTTTGCAAGGACATGGATGAAGCTGGAAACTATCATTCTCAGCAAACTATCACAAGATCAGAAAACCAAACACCACATGTTCTCACTCATAAGTGGGAGTTGAACAATGAAAACACATGGACACAAGGAGGGGAACATCACACACCGGGGCCTGTCGGGGGGGTGGGGGACTAAGGGAGGGATAACATTAGGAGAAATACCTAATGTAGGTGACGGGTTGATGGGTGCAGCAAACAACCATAGCACGTGTATACCTATGTAACAAAACTGCACGTTCTGCACATGTAACCCAGAACTTAAATTATAATTAAAATAATAATAATAATAATGTGCCTTAGTGTGGGTGGCTTACCTTTCATTCATTCAGTGATACTTGATGGACCATTTGAGACTAAATCGAAATTTCTCTTCACCTCCAGGAGATATTTTGCTATTGCCTTTTTGATGATATTCTTCTATTCATTCTTTGTCCCACTGCCTAGTAATGGTAGTACATCAGATGCCTGATGCCTTATTATCTCATTCCGTTGGCATTTTTTGTGACTTTCCTCTACATTTTATGAATATTCATCTGGTTTTTCTTTCAAACATTGTAGTCATTTTTAAACTTTAAGAAGTCTCTCTAGCTTCCTATTTCATTTTGATAGTACATGTCCTCCCAACCAACCCTCCTCAATCCTCCATAGTGGCAATATCTTCTTGGGAATCACAAGGAATTGTTTTTTTCCTATTGTTGTCATTAAGGCTTCATCTACTTTCTGAATTATCTCAGCATATTTCTGTGATGAGTTTTTTGCTTGTTTGCTTATCATTTTTCACTTTTCTTTTTATTTTGAAATAATTTCAAGCACAGGAAAGTTGCAAAAATAATTTAAAAAATTCTATACATCCTTTGCCCAGACTCACCATTTACAATATTTTAACTCATTTGTTTTTAATCCTATAATAATAATTACAATAACAATAATAAATATATCTTCATTATGGTAATCATTTCACAATACATATATCAAAACATCACATTGTGCATCCTAAATATATACAATTTATTTGTAAAACATACCTGAATAAAGCTGTAAAATACTAACTTATTATTTTTATATTTTTCAGAAGCAGCATCTCAGTTCGTTGCCCAGGCTGGCCTCAAATTCCCAAGTTCAAGTGATTTTCTTGCCTATAAGCCTAAAGATGCATGCCACCATGTCCAGCTTATAATTTATTATTATTGTTTTAATTTTAAGTACAATTTGTATTTTAGAATATCTTTAAGTTTATAGAATATTCATGAAAATAATACAGAGGATTCCCATCTACACGACTCCCAGTTGTTTCTAGTATAAACATCTTTCACTGTGATGGTATATCTGTCAACGTGAATAAAACAATATTGATGATATATTATTTTAAAATAAAGTATAATGATCTTTTCAGTTTCAGATCCCCTTCAGGATCGCATATTACATTTAGTTTTCTTTTGCCTGTGACAGTTTCTCAGATTTTTTGTTGTTTTTAAGTCATTTCTTTTTACACTTTAGCTATTTTCGCATGTCTTATAAACCTCAATTATCCATTCATATTCATTTGCAGAAAGCTGCTGGAGTCATCTTGCCGCCACCTTTGTTTCTGCAGATGCATATCCAGGCTCCTCTTCCCTCTCACCCCTCCTCACCACATTGTTCACGAGGGAAGATGGGCTAATGATTGGGAGTGATTCTGTTTGTGAGAAGAGTTGTTTTCTTGGAAGCATTAAATCTAAATCAAAGTAGAACAATGACAGATCTGGATGATAAGCTGGGTTTTGAAGTGTCAGAATGCTGGGGGTTTCTGTTCCTTACAAGGTCACTGCTACCTTAATTCTCCTCAGACGCTTTTCAATAGCTGTACAGGAGGTGCTGATCTTTTTTCTTTTAGCTTGGTGATGAATAAAAGACTATAGAAACTTAACCTGTACAAATAAAAAGAGGCAAGAAGATGGAAGTGTGATCAAAATTTAGTATTGTGTTGCCATAGATATATTTTTAATTAACTATTTCCCTCTCTGTGTACATCTGCCCTCGGCCATAATTACTGGCTTCAGAACAAGACACTTTCAAGGGTTTGTCTTTGCGTATTCAGGAACATCTCACCTCACGGTGACTCTACTTCCTTCTTTGTAAAATTTGCTATAACCTCTTGTCTTCTATTGGACTCCTCTCAATCTCTCTAGCATTTGTCTCTTTTCCTTTAAAAAATGTCTTTCCTGGCTGGGCTCAGTGTGTCACGCCTGTAATCCCAGCACTTTGGGAGGCTGGGGAGGGTGGATCACAAGATCAAGAGTTCAAGACAAGCCTGGCCAACGTGGTAAAACACCATCTCTACTAAAAATACAAAAATTAGCTGGGTGCAGTGGCAGGAGCCTGTAATCCCAGCTACTTGGGAGGCTGAGGCAGGAGAATCGCTTGAACCCAGGAGGCAAAGGTTGCAGTGATCTGAGATTGGGCCACTGCGCTATGTAGCCTGGGCGATAGAGCAAAATTCCATCTCAAAAATAAAAAAAAAAAACAACTTTCCTTAAAAGCTTCTTAAGAATTAAGACGACAGCCATTTGATCAGCCTTCCTATTTCAACAAAACTATTATTGTTATTCTTTGTCATTTTTGACGATGCAACAATATAATGATATATGCTAGGCACATTTCTTCTATTATTATTAAAGCATATAGTTCTTTTAAAAATATTCATCATATTTTTTCTGCAGTTACCTTTCAATATTCTGTAACCACGGTTCTGTGAAATTTTCTTTTTTACTTCTATTTTTCATCATCATACTTGTGTTATTTAGCAAACAGAACTTTCTGTTTTATATATGTTTATGGAAGATACTTATTTGTCAAAATAAAAAAAACACATTTTCTGTAGTTAACACTGTAACATTTTGTGCTTTGTTCATATTCAAATTATAATTTCAGGTAATTTTAGAGTAAAATAGTTTCCCAAAACTGGGATTCCCTCATGTATACAATGGAAAAAATAATACTCACCAAATAAAATTGCATGAGGCAGAATTAATGCACATAGCAGGGAATTAGTACTAAATCAAAACTGCATATATTAATGCTATATTTTGTAGTAATTGTCTACTTTCTTGTGCATCTGTCCCATTACTTTAATTTTAAACTTTTTGAGTTTTTTTTTTTTTTGAGTTATTTGATTACTTCACCTTCATCTCTGGCGATGTATATACTAAAGTATTTTTTTGTAGATGAATTTGAGGATTTTACACTAGAATATTAATCACAGCACCACAATATAAGGAACAAACATTGGTTAAGAATATCCATTAGATGAAATACTATTCAAATAGGTATAGAAAATTTCAAAATATTTAGGGCCATTGGGAAAAGTTCACAACATATTTTTCAGAAAAATCAGGCTACATATATGTAAAAAATAATTTGTTCAATTGTTAACATTAGCATGTATTTGTGTTTGAAAATAATAAAGGAGTGAACAAAATGTAACAAATTGTGGCAGTTGTTATCACTTTGTTAGCTGATTAAATGTGTTTACTTTCCATTCATGTGTTTTAATGGTATTTCTTTAATGATATTTAAAGAAATACCATTTATATAGGTATTATCAGATAAATATAAAAATGCTGTGAAAATAGAAAATTATATTAAGCAACTGGAAAAGATTTTGAAGAGCAAAGAAAATATGAAAATATGAAAGGCATATGTTTCTAATTGCAATGCATCTTATGAGTAGAGAAATACTTGAGATATGACTAGTGAGAGAAAATAGCTGGAGGAACAATTACTACATAGTATCTTAGAGAGAAAAATTAACACCGTAGTAAGAAAATTATGTAAAATGGTTAATATTAAGATGTGATCAAGAAGAAGAGAAGGGATTGGAACTGGGGGAGCGATGAACAGAATTCAACATATAGTGATAGGGCAAAGAGCAGGACAGAAAAAATTATCATTAGGATAACACAGCTATGTTCTAGACAGGTATGGAAACAACCCACAATCAGATGGATTCAAAAATACATTTAAATTAAATATTTATCTTTACATATCATGGGTGAATAGAAAGGTTTTGCATATGGATGCATCTCAGGACATGTTCTGGTTTTCTGTTTGGATAATTTATAGACAGAATGTTACAGGGCAAGACATTTGGGCTAAGGTTAATGTGCAATTGTTTGAGGTCTGTGAAGGTAGTAAATTGGGGATTTGTTACGGTGGAAGGATTAGGCTAAATGTCAGTTGTGCACTCTCGGTTACCTCTATAGCAGCTCTTATCTAGCAGGATTTTAATAACTTGATCATTTGCAGGGTCTCCCTCTACCAACAGACTATGAACTTCTTTACTTGTCTTTACATCCCTAGACCCTCGCATAGTGCTCAGAATAAATTTTAAATGAAGAGGTGCACGGATTATTCATAATACCCTAAAGACGATCAAGACTGAAAAACGATTATCTGTGTGGAGAAGAATTTATCAGTAAAATTGAATCCCATCTCATTGTTATTTAACTTTAGCAGAAGAGGGACATTGAAAAAAGAAGAAAGGTCTCTGAATTGCCAGCAAAAAATAATGTTGTCACAGTGTAAGAAAAAAATACATTTGGAAATAGTGTATTTAAATAATTTTTCAAGTGTATTTTTATTTACTGTTAATAAAAATACAATTTATACCTATATGAATATATAATAATCATATATGTTGACGTAAAGAGTCATTTATGGCTTTATATGTTTTAATTTGAAGATTTTACCCATCAATCTGAAAGTCAAATTATATCTATTAGTACCTTCCCTGCCTTGAAATGAGTAGATTTAATAACTAAATAACCATACACTGACTGTGCTTAGAATAGTCAGTACTATACCATTTATTTTAAATATGTGGTTTTTAAGAAATCCATTTACTTCACAGAGTTAATACAGAATTACAGAACTTTTAGTAGTTCTGATTGGTTTGAGAAATAGAAGAGATAAAGAAACTACAGTATAAAAATGACCAAATATTAAGATAGACCTTAGATACACACTTTCTCTTCTTTCTTTTTTTTTTAACCTAGAACACAATTGAAAAATGAGCAAGCCTTTCTACAAAATGATAAATTCCTTTTCTTAGAAAATTTGATAACTCATAAATATATGTACATATAAGTAAAAAATGTTTAAAGATGTTATTTCATATTTTAATGTGTTTCAGTATAAATAAAAACGTACTGTACCTCTTCACTAAAAAATGTTGGCACAATAAGCTTTGGATAATATTGATTTGCTTCTCACAATACCTAAAGATATAATTTATGGATAAAGAAAGAAGATCATCAATACCTTACAAAATAAATGAGTTTTCACTTTGTAAATATTAATCAGAACATAAAAATACAGAATCTGGCCAGGCGTGGTGGCTCACGCCTGTAATCCCAGCACTTTGGGAGGCCGAGGCCGGCGGATCACTAGGTCAGGAGAGCGAGACCATCCTGGTTAACATGGTGAAACCCCGTCTCTACTAAAAACACAAAAAAAAATTTAGTCGGGCGCGGTGGCGGGCGCCTGTAGTCCCAGCTACTCGGGAGGCTGAGGCAGGAGAATGGCGTGAACCCAGGAGGCGGAGCTTGCAGTGAGCCCAGATGGCGCCACTGCCCTCCAGCCTGGGGAACAGAGAGAGACTCCGTCTCAAAAAAAAAAAAAAAGCACAGAATTTTCTTTACATAGTCTTGTAATGAATCTTGGCATTGAAAACTATTAGACTTTCCATATTTGATATAACTTCCTTATAGCTTTAATTCAATTTGTAATTTTTTCTAATAATGAAATGATGCCATTTTCCTGCTTGAACGTCTCTCCCATGCCTTCGATAACTCCTCATTGATTCCAGAATTAAACCTAAATACTTCAGCATCACACTCAATGCCCTTCACAGTGTGCTGCGTCTTCCAAGCTCATTTCTTGACATTGCGTCCGTTATCTGTGACTTATTGGTTAGCCATAGCGTCTCTGAATACACATTACTTTCAGATCACTCTTTCTATGTTTATCCATTTGCTGGGAATATAAAGGCAATGTATATAGCATATTTCCTTGAAGTCCTCACTATTCACTTATAAATGAATCGAGATTTTGTCTCTTGACTAGCACTCAGTATATGCTTCTCTTTTCTCACTCTATGTTTATCTATATTAGAGTATTTATAATATACGTGTTTATGAGTTTCATCAGTTTTACACCCATCAAAACCTAAAAATCCTTCATACATTTTAATATCTACCCAGGAAATGAGTTTAAGTGAATCAATTAAGAGGAAATGAATACTCGACTTATTCAGACCGAAGTTGTTATTTGGGATTTGTTACTAGTATGTGTATTTTTATTATGACACAACTAATGCAGTGATGTGTTATGAAACAAATCTGAGCCAAAAAGCAGGTTTTGAAATCAACTTCACTTATAAAGGCATTATCTTGGCTACATTATTTAATATCTTTTACATCTACAGATGCTTATCACCTTAAGATGGGATTACTTCCTTATAATTACACATCATAAATTCAAACTATTGTAAGTTGAAATGCATTTAGTACCTTAGTAAACCTATTTTAATATCAAAAAAATCCCAAATTGAACTATCTTAAGTTGGGGACCATCTGTAGTTTCTTGCATGAAAAATAGGAAAATATAGTGATATTCTGAGGTTAATTATGTAGATTAATAAAGAATTCGCTTGAATGTAGGACTTAAAAAATAGTCAAAAACTCAGTAAATATTAGTTCACAGGCATTCACTTTTATATTAGAAAACAAGTTGCTATATTTCTCTATGACTCAGTTCACTCATTTTAAAGGAGAATTTTGAAATGATTAATAAATTTATATTTATCACTAACATTTTACCTATAATAGTGATTTCACAGTGTTCATTAAAATTAATTTGTACATGTGAACGCCCCCATAGATTTGGATTTGTTTTAGGCATTCAACAAACACACAAATTAATATTTTATTCACTTCGGACCTTTTTAACTATTTTGTAACTTCTCTTATTTCTTACTTTTTTTAAATAAGTAACTTTGGAGCAAAAGTTTCTTCCTGCTTAGTCTAAAAATTTGTGTAATCAAATGACAACACATACATGAACATGCTAAAGCAGAGTAAGGTGTTAAGTAAGTATAAAGTATTTTCATATCTTACATTTATGGTTGCAAATTGCTTCCATTATCTAACTACTTAGGAAATTAGTGGTAAGTGCCTATATATTTATAATATAGCCATTTTTAGTTGAGAAACCTGAGACTGAGTTCAAGTGGCTTGCCAAAGATATCCTGTCCAATAAGGAGCAGAATTCTGATTCAAACCCAGATTTACTCACTCCTCCTGATCCAGCTCCTTTTTTTCTTTATTAAAATGTTGTAAAAATAGTTCTTTGCATAGATGCTACTAATGAGGATGTATGAAATAAAGCTATATAACTATATGCAGTCTTCCAAACCATGAATAAAAATAGCTACAACTGAAATGCTATGAGGACTTTACCAATTCTGATATCAGCAGATTAATTATTCATAACAAAATGGTATATAGATACATTTATATACCACGTTTCTCATGTAGAACCTCTTGATCATTGGTACCTAACTTCATTTGTGTGGATACCTGCTGAGCCAACATAGGTGAAGAGCAGCATGAAATAATCATTCCTACAACAATTTTCTCCTCCAGAATGTACAGCTATACCTTTGCCGGTCACACCATGAGTGCATCACATATACTTAACTAGATCGGCACATGCTTTACTGTCAAAACCAGAAGAAATTCTGAAAGCCAGAGAAGGCTCCACGTGTAATTATTTCAAAACATAAGGCCACTCCATGCCCAATCAGCCACTCTCTGTGTTTTGTTTTATTATAATCTTTAATAAAAGTAAGGTTTCCAAAGAAAGAAAAAGGTAAATGGAAGATTAAAATATTGAGAGTATAGTATTGAAATTAACTGAGAATTTATTAGAACCTGAATTTTGGTCTTGGACCTACTGATGCTGTTGAACCTTTGACACCCATTATTAGAATAAAGAAAAAATACTTTTAAGTGCTTATTCACTCATTAATTCAACTATTTACACTTTCACTTAATAAAAATAGTATTTTACCATTAAGTACTTTCTTTAGACCCCACCTAATCATTCAGCATTAACTCCATTTGTTTACCTTCCATTGTAGCAAAAACACTCATATGAATCAGTACTCACTATTACTTTTTAATTTATTTTATGTTTTTCTAGAGATGAGGCCTCATTCTGTTCCCCAGAATAGAGTGCAGTGGTGTGATCATAGCTCACTGCAGCCTTGAACTGCTGGATTCAAGTGATCCTCCTGCTTCGGCCTCCCAAAGCACTGGGATTACAGCTGTGAGCCACCACACCTGCCCTCACTATCTCTTAACTCCCCTTTTCCCATTATTTATTAAACTCATTCCAGAAGGGCTTTTCTTCCCATTACTTCATTGAAACTGCTCTTGTCAAAGTCAGCATTGAATTCAACATCACCAGATCCAATGGTAAATTCACATTTTTCATCTCATTGGACATATTAGCAACACCTGAGAGAGCTGCCTTTTCTTGAAATGTTATTCTCCTTGTTTTTAGGCCACTGTATTATAATTTAAACAAAGCTATAACAACATCTAGGCCCTGAATAGACTCATTCCAGGTAACCACTTTATTCTAATAATGGGTTTCAAAGGTTCTTCAACAGCATCGTTAGTAAGTCTAATGGCGTCTCAGTTAATCTCAATGGTATACTCTCAACATTTTAATCTTTCATTTGCCTTGTTCCTTCTTTAGCAACCTTACTTTTATCAAAGATTAAAATAAAGCAAAACACAGAGAGTGGATGAATATACATGGAGCGGCCTCATGTCTTGAAATAATTACACACGGAGCCTTCTCTAGATTTCAGAATCTCTTCTGGTTTGACACAAAAGCATGCACAAATCTAGCGACTTCTATGTCATTTTCTATTTTACCCTAATTTATCTGCTGGATTCCCTTTCTCAATGCCCCAATGTCAACCTTACAGTGCACCAATACCTTAACTTTCCAATCGCTTATCCTTTAAATTTACTCCACCCAACGTTCTCTCCTAGAGGAACTGAATGCTTCTTATACACAAATGAATTCAAAGTTTGCAACCCCAGGCTCATCGTGGCTAAAATCTAGACTTATGTATACAGGTGTTTATTAGAATTCTAACTGGATTTCTAATAAGCTCTGTTTTCCAACTTTTCCCTCCCAAAATAGTAAATGCAACATTCACCCCCTTGCGCAGTTTCAATACTTTGAAGTCTACCTTCTTGACTGTTCTTTTATACCCTATATTCAATCTGTCAGATAATTTGAGAATTTAAACTTCCGAAGATATTCTGAATCTGACCATCTTAGCTAATAGCTTCCTAGTTCAAATCACGTGATTTCTTAGATTACTCAAATCTCCATGCTTCCAACTTTGTACTGCTCTCTCTCTATATATATATACACACACAAACACACACATACATGTACTGCTATAAATCTATATATACAGTATATATAATATATATGCTATATCTATATACTATATATGTTTCTCATATATATATAATATATATATATATTTGTATTTTAAAATATTAACTGTCCCTTACTAAATATCTGCCTGGGCCTTACAAGCAAAATTATAGTAAAATCTAGGTCCTGAATAGTCTCGTTTCTGATGACTTCTGTAACCTCCTTATCTAATATTCTTTTCTTTGCTTACTCTATGCTAGACTTCTCTGTGTGGCAAAATTCATCTGTTTTATTTAATGGGTACCCCCCAATCCTATAACATGGTCTGGCACACAGTAGGTTCTCAATAAATATATCTGAAAAGAGCAAATAAGTTAATGAATGAATGATAGTGCCACTACCAGCTTCATCACATGGTGAACTCTATCTGCTGTCAACAATTCTCTTTTTGCTATGCAACAGATTGTTCAGAGTTTGTACTAATGAGGGTCCCAATGTACATTCTCATTAGGGTTTACAAAAGTTGATGCATTTCTGATTTCTATCGTAAAGTCATATGTGGATTGAAATTTCAAGAATTATGTAAATATTCATAAGTCCATACTAGTATAAATAAATGACTGACGAAATAAGTGGGAGAAAAGGGGTAACTGTTTCTTATGGAGGCATTCCAATCAATACACGTAGTCAGAATGAGGAAAATAGAAAATATCGGTAATACTTGCTGCAGGATAGATTTGCTGATGGATGCAAAGGGGAGACAAGATAATTACATGATTTCAGTATACTCTTCAAAATGTTTAGTAATATAAAGAGAACAATAATAATTTTACAGTGGAAAAATCCTGGTAGGCATTATTCCAGTCCAATGATCAATGCTAACATCGCAAATAGTAAACCACATTGAAATAATATACCCTCTGATGAGATGTACCAAGAGTGTATATCACTTCTGTGTTATTCTTTTTCCAGATGCTCAATCTCAATTGAATCATTACAAAATCAACCAAACCCAAATTAAGTGGCATTTTTACATAATACTCAAAACACCAACTTTTCCTAAGTATCAAAGTCATGAAAGACAAGGAACGTATAGGAAGTCTTCATCCACTAGAAGAAGTTAAGGAGAAACCTATAGCAAGTTTCTATAACAGAATATAAGTGAAAAGCTGAGGCAATTCAAATAAAGTAGTTAGCTAAGAGATCTGTACTCACAAACATGTAGTTTTGATAACTGTACTGCGGTTACATGTAAGATGTTAACATTAAGAGGAACTTTGCCAAAGATGTATGGCAACTCTGTATTTTGTTTTTTTGTACTATTTCATATGTCTAAAATTGTTTCAAAACTAAAAGTTGAAAAAAGCCAGAAACAAATACAATAGAAATTATAGTATTTTCTTCTTGCCTTGGGGAATTATCCTGAAGTGTGTCTGCCCTCCTTTAGAGGCAAATTTTACCTGGTAGTTAAGTACAAATATCACCTTTAATAGATAGCTGGGTTTCTGCAAAGTATTCTCACTTTACAATAAATTCTTCTGTTTTGTAAACTAAGTTGCATTTCCAAAACTCTCTAGTCTGGTTCACAGAAAAATATATAATTATTTATAAATTCAGTGTGTGCTCTAAGTTAGTTCAAACAATTTTAAGTCATTTTTCTTGCCTAATGTAAACTAGTAGCATTCGGAACCCCATATTTTTGTAGGAATATTACGTATGGCATTGTTTTATTGTATATTTTAACAATTCATTTGTTCATCATATGATAATTTAACAGTTTCCTGAAAATGTAGCTGTTAGAAAACTGGCCAAAAGGTATACGCGGTTATTAGACTTAAAAATGAAATAAGTTGTATAAATAGCTAGAATAATAATCTTGGCAAGGGAATAATGGGTGACTAGAAATATAAATTTTATTAATAAAAAACAATAAGAATAATTTTTGTAATGTATTTCCTTATAGCTCATCCCTCTCCTTTCTAACAGTTGCTTTAATTCTCACTTTACCTGGCTTTATATTTTCTACAGCAAATGCATAGTGATTTTCAAGTCAAGCCCCTGAAAAAGACATGTAAACACACAATCACCAATACATGTTTTCATAGACACTCCCTATTAATTTTAATTTCCTAAACAGCCATGAAATAAGATATTTATATAAAACATACCTGATAAAAATATTTATAATTAGGGGATTTCTCATCTTACTAGTATGAGAGGTATCACCTCTTATTACCAAGTCATGTGATTATCCCATCAGCAAAGATACATCATATTTTCTGTTTTGCTATAAATACAGTCAATTCACAATATGCTTTAGAATAACATATTCACCAACTCAAATTTACAGAACAAAATTAATGTATGTATTCATCTATTTATTTTTAAATTAACTTACATTCAAATCTGAAAGTCAATGATGATGGTGAATCCAACCCAAGTCATTAACGTAGCTCTCTCTGCCATTGGCCATCCTAATTTTAAATTAATCAACTTAATAAAACTAATGACAAATAAACAATCTTTTCTAGCTTATTCATCTTGCAGACATCAAATTGGATATTTGAACCCAGATTTCCTGATTCTTGCAAGTTTTTTGTTTTTTGTACCTTGCTACCTCCTGTTGGAATTCAGTTGGAATAAATAACATTATTAATGCATATGGTTGAATGGAAGCTTTATTTACAGTGGCTTCTACTACCTGCCCTCCAAAACAAATTAGAAGATGGGCTTGAATATCATGTTAGATTTTAAGGAAAATATACTTTAAACTTTGTTGTTACTGAAATATCTGTTTACAAAAAAAAATTAAATTGTGTTTTGGCAATGCCCAGGTAATTTGATTTTTTTTGGTGGAACATTAAAATAGTTTCCGCATTATCAACTATTCACATGTAAATGAGCAGATATTTTAACCCTTTAATTACATTGAAGATAATTAAATAATAAACTATTCTTGAACATTTGAAAATATAAGCCTTTAGAAAATGTATTAATAAATTGTTCACATATTTTAAGCATGTAATATTGATAGATCTGTCAGTTAATAGTAACGATTCAAGTTTTGCTTTGATATTTGTTATCAATTTCAGTTAACATTCTTGAATGTACTTCTGTTTCATACTTGGGAAACACCAGAACTACCTTCCTATTAAGCTTTGAAAGTCACAAGTTAACAATCTTTACATTTCAAGATTTCAAAGGCATTTTCAGAGATAAAACCCTCTCTGACAGAAGAATAATGTTCCATTTTATTTATTCATTTAATAAATATTAAATGAGTACCTATTATGTGTCACATATAGTTTTCTAAGTCTATCTGCTGTTATGCTAAAGACACTATAGCTATAATACATGCTCACTTGACATATGTCAGAAATGTTTACTCAAGTTAGTGTAGAATGGCTTTCAGTATAATTTACACTATTGTTACTTTTCAAGAAGTATTACTTTTTTTCCATAAGAAAGATCATAGATTTTATGTGAAATTTTAACCTTACATGTGGCAAAAATTTGAAGACAAATAATAATACATGAACAACTGAAGCTATGCCACCATTATTGACTTAGGTCTTAAATTATGCAAAGGACTTTGGAAATACCATTGATTTATTGCTTGGCTGTGTTATATTTTTAAAACAAAAATTGATTTTTTATGTCTTTGGTTTGTTTAGGGACAAAGTGCTAAAATGGGTATTTCAGAAAAGGAAAGATAAATGCCTGTAAAAGAGAATGTTTATAAAAGTCAACCCCTTCTAGGATAATACCAGAATAATGATTTTGCCAATCAGCAGAAGGATTTCAGAGCTGGAAATTGTGTTATTAAATGTACAGGATCCATCTTTTAATCTGGGAGACACTTCCATTCACATGAGAAACTATGTGTTTACTATTTCTGTTATGTTTTGTATGATTTTGTGTGCTTGTATATTTTCAGTAACTGCTGGGGTAGCAAGTGTCAGAATCACTCCAAAAAAACTGAGATATATTTGCCAAGTCAACAGTCTCCAGACTATTGCTTTCAGCAAGACAAGGGGCAAGGCTCTTTCTGGGCCTGAGTAATCAGTAAATATATAAAAAGAATAAGAATAATAGTGAAGTTACTGCTAGACGTATTTCCTTACATCTGAACATTTTCTTTCATTTGCAACACTTAACCTGGAATCGGGTGCTTCCAGAAAATCCTGTAAAAATCATGTAGCTTCCAAGATTTAAAGCTGGCCTAGAAAACATGAACATGATCCCATGTCTTATCTTTACTCATACATCAGGAATTCTCTAAATTTCTGGGAGAACATTTTGTAGAAGACACAATCAAGGAGCAAATTTATGTATTCTTTAAAAAATATTGCAAACCTTACTTTGGATTATCAATTGCTTATTTATTCATATTTTATGCTGCCAAAGAGAAGCTCAAGGAACAAAAATGATTATAATAAGTATTATATGGATGAAGAAAATGTCATAGATAGTGTCAAGTAGCATACAAGGGGATTTCAACAGTCATTATAATCTTGACATTAGGGAGATTATTTATTCAACATGCATTCACTCAATCGTGGCCCTTTTGATTCCCATAGGAGTTATAATGGTAGAATTCATTCCCATGGACAGGAACTTCAGACTATAGACCCTTTGCTTTGGAGGCCCAAGGAATTCATATCATTACAATGTACCCTGAAGGAAGCAATGAGGCATTAAGAGATCCAATTCATATAATATATAAAGTGTATGGAGCAATATTAACAGAAATATGAATATGAGTTTATGATAAATTTCTTAAGCTCATTATCATGGAACCCATTATGTGGCTAAGCCTGAAAATCAATTCTATTAGTAAAATCTAGTAGTTGTAATATTACAGTTAATAAAATACTAAAAATGCACCATACATTTAAAGGTGAGTTAATTTTTTCAATACTCTGTGTGTGTTTACATATTTCTCATATGCATTATCTCCTAGTTATAGTACAAATTATATTTTCTTTTGCAAATATCTTTAGTTGAAATATGCAATGTAATTTCAACATCAAAAAATGTTTTTTGATTCCTTGAAAATGCAAAAAGAAAATGCTCTTTTGAATAGTTTTTTAAAAATTAAATTAGTTTAATGGAATTTTGAATATCTTAGAACAATCATGTTTGTACATAGAATAGTTAATAAAGGATACTACATGTACTTAAATATAATAAAAATTTTAAAATAAGTTGCTCGGAAGAGAAAACATTCAAGTAAAATTTATGAGCATTTCTAGATTAATAAAAATAAAGAGATTGAGGGAAAGAGAATTAAAACATTGGAGGTACTTATTGTAAAACTGCAAAAATATAATTGGCTACAGTATATTTTATATATAATATATATAATATGTAACATACAATATGACACATATATGAGGTAAAAATAATATATGTATATTTTAGGTGAAGCATTTTAAGAAAAAGCATTACTCTCTTTTAAGGTATGCAAGTAGTATGGTCAAAGACCTTCAAAAAATTGTGTGGAGTTTACTTCATGGGTTTTTTTAATACAGTAAATGTTTTCTTTTTTACTTCTACCAGAAAATAAAAAGAAGGTCTACATTACTGAATGACTAGGAGCTAATGAATAGTTCCAAACAGATATCAATCCATCAGAGAGAGGCAGTAGGGAGGGGCTCCTAGGAAATAACTTGAGAATGTAGCCAAATTAGAGTTGATTAAAAAGTGATTGATGTGTGTGTTTTACAATTTTAATAAAATAGTAAAACATATTTTAAGTTTTTACTACCATGAAGAAATACTGAAACAAAATATCTTTATGAAAATTTATTGAAACAGAAATGTATAAATATTAGTTAATTTTGTTATAATTGTTGAATTTACAGAAAACAATTTAATCTTAATACACACAGGTATATCAGCACTTCTTACATTCAACAAGAAATTACAGGAATAGATGACCTGTAAGTTTCCCCAGTGGTCTTGCATTTTATAGTAACTGATTTAAGTAATAAACTAATAGGGTCATAAAACAAAGGCATTGTGTTTTAAAGCAAACTGCTTCTCTTGATTCTCGAAGTGAAGACATCTTTGCTCTGAGTTTACTCAACCTTATCACTGAGTTTATTTATTGAAACAAGAAACATGAAAAATAAAAATGCATTGAAAGTTGAAACATAAATATTATTAAATAATTTTTCTAACTCCAATAAATGTCAACAATGTATTAAACACTAGCAGAAAAGTAAGGTCTGCAACAGAGACACTCTTGTAAACATAAATCAAAGCAAGTTAGGTATTACCCACAATATCTTCAGACTGGCAATTCTCCTCAAACAGAAACACTTTATTGTTGGATAAGAAGTTGAGGAAAAGGTGAAGTATTTCAAATACAAGAAGTGAATAAAGATCTATGTTTAAGGGAAAATTTATACTATTCATTTCTATTATTTCTGGATCATGGTGACTTTTCTAACAGAAAAAACAAGAGTTGCTTGCTCTTTTATGTATAATTGTTTCATCATATGAAAATAATATTGTCTAAGTTTAAGTCTGTTAATAATGTAAATATCATACTAGTAATGAAATTAAAAGACATTCTTACTCTTCCACTTAGGAGCAAAAGCTCCTTAAATCAAGTGTTAACCTTTGAGCAAAGTAAGATAATCAGTGCAGTTGCCAAAGAATAAAAGTTTTGAATGATTCCTCTGCTATTGTTGTTTTTCTTCAAAAACAAAAGCAGACGTTTGGACAAATAATATATCTAATTTTCTATTTTCTACTATAGTCTTACCAAGAGAAGAGATGTATTATTCTCCAACCTGTATTCAATTCATCTGATAGGAGATACGATAAAACAAAAACAAAACAAAACACAAAAAAGCGGAGGAATAAAAACTTGTAGAAGACTCTCAGAGAGATGCTCCGTTTTACTTCTCCTCAAATTTTTTTCTTCTCTGAATCTACAGCCAGGGTAGACACCAACTAGAACAGCTATAGAACAGCAAGAAAGCATTGCCCACAACGACAAATACATGTAGAACTCTATATTTTTGCATTCATTCTTCCATTAATTCTTTCAAAGTTTCTATGAATTCTTTGGAGAACAGCAAATTTTGGTAAAGTTTTAATAAAGTTATGTCATAAAATTTGAATAATACATTTTTTAAAGATTTTACCTGAAGTGCCTTTGAAGATTAATAATTGCCAGATTTATGGTATATGAAATTATTAGCAATCATTATAAACCCGCTGATGCAATAAGGAATCTTCCAAGTCCATAATCCTATGAAAATATCATATCATGCTTTCTTATTGGAGCTGGTAAAGCATAAAATGAAATAACTTTAATAGAAAATATTTTGTAAAATATAATTATTTCTTTCTTAGCATTCCATGATAGAGTCATACAGTTAATATTATCTGCAAAGATGAAATATCAGTACAAGGGGCCGAGTGACCTGAAATGTCCTTTTGCTCAGTGTCTGAGTGAGTACCAGTTGGAGGATAGGGTCTTTCTTTATCTAATAGTTGAGTCCAGTTTCATATAGGATATTACAGGTCAGAAATTACACTGAGAATATGGATAGTCCCTAAAAATCAGTAATAATGGTCAATTTATATGTTATTATAGTGTTTCCCTAGACATTGTATTTAACCTAGAGTAGGTAGAGGGCTGCTAAAAACTGTATTAATTCTTCAAAACAGTGGAATTTTGTTGACTTTGCACAGTTTGATAGCTTAGAAACACAGAAGACAACTGCTAGTTACAGAGCATTCTTCTAGAGTGTGGAGAATCTAGGTACAGCCTGAGCATTCAGGCATAGAGCATCAATCTCATTCGGGTGGCTGCAAATGAGGAGCACATGGAGAGGAAAGACAGAGGAAAGGTTATTCCCAGCACAATATCCAAAAGCAGAAGTGGTATAATTATATTTTAATCTCTATGTATATATATAAAACTCAAACCCTGAACGTTCATTTTGAACTTTTTGGAAATATTAACATTTTCTTTAATTTCTCTAGCAAGTTTGTTTTGAATTTTAATTTAACTGATATCTCTAATATTGGTGAAGAAAAGCAGCAGTTCAATTCACGGCCTAACCTTTGGAACAGAGCCCCAACTAAAATCTTCACTCCCAATTTGGCACCAGAAACAAATAACGAAAAAGTTTATCATCAAATCTGCACTTGCTGATGTAGCTCCTATCTGCGTGTTGAACAGATATTGCATTTAGTCGTTCTAATGCCCCTGGGTTTGCAGATGTGGTATATTCAGAAGTAATAAATGTTAAAATGTCAGAAAATTTAGATGCTAACGTTTACCCTGCCTATGCCTTCTAAATAGAGTAGAAGGAGGTCTTGGGTCAGACAAAATGTCGTCATTTCATCATACTTACTTACGGACCTTACATTTATAAAATCCTTATCACAGGAGAATTCCTTCTTAGCCTTCTCAGAAACCTAAATCATATTGTTTCCTAACTTGCTAATTAAGAAATGGAACTAGCCCAATTAATCTATGCAGGCTGCTTAGTTGTCGAAGGCTGGTTAGTTTGTGTATTAGTTTACAAGGATTGTCATAAGAAAGGATTGCAGACTTGGTGGCTTAAACCATGGAAATAAAATGTCTGCAGGTTTAGTTTCTTCTGAGGCCTCTCTCTTTGGTTTATTGTGTCATCACATGGTCTTTCCTTTGTGTACATGAATCGCTGGTGTCTCTCTGAGTGTTTTAGACTCCTCTTTTTATAAGGACATGAGTCACATTGGATTAGGACCCCATTCAAATGGCCCTATCTTTAAATTCAGTAACATTTTGAGGTGCTGGGTGTTAGGATTTCAACATATGAATGGAGAATGTACAACTCAGCCCATGACAGTTTAGCCAAGTCCACTGAAAATAAATAAATCGGGGACTATCAGAGAGCTTTTGTGTATCAAAGAAAGAAGAACAAAAACTTCTGTTTGTTGTTGTTTCATGCATAGCTTAAATATCCACCAATCCAGGAAATAACTCCTCTTGAAAAATAAGATTTGGAAGTTGTGAAGCACATGATCTTGAAAAAATTGAATGTCCTTATTGACTTAACCAAATGGAAACATATCACAGCCTGGCATAACAATCTTTAAACAAAAATAAAAAGGCAGAAACACATAATGTATTTAAAACTTGGGAAAAGATTATCATCATCCTACTTTTCTATCATCATATATAGACCCAATGAAAACTCTCAGAAACATCTAAAGATGAGCATAATTATTCTGTAATCCTACTTGTGAAAGGGACTCTCCAGCTTGTAAAATGCAACCACTTTGCTTGAATCTGGCGACAACCCCAATACATTATGCAGTTCCATATGGTCTGAAAATAGCTCCTATTACTTCCTTTATCTTTCCAAAATGAGCTCTATTTGGAAAGTGATAAATAATGGAAATGATGAGCAATTTACTTTGTTCTTCTTTCTCTCTCTCTCTCTCTAAATACACACACACACACACACACACATACACACACACACACATATACAAATTGTATTTGGTTTCTTCTTTCTTGTTATTTCATAGAATACCATAAGTCAAGAAGTTATACCTCTATTTCTAAACATTAAACCATAATTATTTATAAAGGTAAATGAACCCAATGCCTTGCCAAGGATAAAAAAAACTGCAATGTGAGAAAATGCTAGTATCCAGAATGGGTTTTGAATAAATAGACCATTATTATAAATATGTATATGAATGTTAACCTCCAAATGCCACTATGCTTTATACAGAAAGCTTTCACAACCTGTTTATCAAGTATATACGTGACAAAGTGACTGGAGTGACTATGAGACTCTGAGATTATCTGAGTCTATGATTGGGAACACAGTTCTTGATCATTTTTGTCAGTAAATCCGTTTTCGTTTTTAATTGACTTTATCCTAATCCTAATCAACAATATCTTCACGGCTGATATTCCTGTCAGGCATATGGTAACAGCTTTTACTGAGACACAAATCAGATAAACAATCTCCAGTGGCACTTGTACATGCCTCTTTTTTATTACTTCTTTTTTTTTTCATTTTGTTAATGAGATTATCTACTTTTTCATCTTTTGCTTTTAAAAACTGAGAAGAGAAGTGATGGATACAATCTGTTTCCCATACAACGAAGGTCAAATCTTTTGCCAAAAAAAAACCATGATTATCTCTGAGAATTCTATTATTATTTAACATAAGAATTTTCTTTCTCACTCAAAATGAATGTCTTGAAACAAACTCAACCCAGTAGACAACTTGACTGCATGGCTTTAAAACTACAGAACTATGTAAGTCAGAGAACCACAAACCAAATTTCCTCTGGGGTGTGCAATAACATCTGCCTACTAGAATGGTCCAAAAAAGAGTCAGCAAAATGCATTCTCAACCATTCTTTTGAGCAATTAAGTATAATGGGGATAGGTCACTGTCTTGCACATTCTTCAGAATAACTTTGTTTCCTACTTCGTTCCTGTTTTAAATTTATTTTTGCTAAAATACGGTATGTGCAGAAAAAAAGCACAAGTTACAATTGTACATCTTCATGAATGCTCATGAATAAAACACATCTATATAACCATCCCCAGATAACCAAGACATAGAATATATCTAGTACTCAGGTGGCCCTTTGTGCCCTCTTCTAATCAATATTCCTCTGTCTGAGGTTCACCAGCAGAGAGTAGTTTTGCTTGGGTTTGTTAATTATGCAATACAATCCCGCAGTATATGCTCTTTTGTATCTGGCTTCACCCATATTGGTGTGATAGTTATAGATTGCTTATTCTCACTGTCATCACACACCCCGTAATGTAAATATGCCATTATAGGCCGGGCGCGGTGGCTCACGCCTGTAATCCCAGCACTTCGGGAGGCCGAGGCAGGCGGATCACGAGGTCAGGAGATCGAGATCATCCTGGCTAACACGGTGAAACCCCATCTCTACTAAAAATACAAAAAATTAGCCGGGCGTGGTGATGGGCGCCTGTAGTCCCAGCTTCTCGGGAGGCTGAGGCAGGAGAATGGCGTGAACCCGGGAGGCGGAGCTTGCAGTGAGCCCAGATCGCGCCACTGCACTCTAGCCTGGGTGACAGAGCGAGACTCCGTCTCAAAAAAAAAAAAAAAAAAAAAAAAAAAGCCATCATACTGATGGTGGACATTCGGGCAGTTTCTATTTTTCGCCATCATGATTATCACCAATGTAAACATTCTAGTGTGTGTCTTTGGTACACATATGTATGGATTTCTCTAGTTTTATATCTAAAACTGAAAGCAATGGAAACTCAGATGCTTTAGACAGAGCCAGAGTGTTTTCCAGAGTAACCCGAAGTTGGTTTTACCAAATAGTATTTCAAGCTGCAGTATCAGAGACTTTCAGTTTTTCCACAGCCTTAACATTTTGTATTGTGCTTTTTCAAAAGAAAACATGCACCCAGCCAATAAGAATAGGAAAAAATGCTCACTAATAATTAGAGAAATGCAAATCAAAAGCAATCCCATTATTGGTTATACACTCAAAGGAATAGAAATCATTCTACCATAAGGACACAGGCAGTTGTATGTTCATCACAGCACTATTCACAATAGCAAATACATGGAATCAGCCTAAATGCCAATCAGCGGTAGACAAGATAAAGAAAATATGGTGCATATACAGCATAGAATGCTACACAACCATAAAAAATAATGAAACCATATTCTTTTCAGCCATGTTTATACTACAAAGCTACAGCAACCATAACAGCATGGTACTGGTACCAAAACAGACATATAGACCAATGGAACAGAACAGAGACCTCAGAAATAACACCACACATCTACAACCATCTGATCTTTGACAAATCAGACAAAAACAAGCAATGGGGAAAGGATTCCCTATTTAATCAATGGTGCTGGGAAAACTGGCTAGCCATATGCAGAAAACAGAAACTGAACCCCTTCCTTACACCTTATACAAAAATTAACTCAAGATAGACTAAAGACTTAAATGTATAAGCTTTGCAGAAACACGGATGGAGCTGGAGGCCATTATTCTAAGTGAACTCACACAGGAACAGAAAAGCAAATACTGCGTATTCCCACTTATAAGTGGGATCTAAACATCAAGAACGTATGAACACGAAGGGTAACAACAGACACCTAGGCCTACTTGAGGGTGGAGGGTGGGAGGAGGGTGAAGTTCCACAAACTGTTAGGTACTATGCTTATTACCTGAGTGGCAAAATAATCTGTATACCTGCTTAACAAACCTGCACATGTACTTCTGAACCTAAAATCAAAGTTAAAATAATCCTAGTTCCTTTGATATAAAATTGGAGAATTGGAGTAATATACCTGTCTCACAGGGTTGTTAAGACAGTTAAAGGAGACAGCCTATGACTGTTCTTGGCTTTTGGATAACACTAGATCATGTTTGATTAAAGACATTTCGTCTTTTCTAGTTTCTCAGAATAAAAATTATTGATAAGAGAATTTTTAAATTTTCTTATTTTAAAAATATTGTTAAATTTGTTGTTATTGTTACCATTTTTATTAGCGATTTGGTGTTATATTATTGTATAGGAACTTTAATTTATAGATCAGTGATAAGAATCTACTTTCATAGGTGTGTTGATTACATGGATATCTTTTCCAAAGTGTCTCTTTAAGCCTTTTGATATTTTTCTATTAGGTTTGTCTGCCTTTTAAAAAGTTATTTGTAGAATTTACCTATGTATTCTGGGCATCTGCATTTGTTGAATAAATGCATTTTCATTCACTGTGTGTTGATTCTCCAATCTGTCGTTGCTTTCTAATGAATATACTTTTTTGACATTTAATATCGTTCAATTCATCATGTCTTTCTTTGCAGTTATTGATTTTGAGGTCCAATTGAAGAAAGATTTGCTAGCTTCAGGACTGGAAAATCTACCCCATTTTTGTCATGGGTTTACCTTTCACATAAGTAACTGTATGCCATCTTGAAATTATCGTCATGTGAGATTTGTAGCATATCTGCGTGATTCAGCACCATTTACATGAAAGACCATACTTTCTCCACTGTGTTGAAGGGCTATCTTAAATAAAACTCAGGTGAATCTTATCAATATATCTGAATGGCTGCGGTTCCGGGTTCTATTCTGTGTCTATTTGTTTGTGTCTGTTCTGTGTCTAGATCGGTTTGTGTATTCGTGTTACAATATCACACTACCTTAATTATTATAAATGTAAAAATAACTTTTTATATCTCGAAGCATACTACAGATTTGTTGTTCCATTTAGGAATTTCATGGCTATTTTTGACTCACTGAATTTGCATTTTGGAATCATCTTATTATAATTATTTATTTTCACATATTGATGTTAATTTAATCAACTTAAATTAATAATTAAATCTTATTATTTTATTAAATTGATTATGTTGTTACTAAACAGTATTATTTCTATGAGCTACAAAAATTAGGTGTTTTCTTTTTAAATTTTTTTTATAATGTGTATACTTTTACGTTTTCAAATGACCAATTCTAATTGCAGTATATCTGTGTTTTTGAGTGGTTAAGACTAAAACTTCATATGTCAGATTCTTCTACCTTTGTAGAAAAAGGAATAGAGGGAACTTCATCAACCTGATAAAGGCCATCCACGGAAAGTCCAAATATTTAGGGATGAAGCACTTAATGGTAAAAATCTGAAGGCTTTATTAAGGCAAGGAACAAGACAGGAAAGCGTGTTCTCAACACTGCATGCAACATTGTATTGGAGGTTCTGTCCAGGGAAATCAGGCAAGAAAAAGAAACAAAATTATTCGGATTTAAAGAGAGAAGCAAAACTGACTATATTTCTCAGGATATGGCCTTGTACAAAGATAAACATAAAAAATCTACTAAAAATCTATTTTCCTAATAGGTAAATTGAGGTAGGTTGTAGAATGTAATATTAACATAAAACCAATTGTATTACTATGCACTACACATAAACTATTTGAAAACAAAGTTAAGAAATTATTTCATTTAATAAAACATTTTAAAAAGCACTCAGAAATAAATTTAACAAAAGATGTAAAATTATTGTACACTGGAAACTACTATATATTCTTGAAAGGTATGCAATAATATCTCTCTACCTGGAAAGAAAATATATTTAATGTTCATGAATAGGAAGATTTAATATTGTCAAGATAGTAATAATCCCCAAAGTGATTCATGATTCGATGCAATTCCTTTCAAAATCACAGCTTGCTCTTTTGTAGAAATTGAAGAGTTAATGCTAAAACACGTGGAATTACAAGGGACCTGTGATAGCGAAATAATTTTAAAATAAAGAACAAATTTACAGGACCCACATTTCCTAATTTTAAATTTAATAATAAAAATACAGTAATCAAGACCATGTGGTATTGCATAAAGTAAGACGTATAGATCAATAGAATAGAATGGAAAGTGCTGTAATAAAACATAGCATTTATGGTCAATTGGAGTTGACAGGGTACTAAGATAATTCAATTGGGAAAGCACAGACTTTTCAAAATTAGTGCCAACCAACTGGACATCCACATGAAAAAGAATGAATTTGGACCTCCACTTTACAAGATACACGAACTTAACTGAATATTGATCATAAACATAAATATGCAAGCTAAACTAAAAAAAACTTTTAGAAGAAAAAATAAAAATAAATCTTTATGAGCCTGAATTAGGCTAAGTTTCCTTAGATTTGATTCCAAAAGCACAAATGCCAAATGATAAAATAGATAAATTGGGCTTCATCCAATTTAAAACTTCTGTATTACAAATGATAACAACAAGAAAGTAAAATGACAACCATTAAAATAAGAAAATATTGGCAAATCTTTTATCTGATAAGGGACTTCTATGCAGAATATGTAAAAAGTTTTAGAACTCAATATCAAAAACAACTCAATTAAAATAACATTTAAATAAATATTTCACCAAATAAGATACGTAAATGACTAATAAACACAAGAAAATTGGTTTAACATCATTAGCTAATACAAAAATATAAATCAAAATCACACTGTGATATAACTTTATAGTCAATTGGATGGATAAAATGTTTTTTTTGAAAATGGACAATAAAAAGTATTGACTAACATGAAGAAATTAGAAACCTTATACAATGCTGTTAGGAATGTTAAGTGCTGAAGTTACTTTGGAAAATATCTGGCAATTTCTCAAAATAATAAATACAGTTATCATATATATAACCTAGCAATATCACTTGAAGATATCCATCAACAAAAAAATATATCCACACAAAACCATGTATGCATGTTCATAGCATCATTATTCATGATAACCCCAAAAGTGGAAGTAAATCAAATATACATTAACGGTCAAATGAACAAACAAAGCATGAGATATTTACACTATAGAATATTGACATGTGGATGCATGCAACAACATGGATAAACTTTGAGAACATTGTGCAAGGTGAAATAAGGCAGTTTCAAATAACACATGTTGCATGATCCACTTGTATGAAATGTCTAATATATGCAAATCTATAGAGACAGAAAGAAGACTGGTGGTTGTAGGTCTGGGGATCAGGCTTGGGGTTGCGGACTGACTGCTAGTAAGCATAGAGTTCCTTTTTACAGCTAGGGAAACCTTCTAATATATTGTAATAATATTGCACAACTCGGTTAATATACGAAAAATTTTGCATTATACTCTATAATTGGGTAAACTTTATGAAACGTGAATTGTTATCTCAATAAAGTCAATACAAATATTAAAGCAGAAACTGATAGAACTGCATGGAAAAATAGAAAATCCATGATAATTCCTAAAGATTTTAACATTCCTTCACCATAATTTGTATAACAAACTAATCATACATCATTAAAAATATAAAAGACCGAAAATACTCTCAACCAATTTGACCTAACTTGTATTTATTCAAAAATGCTATAGCAACACTCCAGTTCATATTTTTTCAAGAAAATACAATGTATTTGCCAATATAAGCTATATTCAAGGTTATAAAACAAGTTTCAATATATTTAACAGCATTCACATAATATTAAGCATGTATGCAGAATGCAGTAGATTGAAATTAGAAATCAAAGATGTAAAGATAAAAGTTTATAAGTATTTGGAATATAAATTGCACATTTCTATCTAAATACACCTTTGGTCTACAAAGAAAGAAGTGAAATTAGAAAGTATTTTGAATGGAATCAAAATAAAAATAAATATATCAAAATTTTCCTGTTTCAGTAAGTATTGCCTAAAAGGAAACCTATCACTATTGACTTTGTAAGAATAGAAAAAAATGGTCTCACGTCAATGTTCCACTTTCAGAAACTAGAAAAGAAAAAATATATTAAGCTCAAATAAAATAGAATAAATGAGATAACACTAAGTGTAGAAAGAACAACTTTATGCAAACAAATTTGACAACTTCAATTAAAGGGGTAGATTGGTGTATGACAAAAACTACCAAAGTTCACTCGAAAAATAAATAACCAGAATATCTCTATGTCTACTAAAGTAATTGAATTTTTAATTAAAATTATTCTCACCAAGGAAATTCTTTTCCATATTACTTCACTGGTGAATCTACCAATCATTTAAGGAAGAAATAATATCAATTCCACACATATTATTCTGGAAAATGTGAAAGGAGGCATACTCTCCTACCCAACTTGTGTGTCCAGCATTCACCTGGTACTAAAGTTACTGTAAGGAAAAAATTCTGACACTAATATTCATGAATATAGTCATATGTATTCTGAATATATGACTTTTACCAATACATACTTTTAATATGTAAAATTCAGAGTTTGCGACCGAAGAGATTTTATCTAAGGATTGCAAGGTTGCTTTAACAGTTAAAAACAAATCAGCAGTAGTATATTAATGAATTGAAAAGAAAAAATAATATAAGATTTTCCCAGTGGACACAGAAGAAACATTGATAGAATTCACTAAAACTGATAAAGCCTCTCACTAAACTAAAAGTAGGAAAGAGAACTTTCTCTGATAGAGACTTTACTGAATCTATTTGTAAGTTCTAATAGTGTTTTTTGGTGGAATCTTTAGGTTTTTCAAAATATAAGATCATATCATCTACAAACAAGAATCAACTGACTTCTTCCTTTCCAATTTAGACTCCTGTTATTTCTTTCCCTTGCCTAATTGCTCTAGCTAGGACTTCCAGTACTATGCTGAAAAACACGGTGAGCTTATGCATCCTTGTCTTGTTCCAGATCTTAGAGGAAAGGTTTTCATTTTTCCCCATTCAGTGTGATTCTAGCTATAGGTCAATCATACATGGGTTTTTTTTTTTTTTGTATTGAGGTATGTTCCTTCTATACCCAGTTTTACTGAATGTTTTTATCGTGAAGGAAAATGTTGAATTTCAGCAAATGCTTTTTCAGCATCAATTTAAATGATCATGTGGTTTTTGTCCTTTCTTCTGTTGACATGGTACATCACATTGATTCATTTGTATATGTTATACCATCCTTGCATCCCTGAGATAAATCCCACTCGGTCGTGATGAATGATCTTTTTCACGTGCTGCTGAGTTGAGTTTGCTTGTATGTTGTTGAGAATTTTTGCTTCAATGTTCATCAGGTATATTGGCCTGTAATTTTCTTTTTGTGTGTGTCTTTGCCTGGTTTGAGTCTCAAGGTAATACTGGCTTTGCAGAATGAGTTTGGAGGTATTCTCACCTTTTTACTCATCAAAATAGTTTGAGTAGAATTGGTTTTAGTTCTTCTGTAAGTGTTTGTTCATATTTAGAGTGAAGCTATGGGGTTTTTTGTTGTCATTGTCCAGGATAATTTTCATTATGACTTCAGTCACATTACTTGTTACTTGTCTATTATGGGTGTGCATTCCTTCATGGTTCAATCTTGGTAGGTTGTATGTATCCAGTAATTTATTCATTTCTTCTAAGTTTTCCAATTTACTGGCATGTAGTTGCTCATAGTCTCTAATGATCCTGTGAATTTCTGCAGTATCAGTGTAATGTCTACTTTTCATCTCTGATTTTGTTGGGTATTCTCTCTTTCATTCTTAATCGGGCTAAAGGTTTGCCAACTTTATCTTTTGAATAAACCATATCTTCATTTTATTGATCCTTTGTATTTTTTGTTTCGATTTCATGTACTTCTGCTCTGATCTTTATTATTTCTTTTCTTCTACTAATTTTGGGTTTGGTAATTTTGCGTTGATCCTTGCTTTTCTAGTTTCTTAAAATGCATAGTTTAAAATACATAGTTACATTGTTTATTTGAACTTTTACATGTGGGCTCTTATTATTTTACTTTAGTGGATCTGTTGTAGGTTTCATAATTTGAGGTTACCGTGAGACTTGCAAATAGTGTCTTATAACCCATTATTCTAAACTGATTACAAAAACAACAAAGACATAACTAATAAAAACTCTACACTCTAACTTTTTCTCCCGTTCTTTTTAACATTTTGCTGTTTCTATTTAAATCATACTATGTCTTGAAAAGGTGTTATAGTTTTTAATTTTGAGAGGTTCATATTTTAGTCTTTCTACTCAAGATATGAGTAGTTTACACATCACAATTACAGTATTATAATATTCTGTATTTGCCCATGTACTTACTGTTACCAGTGAGTTTTATACCTTCAAGTGATTTCTTATTGCTCATTAACATTCTTTTCTTTCAGTTTGAAGAAATTATTTCAGCATTTTTTGTAGGACAAGTGTGGTGTTGATAAAGTTTCTCAACTTTTGTTTTTCCTGAGAAAGTATATATCCTTCATATTTAGAGGATATTTTTGCTGGCTATACTATTTTAGAATAAAAGGTTTTCTTTCCTTCAGCACTTTAAACATGTCATGCCACTTCATCCCAGCCTGTAAGGCTTCCACTGAGAAGTCTGCTGCCAGACATACTGGAGCTCCTTTGTATGTTACTTGTTTCTTTTCTCTAGCTTCTTTAAGATTATTTCTTTATCCTTCAATTTGGGAGTTTGATTATTAAAAGTCTTCGGGCAGTCTTATTTGGGTTAAATCTGCTTGGTCTTTATAACCTTCTTGTATTTGAATATCAAATTTTTTCTCTAGGTTTGTAAAGTCCTCTGTTATTTTCCCTTTGAATAAACTTTCTATCCTGATCTCTCTCTCTCTACCTCCTCTTTAAGGCTAATAACTCTTAGATTCGTCCTTTAGCAGCTATTTTCTGGATCTTGTATTGTGCTTCATTCTTGTCTATTTTTTTCTTTTGTCTCCTATATGTATTTTCAAATAGCTTGTCTTCAAGCTCACTTATTTTTTCTTCTGCTTGATCAATTCTGCTGTTGAGAGACTCGGATGAATTCTTTGGTATATAAATTGAATTTTTTATTTCCAGAATATCGGCTTGATTCTTGTTAATTATTTTGATCACTTGGTTTGGTGAAATTAACCTGATAGGATTGTAAATTCCTTCTCTGTGTTATCTGGAATGCCATTGAGTTTCCTCCAAGCAGCTATTTTTAATTCCCTGTCTTGACTCTTACAGACTCATAGAGATGCTGCCTTGCTGGTCTTAGGTAAGATCCAGATGAGTTCCCTGTACTACCAAGCAGAGACTCCTGTGCTCTTCCCTTACTTTCCCCCAAATAAATGGAATATATTTCTCTGTACTGAGCCTCCTGGAAATGAGGGAAGGGTGGCACAAGCACCCCTGGGGCCACTACCACATGACTGCACTGGCTCAGACCCAAAGCCAGCACAGCGTTGAGTCTTGCCCCAGGCTTACAGTGACCTCTGCCTGGCTACCACCAGTATTTCTTCCAGGCCCATGTGCTCTACAATCAGCAGGTTGTGAATCTGGCCAGGCCTTGTGGCCTTCCCTTCATGACTGTGAGCACACCACCACCCCAAGGCAGGTCGAGAAATGCCCCCCTGGAGTCAAGCCTACAGTCAGAAAACTTAGGAATCTACTTGGTGCTCTATTCTACTACAACTGAACTGGTATCCAAGCCACAAGACTAAGTCCTTCACACTCTTCCTTCTCCTTTCTTCAAGGAGAAGGAGCCTCCCCTCATGGCTACCATTGCCCAGGCCCATGGAGAGTACTGCCTGGCTACTGCCAATGATCACTCAAGACCGAAGGGCTCTTCACTCAGCTGGCAGTGGCTATGTGGTAAGGAGAAAGAATCTGTGGGTTTGTAGAGAGAGAACAGTGACTGTGAGACTTGGCATTGGAAGTCAGTGCTGCCCTGTCACAGTGGAAAGCAACACAGGGCAGAGCTCAGCCGGTGCCCACAGAGGGAACATTTAGATCTCATTGTTCCTGGGGCATACCGAAAAAACAGACACATCTGCAGATTTCTGTGATTCTCCATTAATGTGTATTAATATACTAATCAAATAGCAATCTACTATTCAGGGGCACATACTAATTACTCCATTTTACAGCCAGGCATATGGTGTGGCTGGCTAATGTTGATGCCATGAAGTCAGCATGAATTGATTATGATTTGGATGGGACTGTCTTTTTGGTTCCTTTAATTTGAAACAAAAATAAAAATTAGTATGGTATAAATACCCTAGAAAATAAAATAAATGTTTGATTATTTTTGTTTAATATTACCAGACAAATTAATATAATTATTTCAGAGCATTCTTGAGAATTTGTTATAATTGATTTTATATCCCTGTCCATTGTTAAGGCCAAATCACAATTTTGTCATTGTTGTATTTTTAATGCATCAGAGGCATTATTATATTTTATTTGTCTAGATACAATTACATGCTAAATTATGAAGGAATGATCATCTGAAATAAAATGATCAGTTCAAATTTTACTTGTATAGTTCCACTTTAACAGATATTTAACTGATTTTCAAATTGATTAATAAAATCTTGCAAGTTTATGACGCTCATAAGAAGTTATTCTTAAAATACATGCTAAAAATAAGATTTTTCCTGATTAGTATTATATGTATTCTGGTTGAAAGTGTAACTTACCTTTAGAATAAAATATTTTGGCACAGAAATCACTTTTTTTATTTTTTGCTGATAAACTAAAGTGAGAACTTCCTGCTTTTTGGATAAGAGGTTGCGCACTTAGTACCCAAACTATTGCCAGCATATATTTTAATGTAACAGAAGACTAAAATCCACATAGAAAACTGAGCAATTAATTTTTCTCAGGTCATGGTAATAAAATATTGTATTTAAATGTGCTAGCCATTAAAATCAATAGTTTTTTTTTTTTACTTCAAGAGACGTAGTTTTCAGTGTTTTGATATTTCCAACCACATACAATAGTATTTATCCCCCTTTCTGTAATCTTTTTTCTTTATATCTTTCTCCCTAGCTTCAAAAAATTACCAACTTCTCTTTTCATGGGTAAAACTTATAAAAAAGAAAAAAGGAACACACTGCAAACAGGTCAGTAATTTGGATCTTTTGATGAACTGTTAAAAACTTCTTACCTTGCCCTATCAAAAAGGCAAACTAAACAAATAAATACAGAAACGGAAAGATTACTTACGTTTCAAACTGATAAAAATCTTAAGATTGCTAGTTCAAAATATTTAAAATAGAAATGGCACAACCCTGTCCAATTTCATTCCACTGGAGCCTTTCTTTTCTTTTAAAGATTTCCTTTGGTATTTACTTGTATTTTTCTTAGTAATATACTTAGGTAGGAAGTTCTTGATTAAATATACACAAGAGCTCTTTGCTGCCTGTTATTGTAGCTGAGTATTTAGTCTCCTCCACATGCACCATACCCTGCCTGCCACAACTCATTTTTTAAAAATGAGGATTTTTTGGGAGGCTGAGGCAGGCGGATCACAAGGTTAGGAGTTTGAGACCAGCCTGACCAACATGGTGAAATCCCATCTCTACAAAACGGTTGTGGTGTGTGCCCGTAATTCCAGCTACTCAGGAGGCTGAGGCAGGAGAATCACTTGAACCCAAAAAAAAAAAAAGATTTTTACATAAATAGCAAGCATTTATGTTTGATGACTGCATATTTTCACTAGTAAGTCAAGTGATGTGTAATAAGTATTAAAATGTTTCCTTTCATAGGTATTTTTTCAAAGTTAATAATTCATTCATACGTGTTTTCATCTGTTTAATATTTTATGTGTCTGGTTTTAGTACTTCCTCAAATTTTAAAATGCACCAACAGATTTGTCAAACCTCCTAGGTAATGAGCCTGAACAGGTTAGAGAATCTTTGACCACACTACACATAATTTACAATTTGCTTTGTTTTTAATGTAATATTTTATATATCTTTCCAAATCATATATATCTTTCAAATCTACTTCCTTCTTTTTTTAAAATTGACTCACATTTACATGGCTTTTCTTTCCAAAATGTAGTATTACAATGGATATCCTCATACACTTCTAATCACTCATGTTATGCTTTTTATAGGATTGGTTTTAGAAGTGAGATAATTAGGTCAGAGGATATGTACAATTAATAATTAATTGAATTGGTTAAATATGAGAATCAACAATGTGCCAGTTAGTCACTATTCTAGTTAGTACAACAGTACAGTAGTAAACATAATATAATTTTTTCTTTTAATGTAAGATCTATTCAGGGAGATATTTTTACAGCTCTATTCAAAGTTGATAAAATGAAAATCTCACTAACAATTGATGATATTGTGAAATTATTTACATCATAGCCAGAATTGCTGATGATCTTTTAAAAACTTATTTAAAGTTTGCAAATCTGAAAGGCAAGAAGAAAAACATTATTGTTATTTTATTACTTTCCATTGAGGATCAATGAGTTTGAACATACTGTCGTGTTAACTTTTACTTACCATTTACATTTCTTTTAAATTTCCTGTTCATATACATTGCAGATTTTTAATTTTGGTCTCTTTCTCATTAATTCATAGTAGCTCAATTATATGTTAAATATCTGTGAAATGTTAATAATGAATATCACCTTTTACATAGTTCTTCAAATACTTTATCCGAGACTCTTCTTTCCATTTTCACTTTGATTTTGATGTTGTTTTCTTCACAAATATTTTGTTACAGTAAGTTTTCCCCTAAAAAATGTCATTTTAAACTATTGTTACTTTTGATTATGTCGATGATTCAACTTTGAAAATCTCTGATCTATGCCATTTTATGTCTATTTTTTAATTTGCTCTAAAACCCAAGTAAAAGTCTGAAACGACATTTTTTTTTTACCAATGGAAGAGAAACTCTTAATTAACTTACTGTTTTATAGTAGACAATATATGGGTATATTTGATCAATGAAAAAATTCTCAGAAAACTCTACACAAGGCAGTTTATGTTCACTCAATCGGAAAAGCTATTTAAAAATTTACAAAAATGTTTTCAAATCATTCCAAATATTAACTTTGCTGTTAACTTTGCATTCTAAATATTAACTTTTCAAAATTTGATACTAACTGAGGGTGACGTAGCATGCTGGTTCTTATTTTCTAGAATATAAGTATCAATGAAAGCTTGATCGATATTGTGACTGTTGGTTTTACAATGCTGAGAGGCTACCATGGGAGTTGAAATGAAAACAAGAATAAAAACTAGAACTTTTAAAAATCAATGTGACAGATACACTTGCCTTGAGCACAAACAAGGCATAGCTAATTACTGATACAGTTGCCAAAAAGGGCTTCTGACAGTCATGACACATGAGCAAATTCCTCCTCCAAGTAACAAATCAAACAGAGGTTATTAAGAGTCTTGGACACTGGCGGCTGGGAAGATGGGCTAGAGAAAGTGTCTGCTTGCTCGTTTTCCTTTACAGCGAGAGAAATATTCTAACATCATCTCAGACAGCTGAGTGACTTAGGTATGCTCATACTGCTTCGTTAAATGTTCAAAAATATTTTTTCTACAAATGTTTCCAAGAGAACTTGAGAAATTCAACTGCTAGTTTACCTATAAAGCCTCTGCTTCAATTCTTGGCATCTACAAGATTTACCTAGCAATATGTCCTTTGCCTCAGTCACATACATTTAAGTCACACTTTAATCATTCACTTTTCCTACGGAAGAAAGTATTAAATTTAACATACATAAGGCATAATAAGACTCAAAATATTTATTATTACAAGATCTCCTCTTTATGTATCAAATCCAGAAAACCATAAGCCATCTGCAGAAAATTAGAAGTTACTGTGCTCTATGCAAATAATTATATATGCATGTTTGTGTAATTTAATAAGAAATTATTTCTGTACATCAAAGAAAATCAATAGACTGAAAAGACAACCTATGCAATGGGAGAAAATATTTACAAACTGTACATTTGATAAGGGGTTAATATAAAAATATATAAAAATCCCAAACGACAGAATAGCAAAACCAACCAACCTAACAAAGAAACAAACACATTTTTTAAAAAAGTAAGCTGAGTAAAATACGAGAACCACCCAGTTTGTGGTGCTTTGTTACAGGAGTCGTAGGAAACACACATAGTGTCAGCGGGTGAGAAACAAGACCACTGCAAAAGGACAGCTAAGGAAACTGGAAATGGACTCTTAGCAATGCTGGATGATGTGATACGAAGTGAAAATGTCTTCAAAACTAGGTAGAATACCTTTCCACCTAGAATCCTCTACTGACACTAAATTAAACTAAATTTTAGGTAATCAATGATTCATTAATTTAAACCCTGCATATCATTTCTTATCAATTTACTTTAGGATGTGCTTCAAGTAGTTATGAAATAGAAAAACATGATATCTGGAATATAAGATGCTGTATTCAGAAAGCAAATGATGAGAAATTTACAGAGGACATTGGTGTGAGGTTCAAACTTAGAAAGCAGCCAGTCTGAATTTTAGAAAGAGGCCATTAAAATTACACTTTTTTTTGGGAAAAAATATATTTCTTAGCATGCTTGAAATGTTTAAGAAATGTTGAAACTGGATATCTTGATAGTGCAAAGAATAAAGCCAATGGCAAATAGAACCTCCCAGGCAAACAAAATACACGATGAAAAATCAGGTGTAATCCTAATACACTCTTTGGATACGTATTAAACAAAATGCAATTATTATTTTGTGAATATTTATATATTATATATACATATTTATAATGTATGTTATGGCTTTATTATAACATGAGGAGACAGCACAATATAATTATTTAAGTTGATAATTTCTTTTCTATCAAGTGGAATGTTAAAATGTAGAAATAAATCAACATTTTTTGTGTAATATGTAAAGACTTGACTATCAAAGAGAATGGTGTGTGTGTGTGTGTGTGTGCGTCTGTGTTCACACATTTGGCAATGACTCCCAAAATTAGTTTTCACAGAAACAAGATAAGGGAAGAATTGAAATAACTGAACCTACATTGATAATATTCCTCCACTTTTGACATGCAAAAATCACAACTTCCTATGGTCCAACCTTGTCGTTTTCCACATGGTTTGACTTAATAGGATCTAAGTTCAGATACTTAGTCTGAAATAACCAGAATATATTGCCTTCAAGTTTTCATAAAATGTTTAATGTGTGGGAGGATTTCAAAAATACATTCACTTTACTTCATGGTAATCCATGATCTCAGTGGTTCTGACTTTCCTGCGTTGTCAACCAAATGTGTTGGTCTTAACTGACAGAACTTTCATCGGATATCGATAATCTTTCTTATATTATAAAGCTGTATCTGGATACTTGATGACTCAAGGAATTATAAAAGTATCATAATAAAAATATCATAGTAAAAATATAGTCCTAGTAGGATATGAAGGAAGAAACAGAAAACCTACCCATTCTGGTCTGTTAGAGTAGCAGTTCCCAAACTTTTTGGCACCAGGGACTGGTTTCATGCAAGACAATTTTTCCTGGACCTGGGGGCGGGGGTGTGACGGTTTCAGGATGATTCGAGCACAATACATTTATTGTGCACTTTATATCTTCATTATTACACTGTAATATGTAATGAAATAATTATACAACTTACCTTAATGTACAATCAGTGAGAGCCCCAAGCTTGTTTTCCTGCAACTAGACGGTCCTACCTGGGGGTGATGGGAGACAGTGACACCTAAGTGTGTTGTTGATGCTCAGTGTACTCCATAATCTTGTTTTGGTGGTTGCTGTGACTGCAGAAAACCCAGTTTCACAAAGACAGGATGTTAGTAATGGAAGCAGGCTTTTCAGTGCTTTTGTGTCAGTCTCAGAATATTCCACCTTGACTTTAACCCAGAACATATGGAGATTTGAAGTTGTCTCAAACAAACTTTTAAGGCCACCAGATGCAGCTGTACAATCGAAGTACATCAGCTCACTTGCCACTATAAAGCCTGCCACAAGATGCAGCTCAATTGTCACTCTCCACTCATTGATAGAGTTTGGATGAGTCTGCAAGCGATTGATTTATTATGGTCTCTGTGCAGTCAAACCACTCTACTAATGTTAATCTGGATTTGCCACCACTCCCCAGCACTAGTGTCACTTCAAATCATCAGGCATTTGATTCTCATAAAGAGTGCACATCCTAGACCCCTCACATACACAGTTCACAACAGGGCTCATGCTCCTGTGAGAAGCTAATGCCACTGCTGATCTGACATGGGATGGAGCTCAGGTGGTAATATGAGCAATGAGGAGCAGCTGTAAATACAGATGATGCTTTGCTCACTTGCCCACCACTCACCTCCTGCTGTGCAGCCCAGTTCCTAACAGGCCATGGACCAGTACCAGTCCTGGGGGTTAGGGAAGAGTGTGGAAAGCAAAAAAAGACTTAGAAGAAAGGGTTGAAATCTGAGTGGGTGAAATACAGAAACACGCAAAGAAGCAAGAAATAATCCAAGAAAGCATTTCTTGTTTTACCAGCTCTCGAGCTGAAGTCTCATATTCAGCCATGTCCAGCATGATATGTGGTAACAGTATAGCAAAAGAGAGAATTTACTAGGTAAATGGTGATGGAATCACCCCACAACTTGTTCTTAGCATTCAGGAAATCAAGAAGATTTTGTGTGCTCTCATGAGGCACATGCAGCTTTTAAAGGATCATTCAATTGGCAGAGATTGGGGATTGGATTGGATTTGGTCGACTTTCAGCAGCAGTGGTTTCGAAGCCACAGCAAGAGATGGATGAATGCATTAATCTCAGTTGATGACAGTACAGAGACCAATCAACCTGACATCCATTCTACAGCAAGGACCAGCCAAAAAGGAGAGAGCTGAGACTAGTTACCTTTATTTTGTTGCCAGGAAATATAATCAGGTTTTTCTTGTTTCACCTTGAATATGAGAAAATGTAAAATCTTCTTATCTAGAAGTTGAACATAGAATGAGCTGAAAATTTAACCAAACGAGGCTTTTTAACAAGATAAAACCAAGATAAAAATTAAAGGATAAATCTAAACTTCCCTTCTACTTAAACGAAGTGGGAACTTATAATGAAGATTAAATAACTTTCAGAAAAGAAAGAAAAAATAATGTCAACTTTGTATATAAGATTTGTGTAATTAAATTTTTGACCTTGACTACATTATGATTTGTATAAATCTGAGTTAAAGGTTTAAACAAATGACTTTTTCTCTAAGTTTACAATACTTAAAAGATCACAAGGATAAGATATAGAAGAGAAAAAGTCTAAATTTATCTCATCTCCCCTTTTTTTATTAATCTATAGTTTAAAAGTAGAGCAACAGAAATGACACAAATTTAGATATAATCATAAAGAAAGTAATAGGTAGCTCCTTGTATGTGGCCAAAAGTTAGTTGGTCAAAAGTAGATGGGTTCAATATTGGAGTTTACACTAAATTTAGCCTGTTATCTAGGGAATCAATCTTGAATCTTTGGAGAGTGAAACTCAATTTCCATGTAGTAATGAACATATTTTCATAATGAACATCAGTCTAGGTTGATCGTCCAAATCACATCTTAAATCTAATGCTTATTTCACTTTATTTTAATAATCCTCCTAGACAAATTTAATGTTTTCCCCAAATGAAATAAAACCAGTTCTCATAAAAAAGTACAAAAGGGAAAACTAACTAAAATTGCTCATAAGGTACTAGTGAGTCTTAGAGTCTGCTATGTGATTCAATAAATTACCCTAGAAACAAAGGCTTAATTTACATTAAAAATGCCAGCACAGCGTAAGAAATGCAATGATTACCTTATGTATTATGGTTACATAACTAAAAGAAACTATTAAATGAAAATAATTCACTTAAATACTAACAGTGAGCCTATGAATAACACTCACTGCCCTTAACTTGTCTATTAGGAAATGAGTCTTCAGAAGCTCAAAAGTAGGTGGGAAGGGGGCCAGAACTTTGATAAGTAACTATCACTGCAGTAATTCTTCCTCCGTTAGGAGCATAACTAGAAACCTGACAGACTTATAACTCAGCTGTTTTAATGCTATGTACTGACAACCTGAGAAATTCCCTCCTGAGACGGTTCAGGTGCTAATCTGTCATAAAGTTCATTCTTGCATTTTGTCATCCATTAGATGATGGAGATACGGTTTGACCTAAGAATATTGTTTGTCTTGAGATTTATAAAAACAAAGGCGAATGTGCAAATGTCTCCTCTGGCTATTAGCACCATATTGATATGATTATGGAAGATAATGTCATAGAGAAATTCATTAGATGTTTGGTGTTTTTGAACTTGTAATTACTGTAGTAAAGGTTATTACAATGCAGAAAATAGACCCCCAAACCATATCGTCTGGGAAACAATCCATTAAGGGCATTCATATAGAAATAAATAAATAAATTCGGTTGAAAATGGCTGAACATGGCATTTGCCAAGGGTGCATTAAGAAGAGTCTGTCCTGGCTCACGCCTGTAATCCCAGCACTTTGGGAGGCCGAGGCAGGTGGATCAGTAGGTCAGGACATTGAGACCATCCTGGCCAACATGGTGAAACCCCGTCTCTACTAAAAATATATTTTAAAAAATTAGCTGGGCATGGTGGCGTGCACCTGCAATCCCAGCTACTTGGGAGGCTGAGGCAGGAGAACTGCTTGAATCCAGGAATCAGAGGTTGCAGTGAGCTGAGATAGTGCCACTGGACTCCAGCCTGGGTGACAGAGTGAGACTCTCTCTCAAAAAAAAAAAAAAAAAAAAAAGGCTGTCCATTTACTAATAGTCTAAAGGAGCCAACTGGCACTATTTGAATCTAAACTATTCTATGTGCTATCCCCAACTCATTAGCACAAGTCACTCCAGTATACCAGTAAGAAGAGAATTTCTGTTGTTCATCATTGACATTTTATTGAAAAATTTGCTGATTAAGAGCAGCTTGCATTTTACATTTTTCCCAGTCATACAATTCATGCAAACCCATAGGAACTAGTGAAGACTATGTTCTGTATTTATATTGATAATTCCCAAATTAATGAAGCAAAATGCACTAACAAACAAAAAGATAACCAATAACATATATAATTATTTTCCTTTACAGATTATCTTTTGTCTCTGCTTTCACCATGAGAAAAAACACATTTTTAAATGCTTATATCAAATTCCATGGTCCTGGACCCTGAAAACTGTATTTAAAAACTAAAATAAGTGTACAATTCTGATATTTAGTTGAATGAGATAGTGTTTCAAAATTAATGAAAAATATATTTTATGCATCCAGAATTAAAGTTTATAGTACATACTTATTACTTCCCTCCTTAAATCTATTATCATAGAGAATCTGTCTTTAAAACCAAATACCGAATGAATATTAAGTAATAGGCAGAAGCCAACAACACTTTATAAATAAAAAATTTTAATTATGTTTTGATGTTTATTTCTTTTACTTCTTCAAAATCTGATTTAAAAAGCACGCAAAAATAATAAAAAGCCAACTGACTCCAGATTAATCTCTTAGCGTATGAAATGAAAATTATTTACCCATAAATCAGTAATATGACTATCTCTTATGGCTTCTTAATAAGAAAAAAGGAAGAAAGAACTCTCAATTTTATTCCACTTGAAATTAAGTTGTTATTCTTCCCGTTTAATGGTTGTTGTTATTCTGAACCAAATTTCATCCTACGTAGAATAATAAAGTATTTTATTTTTCTGATTAAAATATCTTTTTCTTCTAGGTAATAATTTTGGTAATCTGGATTTAAATAAATAAATAAATAAATTCAATTAAGTAATCAATGTGTCTACAACAATTGAATTATTTGAATTTATTTTATATATTTGGAAGATTTAATATAAGCATCACATACACAGAGATCAGATTAAGTCTTGCCACTTTTCATGTCTTTATTTTCTTAATGATCAATCGTGTAGTTCATGGAATAAATTTCAATTCATATCAGCAATAAAAGAGGTCAAACTGTCAGCTATATAAATCCAGTGAGTGGGGTTAACTAGGTCATTAAAAATAAATGCTGAAGTGTTTATTTTTCTGTCTGCTCTACCACCAGATAATTCTTTTTCCTACGTTGCCTGTTTTATTACCAATTTTTTCAGAAACCAAAAGTTATAAATAATTTTTAAAGAAAAAGCAAATAAGAAAACTCAACTGCTAACTGTAGTGTTTGTGGATATAGCAAAATCAGCTGAGGGGTGATAGGACATTTTACATAAGGAAACAAAAATGCCTTTATTGGCATACATACATACTTATTAAAAAATAAAGCCGACAGGCTCCATATATTATCTCATAATTAATTTTGTACTTCAATATCTATACTCTACAGAGTTCAAATAGTTCTTCAATGATTGTAAATGTCAACAGTTATTTAATTACAAAATGGTTGTTAAAGATACAAGAGTTTTAGAACTCAATTTCATGCCGTAAATATCTTTGAATTATAAAATTGTGCCCTTGAACTGTATCTTAGAGATTATAGTGAAATGTTAATTCTACAGAAGAGGCATCTACTATACAGAGGAAATAAGTTACTGATCTTTGTGATAAGTGATACTTTAACATCTAAGTAGTCTGTAACTTTAAACAAATATTTAATGGAAAGATTCGATTTCTTAAAGATATAGCATTTGTTATATAGAATTTTTTATTGTGTCTACTGCCTCTCTCCCCACATTCTAATTTTTTTTTTCTCCAATACTTGTGTGGCCACTTGTTGCTCATCAAACATCTTTATGCTGCTTCCACTTTTAAGATGGAGGTCATTGAAAGATGTCAAGATGGAGGTCATTGGAAGATGTCTGCCCCTCTGAGTCACTCCATGGAGCAGGCCCTAGGGGGTCACCCAGCTCTCTTCAGATTTTGCAAGAGCCAAAACTACAAATGCTATATTTCTGTGGTGTGCTTATTAAATAGAAAATAACGCACAACTTATGCCATCTGGACTAATACATTCTACAAAGTCTTCCCACTAACTTTATACTCTTTTGAGTTTCTACATTATTATCTACTGACCTTTCACCCTCAAACATCTTCCTATTGTAGTTCACTTTGCTATTTTCAATGTTACCCAATCTCATCCACCTTCCATTTATCAATTTCTTCTCAAAAGGCTTTTTGTTTTATTTAAATTGTTTCTATTCAAACATATCTTGAAATTATAAAATCTGTTTCATCCTCTTTACCTTGCAAGACCACTTGAGCACTATCAATAATGACAATTATTAGCTTCATCATATGGCATCTGTTTGAATTGTTGTTTTGGTGTCTGTAGGTACTCCATCTTTGTCCTTTTAACATAGAAATGCAGGCCTTTCCTCAAAGACGTGATATCAGCTTTCCTTTCTCTCTTTCTTTGTAAATATGATACATTTCTGTTATTATATCTATAGCTTTATTCTCTTGAGTTTTAAATCCACATTTAAAGTAAAACGTGAAAAGCTTCACTAGAATATTTGACCATTGTCTCAAACTCAAATGCTGACACTAGCTTTATCATTTTTTCTACCACTATTTTTTAAAACCTGTGTTTTGAAGGCATTGGCATCTACGAAGTCATGTAGAGTATAGAACAAAAATAAGTTACCTCAACTTCTTCTTCTCTTTTGACCTCCATAAGCCATCAATAGCCCACACCCCATTAGTTCTCCTTCCATACTATCTCTTACTATGTCAGTTTCAGCTTTCTCCAATCCCACTCAGCCAAGGCACTGGTAGTAGCTCCATCTAGATCATGAGAGTTTGAACTAAAGTAGGGAATAATATTAGATATAAGAGCTGGTGCCTTTTAAAGTAGTTATGATCCCATAAATTCAGAACATATTGAATCTGGATAATGCCCCAATCACCAGAAAACCATGGTCTTCACCAACCTCCTTGGGTTTGTACAAACTTTTTGATAGAATTTATGTTTTACTTTTCTGAATATAAATCTAATTTTTTACAAGATTATTCACTAAGGTCTAAAACCTCTTTCCAGCTCCTTCAATCCTCTCTGCCTGGTGAAGGAAAGCATAGGTTGATTTTGTTCTTTATTTTGCTAGCTGTTGGCATTCTCATTTAAATGGAGGCCTTACTCTGTTTACCTCACTGAATTAAAAAATCACTGTCCTGTTCGTGTGTGTGTGTGTGCGCGGGCCACAATTTTTCAGAGCTTAATTATCTCTCACAGAGGTTGCAGCAATAACTTCTTAGTTTCATATTTTACCAATTGAAATTTAATACTACCAGCTACAATATCTTTAAAGGTTATGATTATATCTTTCCTGTGATCCACACTAACACTTAGATCCTTAATATAATATTTAAGTAATCAATATAATAGTTAAGAGACTTCCCACTTTGTCTCAGACCTAAATTCTAAATTACACATATAGATATATGTAAAACTATATATGCATTCTTTGTTTCAGTTTTATATATAAAAGGATGACTACACCATATAATTTATTATAAAGGTTGAAACTATTGAGAGAGACAACAAGTAAAAGATAGAGACAATAAGGAGAAATTAAATGTTTTCTTTTTTTAGCTTTTATTTTAGGTTTTGGGGGAACACGTGCCAATTTGTTACATGGGTAAATTGTGTGTTACAGTGTTTTGGTGTATAGATTACTTCATTACCGAGGTAATAAGCACAGTACCCAATAGGTAGTTTTGCAATCTTCTCTTAGCTCCCACCTTTCACCCTCAAGTAGGTCCTGGTGTCTGTTGTTCCCTTCTCAATACCCATGTGTATTCAGTGTTTAGTTCCCACTTATAAGTGAGAACAAATGGTATTTGCTTTTCTGTCCCTGCATTCATTCACTTAGGATAATGGCCCCCAGCTCCATCCATGTTGCTGCAAAGGACATGCTCTTGTTCATTTTTATAGCTGCAGAGTATTCCGTGATGTATATGTACCATATTTTCTTTATCCAAATTACCATTGATGGGCATTCAGTTTGATTACATACCTTTGTTATTGTAAATAGTGCTAAGATGAACATAAGTGTGCTTGTGTCTTTATGGTAGAACACATACATCAAATGTTTTCTAGGCAAACTGGGATATATAGTCAGCCTGACACATAGCTTTTATCTTGTCTTGCAATGGAATAATTCTCATTTGAATACTATTTATTCTTCGAATTCTCATGCAAATATGACTTTCCTTCTATTTTTTTCATCCTCTAAGCATGAATTCATTAATTAGACATTTTCAGGTTGCAAATAAGAGTCACTAAACTCAAATCAATTTATTGCCAAATCCTCAGATGAAACTAGACTCAGGCATGCACAACTGAACTGTGGACCCCATCACCAAACTGTAGCCTCTTTCTGTTTTACTGTGGATTTTTTTTTTTTTAATGCGGCAAGTGGAGGAGGAATATGGTGTCAGAGCAGAATTAGCTAATGTTATCACAAATAGAAATCCAGGAGAGAAGAAGGATGATCCTTCTCTCAACATCACTATAAAACGCTGCAAGGAAGGGATTTTACTGACTTGGCTTTGCCCTTCATTATTTCCAGTCTAATTACAGTGGCTTGGGGGCTTGAGTTATGTTTCCACCCTTGTATACAGAAGGACCGGGTCTCACCATAATTGACATCCATCAGAGCTACACCCCACAAAGGCTTTCGCCAGAAAAAGGGAAAGAAATTTTAGACAAACAAAATAAAAGGAGCTCACTGAAGCAAATAGTTATGTGGTCGTTAACAAAGACATCTTTGTGCTTAAATGTGTGCCTGAATCTTCACTCTATAACTTGCCAGCCACCTCTCTCATCTTTAACTTTCTTATCTATAAAGTCCATTGTTTGGGAGATATGAGATCATTTCTGTCAACAGCTTACATGGTTGCTCTCAGAGTTTAAGCACTTCATAATTACTGATATCAGTATCACTGCTTCCTCTTTTCTCTTCGTGTCTCATTGATTGTATTGTGCTTTCTTCTTTTTAATAAAAGTGTCTTTTATCTATACATGTCTTATGTCTTTCCTTAGACTCTGAGTTCGCTGCAGTGTATGTCCCTATCTTCTTTGTCTTCTTATCCCCGCAATACCTAGCATGACACCCCAAACAAACGAAGTACTTTGTCTGTATCTCTTGATCGTACGGTACTTTGTGTTTTCGTATAGCAGACATTGCAGGTGTTCATCTTTACCCAGAGCTCCTTAAAGCAAAGCTCTTGCCTCATTCTTTTTATGTCTCAAATAGTTCAGGCAGTGTTTTCCACACCGTAAATATATAACACACTTTTGAACGAACTCAGTGGAAAATCTGATGGATGTAACATTGCGGGTGATCCAATGATCACGTGGCCTCCTTCTACTGTAGCCTTGTCAGAGCATGCCTCATCTATGTTTACATGGGGTGTATCCTGTCTAACAGCCTCTGGTGTGTGGCTATTGGTTCCATGCCCTCTAGATGACATTAGCATGCCCTTGAGAATGCAAGAAAGCTTTATGTTAAGATATCACAAATCTAAGGTCATTTAAGTAATTTTTTTAAAACTACTATATGTTCGAATTTTTAGTTAGGGAAATTTTTAGAAGAATTTTCACATGTCTAAAGCCTCCTGCTTTCTGTTCCCAAACCATAAAGCTGCTAACACTCTTCTAATTTTGATTTGTTTAAAGGGGAAAAAAAAGGGGGTGAAGAGTTCATGCCGTCATTTTTATATGCCACAAATAAAATAGCTCTGCTTCTCTTTCGGCACATGCAGAAGTATGAAAAGCCTCTCAGATTCCTGACAGAACTGTCATTGTTTACCATTAGCACTGTCATATTTGTGTGACTTGTCATTCTCTACAGCGGAGCACGGGCTGGCACGGGGCCTGATGCTGACTTGCACAAGGGAAGCCTCCTGTCTCTGACTTCCCCAGGATAATTCCTGGGGAAAGTGTGCTCCCTAGTGTTAAGAGCGGTTTAATGGCTGGAGGGTTTCAGCGGGCTGACCAGGCAGAGAAGGAGGGTGAATCACCTCTCAGCACTCTCCACTTAGACTTTGTGTGGTCGTCGGGTGGTCAAACCTTCTAACTAGTTGTATTGCAGATTTGGCATTCCAGTGCAAACAAAAGACAGAAACACAATGTTCACATGCTTTCCAGAGATCACCTGGATATCAGATCATTTGATTTTCAAGTAAGTCGAAACCTTGGTGGAAATCATTAACTATCCTGTTTATGACCAAAAAATAAAATCCCAAATTTCTTCTCTTCATTTCTTACCTGCTTTAAAATTGTATCCAAAGCGTGGAAGTAAAAGATTTTTTTTCTGTTTATTTTTCATTTGAAATCAATATTTTCCTTTTCATGCATTATAACTTTTTATAAATAATTTACTTTACTTATATCAAAATGAAAGAGGTAACAATTGATAAAGAAATTAACCTCTAAGAGGTAAAAGTTAGGTGTACACCCCACTATTTTTCTAGTTAATAGCTATTTAATTTGAAGTATTTTCATTTGAGGATTTGTTTTGCTAGAATACCTACAGAATATAGCTCCTAGAAGTAGATATTTGTTTTATTTTTTATTTCAAAAAGAGTCTGCCTAATGTTTTGATTTTTTTTAATTAAAAAAAATGTCTTGGAGTTTTTTTACGCACCTGCATATATGCATTTTGCTTACAGAGCAGTTTGATGACAGAGGACCAGTTTTAACATGTCTAAAATATACACTTTAACATTATCTTGCTAGTATTGGTACCTCAAAAACAAATACAGTCCAAAACAATCTTAATAAATGTGCTAGAAACATGTATTTTAATATTATTGGTGGTCAGTTGTTAAGTACTTTAATGTTTTGATAGTCATCGTGTAAAATGTCAGTTGTAACAGACATTACTATGCCTCAAGATTCTTTAGTAATCTGTTTCTTCCAGGATATGCACTATACCTTACTTCATGAAATATGAAAATAAATGTTACTTTAAGTGCTTATGAATGACTATTAGAAATATTATTATTATAAAATTAGGGTAAAAATATTCCATTCGACATTAAATAAATGTTTTCTAGGGATCTAATATAACTCCTGCTATCCAAAGAATCTGAAGATATTAAACAGCATCAAGAATAGTCTGATGTTTTGGAGAATCGTGTGTTGAAAATTATAAAAGTTGGAACAACACTGGAATAAGAACATTTTACTGAGTTTTTATGATAAATCCTACTTTGTGCAAGGACCCTGGAAAAAGATAGGATAAGTAAATACGTATGAAATTTTCCACACTTAAAACTGAATATGGCAAAAAGACAAAAAGGAATAACATTTACTTGGTAAATACTAGAATGGGATACTAGAAGATTGCCTACAATTTCCATCCTTAACTTTCAGAGTTATTCATTTTGTTATTGGTAAAGCTTCTCCAGTCTTAGGGATCTGCAATACCATCTCAATACTTCTTACACAACCTATGTATTTTACAACAGTGTGAGTATATATTAGGTGAAAATAACCAATTTTTTGAGATAGAATCATAATCCTGTTTTAGATATCAAAGTAGGGTAACTTTTGCATTTAGAACTTTGTTAGACACTTGTCTTTGTACAAGAAGGTATTGAATTAGATGATTTTTTAGCCATAGCTCTCAGTTGCAGGGATCTATGATGTGTAAGTTAAAGTTTAAAATAAGGGAAATATATAGAAAATACTATAATTAGTGAATAAAATATTTGTTCATTTCCAAAAGATGCAAATTATGTTACTTGCAACCAGTGTCTGGCCCTTGTTCACACCTTCTTCTAAACGTGTTGCTTCAATACGTTGATAGGTGAGGACACTTAAAAATTAGACTTTATAGAAATAGGTTTTTTTTTGTTTACATATATAGTTCTTTTGGTATCATATATTTAGCCTCTTTCTAAAATTTATTTTTTGATACTGAAGGGAGAAATAGGGAGTTATTAATCAACAGGCATTAATTTTAGTCAAGCAAAATAAATAAGCTGTAGCGATCTGCTCTGTAACATTGTACCTACAGCCAACAATTATATGTTGTCCACTTAAAAATGTGTTAGATCTCATAGCAACTCTTCTTACCACAATAAAGTAAAAATTCTGAAACAATAAGTGAATACCTAAATAATACAAACAAATACAATATTGTAGTTTTGGGCACTTAATAAATGACAGCCTCATTTCTCAATTAGAGATCATCACAAGTTAGACAGATGACGATGATCACAAAAGTTAGACTTTTTTATTACTCACAAAGTCTATGTTGGAGAAGGTGAGTTTCCCAATACCCACCCTAAGAATTAGATACTTTCCTTTAAATTTACATAATGGAAAAACAGAGAGAATGAGCATGATCTGTAGCTAGGCAGATATGGAAGAAATGAAGAAGAGAAAGACTTAACTGAGCAGTCCAAGTGCCTCTCCCAAACTCCAAACTCACCAATGAGACACGTCGTTTCTCCTCTATGAGAAGAAATAAGTGAAGCACAGCAGAAAGCTGCCAGGGATGTTGCTCTAATTGAGCTCCCTCTATGTAAAAGCAAAGGAAAGAAGCACTCTCATCCCCACTTGCTCAACAAAAAATAACTTTCCCAACCTATCATTGAAATGACTGGCCGGGCACCGTGGCTCACAGCACTTTGGGAGGCCGAGACAGGCGGATCACCTGAGATTGGGAGTTCGAGACCAGCCTGACCAACAGGGAGAAACCCCGTCTCTACCAAATATATGAAAATTAGCCGGGCGTGGAGGCGCACGCCTGTAATCCCAGCTACTCGGAAGGCTGAGGCAAGAGAATTACTTGAATCCGGGAGGCGGAGGTTGCGGTGAGCCGAGATTGCGCCACTGCATTCCAGCCTGAGCAACACAGCAAGACTCCGTCTCAAAAAAAGAAAAGAAAGAAAATACTTAGATTTTCTTGAAACCACTGAGCCTTATATTTAAGTGTAATCAGAGAGGTTATCTCACAATTTCTTTTGCTCTAGAAAATTGCACAAATATTAATGTAAACTATTTCAATTCTGTAAGAAAATCAGGGAGGACTTATACTTGCCAAAGATGGTATTCTAAAACAAATTAACTACCTGAATATTAGAGAGCTACTTTGATTCTGACGGTCTTATGAAATTGTAAGAAAATTTAAATGGCATAATATGCAAGTAAAGTAGAATTGGTTTCTTTGTGTTCTGATTTCAACTTCATTTTTTAAATGCAGTATTTGATCTTTACATTAATTTTTTTCTAGAAGTGTAGTGAAATTAATGTTTTCATTTGCGTATCTACAATGCCATATGAAAATATATGGTATCTTTTTTCATCCAACATTTCAATGACATACCTTACAATTTAGCTATAGATATTAAATCACATTAAAATCTACATAATAATACCAACAATCAGTCTACATTTTATATCATATCCACATGATACCATAAATATTTTTGTTGAAAGTGAAGCTGAAACTGCTTAAATATTTTCTATCTGAGAAAGATAGCTCTTAGAATTAGGCAGTAGTCTATGCTACAGACATGGATCAATTGGTTCCACCTGTGAAGGAGAGACAGGGTGCAGATTATGAACAAGGCTGCACATGTCACTTTTCAAATTTGAGAGGATACAACACTGGAAGGCGTAAACAATGTAATAGTTGATGACAAAATTGAGATTCAGGTTATCTCAAAAGACTGGAATGCTGAGTGAATACCAAGAACATGGAATCTGATAAAAACTAATCTCAAGGCATGCTTTAGATTAAAAAAGAGAGAGAGAGAGAGAAAAAGAAATGTAAAGTAGTAAATACTGCAGACAGTAGTTTGTGGTTATCAGACCTGACTTGGCTGTAACTCAATAATCACCAACAGTGCCAAGAAGCTGCTAAAAAGAAAAGCATATGTTGCCTTAATAAAAGTTGAGTGTACATAAATGTGAAAAGCATAGCCTCTTCTTGGAATGTTAAGTATAAATATCTGAAATACTGGGCTTGATATGTCAACAGGAGATTGATGGATAAAAATAGAATTTTATATAAAAAACAACTGGACATATTAGATTGTTAACTTGGAAGAAAGACCATATTCAAAGAAGAAAACATAGTGACTAATTTCAAACATTTAAAGTCTTCCCTGTGGAAACAAAGGAATATCTTTGTTCTAACACTTCAAAGAACAGGGTTAAAAAATAGACTCACCACAAAGTAAATGCACAATTGACAATCGTGAATGAATTAAAAACCAAACAAAATATTTTGTCAGCTTTCTATCTATGAAACTAAGAAACAGGCTTCCTACTAAGGTAATGAATGTAATTCACAGAGAACATTCACGTATAAGTTTCATTCATGTTTCAAATTTCATTGATTTGATCAATGGGTTATTCTAATACCCTCCCTTATTTCTTCTGAGATTCTATTCACTTTTATAATCATTTCACTTTTTATTGAAAATTAGCTCTATATGAATTCATGTTTATTTCAATTTCTTGAAGAGTCTTAAGAAGATTGCTTAATATTGAGAAAATAATTAACTCTCCAATAAAAGATACTTAGGGATTAGTAATTTTACAACAGCTAAGGTCAATTAATTGGCAATCTAGTATTTTTATTATAAAACATGCACAGTCAAGAAAAAGAGATGTTCCCTTCTCACCCACCACATTTATGCCACTGCATGGGGTGATACATTTCATGTGGAAATCTCTTGATTTGGGTGTGTGTTTTGGGGTGGGGGTTTCAGCCAAAATGGCAAAAATTCTTAAAATCTTTGACCAGCATGGTTTTCTTCTCATGAGCCACAGTTGACCAACGCTTCATTTTCAATGTTTCTTTACAATTTCTCTTTTCTTCAAGGTCTAGTATTCTGTTATAACAAAGGTTATGAGGGCAAGCTTCCATTTCTCTCTTCGTTAAGAGAATAAATTCTCTCTACCTTTGGTAAAAATGCACACAGACAGCAGCAAAGGAGGAAGAGTTTAAAGCTAGAAAGATAAAGAGTATGTTTACACATTTGGCATAAAATCTTTTAAGATTCTTAAACTGTTAATACTTAAATATTCATAATGGATTACACTATTTCTGCAGTGATGCTAATTGGTTATTAAGATGGCTTAAACCATTGATTTGAAAGAGCTAAGTTTGAAGTTTTTTTGGACATCCTGAAACTGCCTAAGGTGAAAAGGGCTCAGGTGTACATAATTTATGAATTGATTATCATACTGTCCAGAAAAGCTTATACAGCCTCCAGGCTATTTGGGTGCTACCATATCAAGTGCACCTTATTTAAATGCATCAGCTTTCTATTTCCAGGTTCATGGTTTGCCATCCCGTATGAAATATTTTAAATTAAATAACAACAATGGAATAAGGAAAGTAAAATGGATAATAATAAGGGAACAAACAATAATACGCTGAACTTCCAGGTCAAAATAATTTTGCAAAGTCTTTCATATTGAAAAGAAAAAAATCTGTAAGTGATAAAAAATATTAATACCCTTGCTAAAATAAAAATAATGGTAAGCATAATAACTAATCATTAAACTTTTTCTCTATGAAAGTACTAATTAGCACAAAAAGATGATATATTTATCCTGAGAAATAAGCTGAAATAGATTAACAAAATTAAGAGTCAAAAATTTTGCCTTTGTGAAGACTCAGTAATTCAGCTTAAACTTAATTCCAGTTGTGGAACAGAAAAGAAACGTTTTTATTTTCTTTCCAGCTCCTTAATTTGCCACTGCTTATACATTTTTCTTAGAATCGCCTCAATAAAAAAATTGAACTATCATGGAAATATGAAATAACTGCCACATTGTATGCTTCTGCTCACTGAACTACGGGATTGAGATCAGAAAATGTTGCTAAAGTACACGAAAGTGGTACTAATAGTTTAAACTTCATTGACACGTCAATGCTGAGAATGTTTCTCTAAGAGCCTAAAACTGCCTGGAAACTGTATAAGGAAGAAAATGTGAGGCTCTATAAAGTCAGAATTTGCAATTTCTCTTACGGCATATGAATCAATAAATGCTGCAATGAGGGCCAACAGAATAATTTCGGCTTACCTTGCAACTCCTTGTTCCCCTACTTTTTATTTTTATTTATCATGGGGCTTAATTGATTTATAAAATTAACATACTTTGATAAACTGTGTCTAGAGCAATGTCCATTAACATTGGTAAAGCAACAACTTAGTTACATGGTTTAAGTGAGGCATTTTTTAAAAAGAGAGAAGCATATATTTATATATAAGATTGCATCAAAAATTTAATTACCAGTACTATTCATTAGTTACATTAAGGAAATCTCTTTGCAGCTGACATATATGGGTGTTACCCACTTTATTTGCATTCTTCTCTTCCTTGCTAAGAGAAGCGCCATTTTGTTAACAACGGCAACGTGTCCAGTCAATGTGACTCACCTCCTTCTGGACTTGCTTAAGGCTGGGAATAATTATGTGACACAGTTTTGGCCAGTGCGATGTCAGTGCAAGTTAAAACGGTGGAGTCACTAGTAGGCTATTTCTTCTTGAGAAAAACATTGTCAGCTACCGTACACCTTCATGTTTCTCCTCTTCTCTTTTTACTGCATGTTATGATGGCAGAAGCCTGGAGATGGCAGAAAACCTGACAGCCATGTGGTAGCTATGAAGACAAAATGCCCTTTGAGGTGATGTTAGGGCTGGAAGTGAGAAGGAGGCTGAGTCCACAGTCACTGTTATGTGAGCAGCTGTTCATGTTCTGAACATTCTTCGTCTTTCCTGATAACTTAGAGGTGCTGGGGAAATGCTTTCTGGTTAAGTCATGATCCTGAAAGGTTTTGTCTTTTACAAACAAAAATTTAGGCTATTTCAGCATTTTTTTCTCTGACTGTGGATACAGAATCACTAATCTGAAAACCTGAAATCCAAAATTTGAAACTTTTTGAGCACTGATATGATGCCACAGTGGAAAATTTCAAACCTAACCTCCTGTGAATAGTAGCAATCCAAATGCATTCAAAACATTGTTTTATACACAAACATCTTTAAAATATTGCATAAAATTACCGTCAGGCCATGTGTATAAGGTGTAAATGAAACATGAATAAATAAACATTTCTGGTCCTAAGCATTTCAGATAAGGGATACCTAACCTGTAATTATATAATTTGTGTGTTGGGAATGATACTTTGTTTAAAGCCATTGGGGAGAATTGTCAGGAAGCAATTGAAAGTACATAAAATAATAGTACTACCCTAAAATAATAATAAAATAATTTCTTAAGGACAGCACTACTGCTACTGCCTAGAAGTGTTAAAAATCTGAAAAATATTGATGAACCAATCAAATGTTATGACAAAAACCAAAGGATGAGAGTTAAAACAAGAGAAAGGAAGACTACATATATTAGAAAACTTTGTTGGATGGTATAGCTTATTTTTTAGTTATATCTACAATTGAAGTATTTTTAGAAAGAAATGAAATGTCTAGTATTCCAAATAACATTTAAGTAATACAGTATAAAGATCATGGGTGTATCAGTAACCCATATAAGGACCAGGCGCAATAGCTAATGCCTGTAATCCCAGCACTTTGGGTGGCCGAGGCAAGCGGATCATCTGAGGTCAGGGGTTTGAGACCAGCCTGGCCAGCATGACAAAACCCCATCTTTACTGAAAATATAAAAATTAGCTGGGCATGGTGGTGCGTGCCTGTAATCCCAGCTACTTGGGAGGCTGAGGCAGGAGAATTGCTTGAACCCAGGTGGCAGAGTTTGCAGTGAGCCGAGATCACACCACTGCACTCCAGCCTGGGAAACAGTGAGACTCTGTCGAAAAAAATAAAAATAAAAAAAAATGGTCAGCTTTATTTGAAATACATTTATTTTATTAATACATTTACTCATGAATTTCATTAGCATGATTTTGCATCTTCTGCAAAACAAAAAATTCACATTTCACACCCTTATAATTGGTGCATTATTTGTCACCCAAGCAGTGAATGTTACCTACTCTACAGCAAGCGTTGTCAGACACCAACAATTTAGAAAAATGAACAAAAAATGTTTCTGCCTACAGTAGCTCACATCCTAGAAGAGAAGATGAGCAAGTAACACTGAGCAAGTGGCAGAATTCTTTTAGAAGGAGACTTTCATTATATAGTACATCTTGCTTGACTGGTCGTTGTGGTTGGGTTTCATGAATATGCTACCTGACAAAGAGACACACTTTGCCATGCAGGAAAAATAAGAAATTGGAATGATATGGGATGAATACACTGAGACTGGCAGAACAAAGAAGGAAGAACTAAGCAGTGTGGTACAGTGCTCAGCCCTGACCATTGAGAAGTGAGCAAAAACAGAAATGTCTCACATTTCAATGTAAAGGCTTCCCTGATGTGTAATTGACAGCCATTCATCCCCAGTTTCCTCTGGCACCTTTGTTCCTTAACTTAAGTGGCCATGAGAATCACTTGTAGGAGACATAGAAACAGATTTAGGGACTCAACATTGAGAGTGCCTGATACAGAATGTGTGAGGAAGAGACAATGATTTGCATTATGTATGTATTTATTTATTTATTTAGACAGAATGTTGCTCTGTCACCCAGGCTGGAGTGCAGTGGTGCCATCTCGGCTCACTGCAACCTCCACCTCCCCGGTTCAAGCAATTCCCTTGCCTCAGCCTCCCATGTAGATAGGATTACAAGTGCATGCCACCAAGCCGGGCTTTTTTTTTTTTTTTTTTTTTTTTTTTGTATTTTTAGTAAAGACAGGGTTTCACTGTATTAGCCAGGATGGTCTCCATCTCCTGACCGCATGACCATCTGCCTCGGCTTCCCAAAGTGCTGGGATTGCAGGTGTGAGCCACCGCACCTGGCCTATGATTTGCATTTCTAACATGTTCTCTTGTAATTGATTCTGCTGATCCAGCGAGTATGCTAATCAAGAATAACCTTAGATCAATGCAAGAATGTTTTGACATATGAAAACCAATAAATGGGATTCACCACATAAACAGAATTAAAAACAAAAACCATATGATCACCTCAATAGGCACAGAAAAAGTATTTTATAAAATCCAACGTACCTTTCTGATAAAAACCCTCAACACACTAGGCATCAAAGGAAAATATCTCAAAATAAAAGAGCCCTCTATGACGAAACTGCAGCCAGCATCATACCGAATGGGAAAAAGTTGGAAGCATTTCCACTATGAACTTGAACAAGACAAGAATGTCCACTGTCACTATTCTTATTCAACGTAGTATTGGATGCCCTAGTCAGGGCAATCAGGCAAGAGAAAGAACTACAAGGAATCGAAATAGAAAAAGAGGAAGTCAAATTATCTCTGTTCACCAATGGTATAATTTTATACTTAGAAAACCCTAAAGACTCCTTCAAAAACTCCTAGACTTGATAAATGTCTTAAGTAGACTTTCAGGATACAAAATTAACATACAAAATCAGTAGTATTTCTATAAACCAATAATGTTTAACCTGAGAAGCAAATCAAGAATCCAATTCCATCTGCAGAAGCCACAAATAAAATACCTACAAATACATCTGACCAAGGAGGTGAAAGATCTTTACAAGGAAAACTACAAAACACTGATGAAAGAAATTATAGATGTCACAAAGAAATGGAAAAACATTCCATGCTCATAGATTGGAAAAGTCAATGAGTATCCATGCTGTCCAAAGCAATCTACAGATTCCATACAATGCCTACAAAATTACCAATATAATTTTTTACAGAATCAGAAAAAAATTCTAAAATTCATATGGAACCAAAATAGGCCCTAGTAGCCAAGTCAATCCTAAGCAAAAATAACAAACCTGGAGGTATCTGATATGGTTTAGAGATCTGTATCCCCATCTATATCTAGAGGGAATTGTAATCCTCAGTGTTGGAGGTAGGGCTTGATGGGAGGTGATTTGATTATGGGATGAATTTTCCCCTTGGTACCAAGTTGAGATTAAGTTCTAACAAGATGAGGTTTGATCTATTTAAAATTGTGTAGGGCCCCCCACTCCCCCCCGCAACACACATGAACATGAGAGAGATAATTTATGATATCTGGCAGAAGAAATTTCTAAACTGCAAAGCTTCAAGATTTGACCTATGGTTATATGTGTGGGCAAGGAAATTACATAAAACTGAAACTTATATTTAAGGAGGAACAAGAGTTCAAAAGTTTAGAAAATTTGCAGTCCAGCCATTTGATAGAAAAGAAACACTCCCTTTCAGGTGAGGAATGGGGCTGCAGAAAGCTGCATAACTAAAAGGAAGACAAATGCTGATAGTCAAGACAATAAGAAAAATGCTTTAAAGGCATTTCAGAGGCTTTTGAGACAGCCCCTTTCATCACAAGCCTGGACGCCTAGGAGGAAAGAATGGTTTCCTGGGCCAAGCTCAGGGCCCCACCACTCTACAAAACCTAGGGACAGGGCTCACTGCATCTCAGCCACTCCAGCTCCAGCTGTAGCTAAAAGGGCCCTAGATACAACTCAAGCCACTGCTTCAGAGGATGAAAACCATAAGCCTTGGTGGTTTCCATGTGGTGGTAAGCCTGCAAGTGCACAGAGTGCAAGAGTTGAGGCTTGTGAGCCTTTGCCTATATTTCAGAGAATGTATGGAAAAGCTTGGATGTTCAAACAAAAGCCTGCTGCAGGAGCGGAGCCCTCATGGAGACCCTTTACTAGGGCAGTGCAGACAGATGTGGGGTTTAAGCCCCCACAGAGAGTCTCTGCTGGGACATTACATAGTGGATCTGTGAGAAGAGGGCTACTGTCTTTCAGACCCCAGAATGGCAGAACTGACAGCTTGCGCCATGCACCTGGAAAATCTGCTGGCACTTAATGCCAGCCAATAAAAGCAACCATGGAGGCTCTACCCAGCAAAACCTCAGGGGAAGGATTTCCCAAAACCTCATGTGCCCACTGTTTGCACTGGCATGCCCTGGATGTGAGACATGGAACCAAAGGAGATTATTTTGGAGCTTTAAGGCTTAATGGCTGTCCTGCTGGCTTTCAGACTTGTGTGGGACCGGTAGCCCCTTTTGGCTGATTTATCCTTTATGGAAAATGTGTATTTACCCAATGCTTGTACCCCCATTGTATCTCAGAAGTACCTGGCTTACTTTTTTTTTAACAGACTCATAGGCAGAAGAGATTAGCCTGTCTCAGATGAGACTTTGGACTTTGAACTTTTGAGTTAATGTTGGAATAAGTTAAGACTTTGGGAAACTGTTGAGAAGGATAATTATATTTTGCAATGTGAGAAGGACATGAGATTTGGGAGAGGACAGGAGTAGAATGATATAGTTTGTATCTTTGACCCTACCCAAATCTTATGTCAAATTGTAATCCTCAATCTTGGAGGTGGGGCCTGGTGGGATGTAATTGGCACCCACCAGATAATGGCAGAAATTTCACTCTTTGTATTGTGTTGAGATAGTGAGTGAGTCCTCACAAGTACTGGTTTTTAAAAGTATGTAGCACCTCTGCCCCCTTCCTCCTGCTCCAGCCATGTAAAATATACTTGCTTCTCCTTTGCCTTCAACTATGATTGAAAGTTTCTTGAGGCCTCTCCAGAGGTCATTATACTTCCCATACAGCCTGCAAAATCATGAGCCAATTAAACCCTTTTTTCTTTATAAATTACTCAGTCTCAGGTATTTGTTTATAGCAAGGCAAGAAGGGAGTAATATAACATCCCATTACCTGGCTTCAAACTATACTACAAGGCTATAGTAACCAAAACAACATTGTATTGGTACAAAGATAGACACATAGACCAATGGAAAAGAATAAAGAACCCAGAAATAAAGCTACACTCCTACAATCAATTGATACTTGACAAAGTTGACAAAAACAAATAATGAAAAAAAGACACCCTATTCAATAAGCAGTGCTGGGAAAACTGGCTAGCCATATGCAGAAGAATGAAACTGGGCCCCTCCCTTTTACCATGTACAAAAGTTAACCAAATATGGATTAAAGACTTAAATATAAGACAACAAACTGTAAAAATCCTTTAGAAAACCTAGAAGAAACTCTTCTGGACATTGACCTAGGTGAGTAATTTATGACTAAGACCTCAAAAGCAAATGTAACAAAAACAAAAATTAACAATTGGGATTTAATTAAACAAATGAGGCCAGCAAAACAAAAGAAACTATCAACAGAGTAAAAAGACAACCTACAGAATGTAAAAGTATTTGCAAACTATGCATCCAAAAAAGGACTCATATCCAGAATCTATAAGGAACTTAAACAATTAAACAAGATAAAAACAACTCAATTGAAAAGTAAGATAGAGACATGAACAGACACTTCTCGAAAGAAGGCATATAAATGTCCAGCAGACATATAATAAAAGCTTAACAAAACCCGTCACCAGACAAATGCAAATTAAAGCCACAATGAGGTACCATCCCACACCAGTCAGAATGGCTCTTATTAAATATCAGAAAATTACAGATATCAGTGAGGATGAGGAAAAAAGGGAACACTTATACACCATTGGTAAGAATGTAAATTAGTTCATTTCCTGTGGAAAGCAGTTTGAACATTTTCCAAAGAACTAAAACTAGAACCATTCTACAAAGCAATCCCACTACTGAGCATCTACCCAAAGGAAAGGAAAATGTTCTACCAAAAAGACATTTGTGTGTGTATGTTTACTGGAGTACTAGCACAATAGCAAAGTCATGGAGTCAACCTAGGTGCCCATCAGTAGTGCATTGGATAAAGAAAGTGTACATATACGACATGGAATACTACAAAGCCATAAAACATAATAAAATCATGTCCTTTGCAGCAACATGGATGCAGTTGAAGATCATTATTCTAAGTGAGTTAATGCAGAAACAGAAAACCAAATACTACATGTTCTCATTTATAAATGGGTACTAAACAATGGATACACATGGACATAAAGATGGAAACAATAGACACGGGGGACTTCAAAAGTTGGGAGCGAGGGAGGGGGGTAATAACTGAAAAACTACCTGTTGAGTACTATGTGCACTGTTTGGGTGATGGGTTCAATAGAAGCCCAAACCCCACCATTAGGCAATATATACATGTAACAAACCTGCACATGTACCCCCTGAATCTAAAATTTTTTTAAAAAAAGAATAACCCAATGGCTCACGCCTGTAATCCCAGCACTTTGGGAGGCCGAGGCGGGCGGATCACGAGGTCAGGAGATCGAGACCATCCCGGCTAAAACGGTGAAACCCCGTCTCTACTAAAAATACAAAAAATTAGCCGGGCGTAGTGGCGGGCGCCTGTAGTCCCAGCTACTTGGGAGGCTGAGGCAGGAGAATGGCGTGAACCCGGGAGGCGGAGCTTGCAGTGAGCCGAGGTCCCGCCACTGCACTCCAGCCTGGGCGACAGAGCGAGACTCCGTCTCAAAAAAAAAAAAAAAAAAAAAAAAAAAAAAAAAGAATAACCCAAGATCTCGCTAAGCTTTGAAGTCTTTTTTGAGTTTTCCCATTAATTTAAAGTACTTCTTCTTTACTTGAATTTGCCTACCACATATGTGTATAGACAGTCCATGCACTGCTTAATACATTTCTTTGGAATTCTTGTTTAGCATAAATATGTATATATCTTTTTATGCGTGACATATTTCACTTTACATAATGTCTTCCATACTCATCCATGTTGTTGCCAATAACAGAATTTCATTTTTTTAATGGCTGGAAAATATTCCATTGTGTATATATGCAATATTTCCTTTATTTATTCATCCATTGATGGGCTCTCAGGTAGATTTTGTCTCTCTATTATATATATTGTAAATATGTATATTTTAATGCTAAACATATATATATATATGGGCTACACACACACACACACACACACACATATATATATAGGTACACAGAGAGAAAGAGAGAGAGATCCTCTTGCACAGTGTTCACCTAACTTAAGGTGACTATCAGATAATATGAATATATGTTCATACAGACACATGCGTACATATGATAGGTAGTTAAGAAATACTTTATGTTACTTCTTTGGTTTCTCCTGAAGCACTTTATTTATAGCCATAAATGCAAGTACATCATTAGCAAAATAACTAGTCTAAAAACAAAATAAATAAATGGATATCATAATGAAATATGTTTTACATATTAAAATTAAATTTTTGTTGTTGTTATACACTTTATATATTAAAACAGATAATAAAAAAATTAATTTTCATGCATCATTCTCCTAAACCCTTTGGAATTTTTAATCCTTAAAACCACCCTTTGAGGTAAGTGCTATTATAATGAGCCTGTTTTATAATATGATGACACTGAACCATGGAATAAGGTAAACATCCCCAGGGCACACATTGGGAAACTAGTAGAACCTAGAATTGAAATTAGGCACTATGATATGAGAAAACCTGTTCTAAACTACTCTACACTCTACTGCACTTTATGAGAAATTATTTCCCCTAAAATCCTGTTTTAAATTAATTCTTTACATTTTAAGACCATAATTTTTAATCCAGGTTAAGTCAGTTTTCTTTTTCCTTTTTTTAAAATTGCTCGACTTTTTTAGTTTATTAATTTTATTTGATTGTTTTATTTTTTATTTTTTTTAAATTATACTTTAAGTTCTAGGGTACATGTGCACAATGTGCAGGTTTGTTACATATGTATACATGTGCCATGTTGGTGTGCTGCACCCATTAACTCGTCATTTACATTAGGTATATCTCCTAATGCTATCCCTCCCCACTGTTTATTACTTTGTTGATATGTAATAATTGCACCTATTTATGGGGTGCAAATGATATTTTGATACATGCATGCAATGTGTAATGATTAAATCAGTGTAATTGAGATCTACATCACCTCAAATATTTATCTTTTTTTGTGTTCGGAACACTCTGTATCTTCTCTTCTAGAGAAGATTAATACAAAACATCTTTATACCTCCAGTTACTCTGTTATACCATGCAACACTAGGACCTGTTCCTTCCATCTAATTTTATATTTGTACCCATTGACCAATGCTTCTTTACTCCCCTTCTGCACTCCCCAAATACACCCTTTCCAGCTTCTGGTAACTATCTTCTACTCTCTACCTCCGTGAAAGGTAGAGAGTAGCTCCCACCTATGAGTGAGAACATGCAGTATTTATCTTTTTATGTGTGACATATTTCACTTAACATAATGTCTTCCAAACTCATCCATGTTGTTGCCAATAACAGAATTTCATTCTTTTTTATGGCTGGAAAAATTTCCATTGTGTATACATGTGAATTTCCTTTATTTATTCATCCATTGATGGGCTCTTAGGTAGATTCTGTCTCTCTATTGTGAATAGTGCCACAATAAAGCCCAGATGATAGCCATTGATAATTTTCTGAGAGCTGAGAGAATGCATGCTCACCAGCATCATGTAGGAGCAATTCGTCACAATCTGTCATGGCACGAGTCATCATTGTTGCTCTTAAGTTAGTAAGTTCTATCATCTACTAAGTAATCACAGCAATGATAATGGTAAATATCATCCAGAAAATTCTTGCAATTGCATTGTCTAATTTAATCTCAATCACACAATGATGTAGGAAATATTATTTAGCAGCTGAACAAATTGAAGGAGAAAACATCATACTCAAGTTCATCTAGCTCCTCCAAACACAATATGGTTAGTGTGGCGATTTCTACAAAATTATCAGCTAAAAAATATGTGTTGAATTAAAAATGAATGAAGTACAATAACGTACAAAATTATGATTTAAATGTAAAACCTACGAAAAGAGTGGGTTGTAGAAACTGATAAACCTGTAACCAATAACCAAAGATGATCTAAATGCTGACTCTATGATGCCAGATGACACGGTGACTTTACCACTTAGAGGTATTTATTGAATAAAACCCCTAAAGAAATAAGTCCACAATTCCTTTCCCTTTTAATATTGGCATACTTTCTGCCAATTAAACACATTTGTTTAATGATTGCAATCTTAAAAATATTAATACTAGAGATTAATATTAAAGATTATTCTGCATAGTGTATTTCAAGAAAGAACACTAAAGACTAAAATGACAATAATGATCACACACTTATACAATCTCCGGATTGAAGGGAATCTGAAAGATCATAGTATTATACATCTTTTCATTTTAAGTGTAAATTTCCTTAGCACTGTTCTTAAACATTTTCAGATTTGAGAAATTATTGTCCATCTTTTTACAAATTTAATTATTGATGCCACTGAAATGAATAGCAAAGTCATAATATGTATAAATAAAATAAATAGTTTTCTATGTTCCTACTGTAGTAGACATTAATTATTGGTGCTTAATATCTGCTGCTCCCTTTCCCTTGGCTAAGCGTCCCTGATTTCAAAATATGTACTCTTTAACCTAGCCTCACCCTTTTCCCTAAAAAATGCAGACCATGATTATGGTACTTTAAAGACACTGATTGAAGACATTCATCACGATTCAGACCAGTAGGAGCAAAGAAAATGTGTCTATGGACTTCTGGGAAGTTTGAGCTTTCTCTTCTGTTAACACTGCCTCAACAGCTCACTCCTGCTAGCTAGTCCCATTTATAAATATGTGGGACTGATACTGCTGTAAACAGCAGACTGCCAGATAGAGAAGTCAGTTCTCTGAAAGAGAAAACCTTAAAGAATCCCGAGAATCCCTACTATTGACTCCAGCACTAAATTTCAGAAAATGAAAATAGAAATTTTGGTTTCCTTAAGCGAATTTGATGTAGATGATACACGTCTGACCTAGTGTGTTCCTGAAAAAAAAATAAGATAGTATATGCAATGAAAAAATATTTTCTTAATCGTGCTAGGTGTATTAAACAACAAGAATTAATTTTTTCGCAATTCTGGAGTCTGGATATCTGAGATTAGTGTGCCAGCTCAGTCAGTTTCTGGTGAGGGTTATTTTCCCAGCGTGCAGAGGGCTGCCTTTTCTTTTTGCTTGCAGGCAGCCTACATCTTGCTGTGTGCTCACATGACCTCTTCTTTGTTCACGTAGAGAAAGGGAGGGCAAGCGCTCTGGGGTCTTCTAGGTTTTGGCGGAGGTACTCGAGATAGGCTGATAGGGAAAACAAGAGCACTAATCCTATCACAAGAACCCCACATTCAAGACCTCATCTGATGTTCATTTACTCCCAAAGGCTCCATCTCAAAATATCATGCCATCGAAGGTTAGAATTTAACATATGAATTTGAAGTGGGATGGAGCAGAAACATTCAGACTATAACAAACACATTATACGTGAAGAGGCTGATTCTATCTATATAAAACAAAAAATGGGATTCCTCATGACCCATGGATTGAAAAAATCCTTCTGACATTTTTCGTGTTCTGTACATTTGTTCTTTTTATTCATAATTAGGCACACGATTTATTGGTTTAAGTTCGTTGAGCATCCATTTGAGATTAAAGATTCCTTGCTTTAGCATTCCTGATAAATTTCAACTTAACTCATTTACATGCTGTTTATGAGACTCACAACTGAATCAACACATCAGTTTTGTCCAATTTTTTTAAAGGAGAAAATACGTTGGAAGTATTAAAATGAGCAAGTGTATTAAATAGCTAAAAAGAGAATACTACAAAAATTAAACTTCAGGCTGTATTTTTCAGTTGGTATACAGAGTTAAGGGTGATATATAGAGAGAGATAAGTACTTGTGGACATCAGTAGAAAATTTTATCATACCATAAATACATTGACACTTGGAGGAAAAAGAACAATACCATAGATTGATGAAAAAGAACCGTAGGGGACGAAAAAGAGCAGGATTTTATCTACACAATGGCCTCTGCAATTCATTTAGTAAAATATTTATAGTACAAATAATTAAAATATTTCAATAAATATTTGGATATTGAACCTTGTTGATAGAAATTTTATTTTAAGAACTTATCCAATATTTCTCACAGCAAAACCGTAAAAACTCAAATACAGAAGTCCTACTGAATTTTCATACTCTTCAGTTATTCTATTTTAAAATGAAGTATATCTTATCGTGTAGAATAGACCAACATATAAACTTTCCTTTTCCTTTCTATTTCCAAGTAAACAAATTTAGAACATTGGTTTATGCAGTTTTGTGACAATATAGTTGTTGAGAAGGAATTAACAGGAAAAAAAATGTTATAATTATTTTTTTTTCTTAGACTGGCTATGTGTATTAGCCAGGGTTCTCTAGAGAGACAGAACTAATAAGATAGAGGTAGATATAAAGGAAAGTTTATTAAGAAGTACTGACTCACATGATCACAAGGTGAGGTCCCACAACAGGCCATGTGCAAGCTGAGGAGCAAAGAAGCCAGTATGAGTCCCAAAGCTGAAGAACCTGCAGTCCAGTGTTCAAGGGCAGGAAACATCCAGCAGGGGAGAAAGATATAGGCCAGAAGACTAAACCAGTCTTGTCTTTCCATGTTCTTCTGCCTGTTTTTATCCTGGCCATGCTGGCAGCTGATTAAATTGTGCCCACCCAGAATGAGGGTAGAACTGCCTTTCCCAGTCCATGACTCAAATGTTAATCTCTTTTGGGAACCCCCTCACAGACACACCCAAGAACAATACTTTGCATCCTTCAATCCAATCAAGTTGACACTCAGTATTAAGGGTCACACTGGGTATGGAAAATGTGTAACAACAGGTTTAAACAGTGGCTCCATTTTGTTCTGTGGAACAAAATGATCTTAATCTCAGGGACTTAAAAATATTTCATTCAACACACATTGACTTGATGCCTGACTTACCCCACAGAGATCTAGAATCTTTTGCCCTATGAGATGAGTAAAACACCATTATTTACTACTTTGAGGAATGCACACTATACTAAAAAAGGAGAGCATACAAAAAATGATTGCAATAATTCCCAATGCTTTGTCCTTTTCCACTGTGGGCTCTTTGGAAATTAAACTGGGAGCTTAGAAAGGTTTAGAGGCTACCTTACAAAAACTCTTCTTGGAACAACTTCATGTTTTTTCACACAGGCCTAAAACCACATGTAATGACCTAAGTATAACCTCATCCCTGAGATCAATCACCCATTCATCTTCAGTGCGTTAAAATTTTCTGTTCTTTGGTTGAAAATCTCTTCTGGAAATGACTGCATCCTTATTTTCTCCTTTATTCTGGGCTTCTATCCTGGTCAGAGAGAACTTCTCTGATCACCAATGACAGTACATCTGTTTCTGTTCATACCCTCACCCTGCCTCATTATCATTCAATGCTCATGCCATGACCTGAAATTATATCTCATGTTCATTCACTTATTTACCATTAAGGTTGTCAACATTCCCAACAGAATAAATATCATGAAAGCAGAATCTTTCTCTCTCTTGCTCAACCCTATGATCTTAGTGGCTAGATTAGTGCTGTGTATACAGCAAGCCCTCACGATATGTGTTAAATTAATGAATTAATATAAAATCCAAAATTTATAATAATTGTATAAAAATAACAAAAGTTTTACTATGGGTACATAAGGTGGATGCATAGTGCTGCTTTTGGAAAAATAAGCTCACTGAAGTAAGTATTTACTTTTTGTTGCATTTTATTAAACACATTGGAGTTAAGCAAAATAGAAATTGGAAATGGTGCTGTCAGCCAAATTACACAGTATATTTGGCCTGAGGGATTATGTCCAGAGAGTGCCCTTGTCTGTTCATTTCAAAACACTGTCACCAAACTTTGTTCTCTACTCTTGGGACCCTTTAAAAAGTCCAGAAATATTTTAAGGCTTCAATATGTTTTGAAGGTGGTTTTGAGGTTTCCTTTTTCTTTATATTCAGCACAGTTTTATATTCGATTTGGAACCAGAACTTAAATTATTTGAATACCACCAGTGTATTTAATGGAAACAAGTTTGGCTAATTTTGACAGATTGCCATGAAATTTCACAGACATAGGAAATTTGGGCACCACACTGTTCATATGGGCTGGCTCATTAACACCCTCCTTCAATGTGTTGCCTAGCCTTCCAAACATAAAATAAGTAAATTTTATAAAAAGTCTCATTCCTAGGAATTTTTTTAAAATTTCATTATTGATTTTTATACACAATTGTTTATATTAATATTGATTGAAACAGTTGACGGCATTTGCTTCCAAAACCCTATAAAAGTTATTCAAATCAGTAATAAAAATTCTTAGATAATATCAGTATATTTAAGCATGAACATTTTTCTACAAGAGAATAAATTCAAGAAGATAATAAATATATGGGAAAGTGTTTAATATGACTAGTGTCCAAAGTTATGCAATTACAATAATAGCTAACATTTATTGAAAACTTATTGCTTGTTAGTTACAGGTCTAAGGACTTGTCATGAATTAACTAACACAATCATCACAATGATTCCATTTGAAATGGCATCATTGTTATTATCATCTTCATTTTTATCACTGAGGGTCCCATGAGTAGCAGGTTGTGAAGCTCGTATATAAAACAAAGACATTTTGGTCTCAGAGAACACATCCTTACTCACAACACAACCCTGTCACTCTGAGCTCTATCTACTTTTGTCTGTCTGAATAACCGCATTGTTTACCACACAACCTAATATATGCACTTTTGGTTTCATATTTCGGAGAAACATAAATTTACGTTCCCCAAATCTTGTACATATTAGATTTATTTATAATAGTCAAGAATGAGGACAATCCAAATTTTTCTCAATAGGAGAATAGTTACAGAAATTATGGTATTTCACACCATGAAATACAGCAATAAAAGCTGAAGAACTATTGATATACACAACTACAACAATTTGGAGGGATCTCTCAAGGACGTAGTGCTGAGTCTAGAAGCTAACTCTCAAAAGACATGCACAAGTCATACTGTATGATTCTGTTTACATAAAATTCTCGGCCGGGCACGGTGGCTCACGCCTATAATCCCAGCACTTTGGGAGGCCAAGGCGGGCATATCACCTGAGGTCGGGAGTTTGAGACCAGCCTGACCTCCATTGAGAAACCCGGTCTCTACTAAAAATACATAATTAATCCCGCGTGGTGGCGCATGCCTGTAATCCCAGGTACTCCGGAGGCTGAGGCAGGAGAATTGCTTGAACCCGGGAGGCAGAGGTTGCGGTGAGCTGAGGTCCCGCCATTACACTCCAGCCTGGGCAACAAGAGCACAACTCCATCTAATATATATATATATATAATCTCAAAATGATAACATTATAGAGATGGAGAAGAGATTAGTGGTGGGCAGAGTTTGGGGATGGTGATGTAGGGCATGAGGGAATCTTAGGGTGAAGAACAGTTTTAAATCTTGATTATGGTTGTGATACAAGAAATCTACACATGTGACAAAATTGCATGGACGATCTCACACACACACACACACACACACACACAGAGTGCATGTAAAATTGGCAAAACCTGAATAAGTTGTGCACATTGTACCAATGCCCATTTCCTGGTTTTATATTCAGTCACTTAACCCCTTCAAGTCTTTGTTACTTTCTTTCAATAAAATGAGGATGATAACATTTTCTTTCACAGAAACGTTGCTAATTTACAAAACTAAATGGAATATTACACATAAAAGCACTTTATTTCTATGAAGGGGGAAGCTATCTGTGACAAATGATAATAGCCTCATAATTACCATTGACATTCTTCTGCTTCACAAAGGCAGGTGATAATCTTGTGAAGATCATAATGCAATATACTTTACCAGGTGATGAATTTAATGAATCTGTATAAACTGGATGATAAAGCCCTTTAACAAAAACAATCTAAAAATCCCTTTTGCTCTAGCCCCAAAGGTGATTCTCTTCATAGCTATGGCAACTTTAACTATCAACATCCATAAATAGAGCTTTCATGAGATCAAACAGTACACAATGCTTTAAAGTATAAGACTTCCTTACTCCTTCAAAACAATCCTAGTTAATTCAACTTGTGCCTGATAATCATGCAGTAGTAAGACTTTTCTTAGTGAGTTTATGGCTACATTTGCTGTATTGCCCGTGACAACATATTTACCACAAGCAAAAGGAAGACTTTTAAATGATAATTTTCACCCAGAAGGCTTCAAGGGAATCTTGTTGAAAAATGTGCTTCTTTCCATGGTGTGAAAGTTGGCTGAATCCCAGTGGTTTTCAATTGAAGAAAACAAATACATTAAATTATAAGCTTAGAGTTTCTCTTCTTAGGGGCATTTACCAAGCAGCAGGACAGTAGTCAGGATTTATATTTACAGCTAAAGTGTGGTGATATGTGAATTAAGGCTTTTCCGATTCAAAATATGTTTATGAGTATTCCAATCTGAACATTTTATCAGACATTAAGTGTACTATTTCATGTTCGATATGATGTTACAATGTGTGAACGATGAATTGCTGTAAAGAATGTTAAAAGTAGAAGCAGTAACACTTTTCCTCTTTTTTTTTGCTGGGAATGGGCTCTTTCTATTTATTCTGCTTCTGAAGTGAATATTTTTGTAATTACAAATGAGGTGAAATTTGCATTCACACTGAAAGAGTGCAAGTATCTGACAGCTCATGGTAAACTGGGCAATTATAAAATCAAAGTCATTACTATAATAACTTTATAAGGATTTATTTTCTACTGTCACTATTTTTCTATATCCTTTCTTATTATTGAAGCTCATCCACTTATTAAAACAAGAACATATCTGAAAATATTCTTATCAGATTATTTACTTATAAATAAATGTGTAAGCTAGGTTAATCATTAAAAAAGGTAAGTCTTATAGTCAATAATAATGTAACTATACATTTTTAAATAACTAAAAGAGTAGAATTGGATTGTTTGTAACACAGAGATAAAGGCTTAAGGGGATAGATACACCATTCTCCATGATGTGATTATTTCACATTTCATGCTTATTTCAAAGCATCTCATTTATTACATAAATATGTACATTTATTACATAAATATGTAACCACAAAAGTGAAAAATATGTATTTATATTAAAAAGAAGTCTTCCTAAGAGCTTCTAAGAAAAAAAATCATTTGTTAGCTTTTCCCAGTTGAGATAGTTACTCCTGTAAGCACTTAAGAGGAAGAGAGAGCAGGGTGTTGCAGAGCAAGTTAATACGGAAGTGGTAATACTGCACGTATCTGATAAGCATAAACACTGCTGATTGGGGCAGTACTCACTGCAATGTTCTTTAGAAGATATCATGGCCTTTATCTTTACTTTGCAAACTACTTATTTAGCAGTGCTTCTTTGTACGCTTAATGTCAAAATTACCCCTGAAGATGTTAAAAGGTAAAGATGCCCAACTCCCATTCATAGAGATGTAGTTTGTATTAACTGGGATTCACACTTGGGCAATGGCGTTAATTTAAAAACAAACAAACATCAGCAACAAAACCCACGTGATCTGGGGTGCATCCTGTAGCTTCTCTACACCTAGCTGCAAACATGAATACTTTCATTGAACTGCACGTACCTTTGCTTTTTCACCTGATGTTCATAGGATACTTTGAAGCAAACAATCTGGTTCTCTAAAAACCAGAGGTAATTAGCAGGGAACCAAACAGGTTCATCCTCAAATTGGTCAGTCAGGTCTGTGAATGGCAGGGTAAAGGAAGTAGAAAAGCTAAGATGATTTAGAAAGAATAAAGTTTAAGAAATTAGGTTATATGGCCGGCTGCAGTAGTTCATGCCTGTAATCCTTGCACTTTGGTAGGCCTAGGAGGGAGGACTGTTTAAGCCCAGGAGTTCAAGCAGAGTCTGTTCAATGTAGCAAGAGCTCGTCTCCACTAAAGATAAAAATAAAAAAAATAAAAAAAAACAGTATCTAGGCATGGTGGTGCGTGGCTGTGGCCCCAGCTACTCATGAGGCTGAGATGGGAAGATTGTTTGAGCCTAGGAAGTCGAGGATACAGTTAGCCATGATTGCATCCCTGCACTTCAGCCTAGATGACAAGTAATCTAGTGATATTTTGTGTCAACAACAAAAAAAGTAAAAGAAAATCATGCTATACAATTTTAAGATTTAGTAGAAGGCTACAGTAGGCAAGACAATATAATATAGTACTGCAAATTTATCAAAAGAGCTGTAGAGAGAGTCCTGATATCCACACATGTTATAAATTCATTTTAAAATGAAGCGAAAATGTAATTTAATGAGGAATGAATAGCCTTTCAATAAATGTTGTTGGAAAAATTGGATATTCACATATTTAAAAAAATGAACCTCACATCATATATGAAAATTAACTAGTAATCTATTATAAATGTAGATGTAAAACACAAAATATAAAGCTTGTAAAAAAAAGAAAATAATTCATCAATGTGGTTATGCAAAGAGTTCATTAATAGGAAACAACAAGCAAATCTCACCAAAGAAAGACAGATTGGAGAACAGAAAAAATATTTTTTTGTTAGAAAGTCAGGACAATAAAGAGGTAAGCTATAGACTTGAAGAGAATATTTGTAAATCACATATCTAGAAAGAATTTTTAATTCAGAATTTATTTTTAAAAAACATCTTAATACTCAACATTTAAAAAATGAGCAACCTAATTACAAATAAGCAAAAGACTTGAACAGATTCTTCAAAAAAAGAATATACAGATGGCAAATAAGACATGAAAATATGTTCATCATTATTCATTAGGATGATGCAAAGTAAAATAATGATAAGATGGCACTACACCCCTATTAATATTTGCAGACTTATAAAATGTACCTTTTAGTTAAATAAATGAGGTTTTACCTGAAAATCTTATAGACATCCTCCTCTGAATTATGTGCTGTTTGACTGTGTTTATGTGCATTATGTATACACACACATACACAAAACACACACACACACACACACACACACACACACACACATATATATATATATATATATATGGTTGGGTTATATGGTCGGGTGTAATATATATATATATATTGGAGGCAGGGTCTCTGTCACCCAGGCTGAAATGCTGTGGGACATTTGTTTTGTTTTGTTTTGTTTCTGTTGAATTATCTGAATTCCTTGTACACTCTTCATATTAATTCCTTGTCAGAGGAATAGTTTGCAAACACTTTGTCCTATTTTAGAGATTGCCTTTTTTACTACTGATTATTTCTTTTGTTATGCAGAAAGATTTTTGGTTTGATATAATCCCATTTGTCTATTTGTGCTTTTGTTTCTTATGCTTTTGAGGTCTCATTCGTAAAATATTTTACCAGATCAGTGTCCTGAAGCATTTCCCCCTTTGTTTTCTTCCAGTAGTTTTATAGTTTTGGGTTTCAGATTTAAGTCTATAATTCATTTTGAGGTTTTTTTTTGTGTGTATGGTGAAATAGAAGGATCTAGTTTTATTCTTCTGCTTAAGGATACCCAGTTTTCCATTTATTGAGGAGACTGTCCTTCCCCTAATGAATGTTCCTGATATCTTTGTCAAAAATCAGTTGGCTGTATATATGTGGATTCATTTCAGGGTTCTCTATTCTGTTCTATTGATCTATGTGTCTGTTTAATTGCATGTGATTTTCAAAGGAAAAAAATACAATGTAACATACAATATAAAAGAAAATTCTGCCTCCCCCAATCTTTAATGACACCACCCAGTAGTAGCTAATACAATTTTTGGTGCAGTTTATTAATACCATTTCTTTTGTTGTAGTTATTGTTTTAATATTTTATAGAAATAATATTTAGCTTAGGGTTCCACTTACAACTAAGATGGAGGAAAAGGAACTGGATTTACCCTTACATTTGAAATATGAACAACACCCAAAACAGATGGCACACATGCAGAACACTTTTCAAGACCCTGAGCTTCAAGCAGTGAAGAACAATGATCCCCAAGAGGTAGAATACAAATAAGGTGAGTTCTACAATAACTCTAGCTTATAGCCTTGATAGTCTCCAGGCCATGACTTAGAGGAACTGAGCCAAGAAGCAGTCCAGCAAACTCCCTGAGTGGAGGAGATGGAGCTGAGAGTCAGAAGCCAAGGTGACTAGAGTTCACAGAATGGAGTACTGGGCAGGAGAGAGCTGTGAGGAGTGAGCCTAGAGATCTACAGAAATCCCCTTTGTGTATCTGAGAGCGAATAAACACATGCTATGAGGAGTAAAAGAACCACCCAAAATGATTAGAAAGAAAGGTGCCTATCATTCACATTGGGCACAGGATAGTCCCTGTTCCCTCCAGGTAGACTGGAAAACCTCATGGTTTATGGGAACTGGGGAAAGTGCATAGAGGAGTTTGCCTCCATAGCGGGCTCTACTTAGTCTTATAATACTGCACTAATCCTACTTAAATAATTTCAAAACAAGAACCAAACAGATAAAACTGTTTATTCGTAGCTTAGCTGTGTCCCAAAACAAAGACTAAAAATATTTATAAGAATACAAAATATGCAGCACCTGACAATATACAATTTACAATATTTGGCACCCAATCATAAATTTCCAGCAAGCAAAATGTTTCTAAAAACATTTTATAAAAGTATGAAAATGAATTATGAATTCAAATAGACACAAATTCTCTTTAAATTTTTTCCAACATTTAAAATTTCCTCCTTTTTTTAACTTGCAAATATTTTATTCTGTTTTATGTAGGCAAGAAAGTGTTTACAGAAAACAAACAAAGACAAGCCTTCTGTGGAATAAATAAGCCTGTTCCCATGAATCAACTCACGATTAGATCATTTCTCTGAATGGCCTTTTAAAAATATTCAGATATTATATGAAATATTTTTTATGAAATTGTATATTTTTCTTGTACATGCCCATGTTCTATTACAATGTTTAATTTTAAACAAGTAATTGGTGGCCATCTTAGTGTACTACTAACATTTCAAACTGCAGCTTCTTATATTCTTCATCATCTATATATTTATTGGTTTCTAAAATTTCTGATTTCTACTTTATTGATTTTTTTATTGGAACTCAAAATTGTTTAGTTAACTCTGAATTTGATTATTTTGTTTTAATAAGATCAATCCTAGCGACTCATTTATGTTAAGATCAGTTTCATCAAAATGCTGAGATACTGTGTTTTTCTGGCCAAGCATTTTAATTATCTCTATAATTCAGATGCATTTTTATACCCATATTCCTTCTTTCTACAAACATTGAACTACTTGGCTTTTTAGACGCTATTGTTGTCTACAAACTTCGGTTAAACTTAAAATATATACACTTTAACGATGCATATTTAATTAATGTAAAAATACCATACAATAAATATTTAATTAATTTATAACAATTAACTTATTTCATATAAATTATAATACATAACAAGTAGGCATACATAAAATTTACATTAAACTATAAAATATGTCATTAAAAATGACATGAAAGTATGCACTGTGTTTCCAAGCATATTTCATTTAAAAAAAAGTGAAAAATATGTTTTTAAATATAAAGAAGTGAATAACAGCCAGCTATTTATGACAGTCTTAGGTCAATAAACATGCGTATTCCTGATAAGCTTATTTTGCTGTTTAAAAATATTTTTTCAGAAAAAATTTGATATTTTATTAAATCTCATGAATGATAAATTTAAAAAAAAATGTATAAAATTTGAATTACTCAAAGTTCTCTTATAGTTTAAATAATATACATAATGTATTTGTTAAGAAATAAACCTTTTCTTTACCAGTCCCTGCTATGAATTGCCTCTGTAAATAGCAGAAACAACTTGTCATCTTCCCAAATGACAGAGCAAGCGTTGTCTGCAGAGCTGCAAGTGAGAGCTGTGTTTGTTTGTTGTGCCTCCCCATGGCCTGAGTCTCAGGGCCCTGGCCATGCACGGTCACATCCCAATTTTATTTTAAGGGGTGACATTGGGTTCATCATGGATATTTTGCATTAATTTTAATATTAAATATGACATTAAATATTGTTCATCTTTGAGTTTTCCTGCTATACCCTTAAATATTTTCCTTGAGGCAGATGATTCAGTCATCTCAACCTCATCAGGGACCAAGGGAATAGCTACTTGGGTAAATACCTAAGATTTTTTAAAATGTAAATTTCTTTACAAGGAAGTTTACTATATTAACAAAAGTAATTGCAAGGTAATGTGGCATTTATGAAATAGATAGAAGATAATATGTAACTATAATAGTACACATTTCAGGAGATGAGACATAGAATATTCTAGAGATGAACAAACGTGTGCTAAACATGAAGTGGCATATCACCTGAAGGTAAGTTGTGATAGCTTAAAAATGTGCACTATAAACCCTAAAACAGCCACTAAAATCACAGAACAAAGAGGTATAGCTAAAATCCAATAAAGAACATAAAATTGCATCATAAGAAATAGTTTAAAATAAGGCAGAAAAATAGAAAGAAAAAAAAAAGAAGGCAGACACATAGAGAACAAATGATGGACCTACGGTGAACCATATTGATGATCACATTACATGATAATTGTCTAAAGACCTTTAGCAAAAGCAAGAAATTGTTGGATTGGAAGCAAATTATGACCCTATTATAAGCTTCCTATGAGAAAGTCACTTTTAACATGAATGGAAAAATAGCTGAAAAGTAAGCAGACGTAAAAAGATATATGATGCTAACACTAGTCAAAAGAAAACGGGAGTGGCTATATTAATATCACATAAAACAGTTTTGAGAATGAATGAAAAATATCATCATGGTAAAGCAAGTCATTTTATAATGATAAAGGTCACAATTAATCAAGAGGACATAACAGTTTTAAACTTTATGCATCTAATAACAGAACTTCAAAATACATAAAGTATAAATGGATGGAACTGCCAGGAGGCAGAAACAAATCTGCAATTATAGTTAAATATTTTCATATCCCACTGTAAATAATTTATAGAATGACAGAAAACCAGTAGGGATACAGAAGATTTGAATAAGATTATCAACCAATTTCACTAAAGTGATATTTTAGAACAATCTTATCAAACAACAGTAGAAAATATACAATCTTTATTGTACATGGAACATTTACTAAGGCACATCAAATGTTTAAAAAGTTTCAAGTCATACAAAGCATGTTTCCAACCACAGTGGAATTAAATGATGATCAAACAGAAAGATCCCTTGAAAATCTCGATAAATAACACACTTCTAAATAGCCTATGGAACAATAAAGAAACTATAGGGGAAATTTTAAAGAATTTGGAGCTTAATCAAAATGATAACACAACATGTAAAAATTTGTGGGAAGCCACTATAGCAGGTTGCAAATCACATATTCGAAAATGACTTATATCCAAGTTATATAAAGCATTTTTAAAATTCAATAATATTAAAATAAGTGAGCAAAAGTTTGAATAGTTATTTCACAGAAAAAAATAATGATGGCAAATAAGCACATGGAAAGATTCTTACCACTATTGGATGTTAGAAAAATGCACATTATAACTGCAACATAATACAAATAGACACCTCCTATAATGACTAACTTTTAGAAACTGGTCATTCTGAGTGTTGGTGAGAATTTCAAGGAACAGGAACACTCACATAGAGCTGAAAAAAATGTGAAATGATACAATCACTTTGGAAAAGAGTTTGGCAGTTTATGAAAATGTAAACATTTGCCTACCATTATATCAACTCCACCCCTGGATAATTCGGGAAGACAAAAATAAGAATATGTCTGCACAAATCCAAATAAACCCATGTTTGCAAAACCTTTATTTGTAATAGCCAAAAACTGTAAATCACTCAAATGTCCATCAGGAGGATGAATAAACAAACTTGGAATAGCTATACAATAGAATATTACACAGCAATATAAAAAGAATAAACAATTCATAAATACTACAGCATAGATGATTCTCAAATTAAGAATGCCAGTGAAATATGTTAGGCAAGAAAGTGCAATTGATGTGTGAGTCCATTTATATTAAATCCTAGGAAACACGCGTTAGAGTTTAGGGGCAGAAAGTAGTTGAGTAGTTGCCTGGAGACGAAGTATGGTAGTGAGGGAGTGGGACAAAACAGTTAAAAAGATTATGACAAAGTTTGGGGAGCAATCATTCCACTCCTAATTTTGGTCATGGTTTTACAAATGTTTACTAATACCAAACATCAAATTTTACACTTTAAATATTTGCAGTTGACTGGATATCCAATATTCTAAATAAAGCCTTTTTTTTTCTTTAAAAAAAACAACTTTGGGATTTGTATCAGTTCTATTTCAGAGCCTATTACTTCCTTGATAAGTTTATGACTTTAGTCAGGTGATTTTCTAATTATACACTTCAATTTTCTCATCCATAAAGTGAGCAAAATGGTACTTAAGTCATATTTGCATAGAAGCACCTAATAGAGATAAGTTCTATGCCCATTTTCACCATCTTAGTCATTTCAAACCATGATTCTGTCTATTTCAAACTCCTGACTGGAAGAATTGCAGTGCTTCATTAAATGTGATTTTATTATTATTATTATTTCACGTTAAGTTCTGGAATACGTGGGCAGAAAGTGCAGGTTTGCCACAGAGGCATACATGTACCATGGTGGCCCCCTGCACCCTTAGAGTTAGTTTATATTTTAATGTGTTTCCAAACAATATACACACTGCTTCTTTCAAAATATGTCTAAGGCCATATCTTGTAACTTTAAAAAATTCTTACATACAAGTGGAAAAATATTGTTTTACACCAAAACCTTCTATATCGAACCAGATAGCCAGTAGTAGTCATACGTATGCTGATTTTGTGTCCATATTTGTAAACATATATTGTGTGCTGTCCATATGAAGAACTCATAGATATAAATTTGCTACATGTATGCATGAATGACAGCATCAATGTTTTTTCCTTTGTTTTGTGATTTTGTTACTAAATCTCAAAATAACTTTAGTAAACATCATTTGGCAGAATGTTGTTAATCTAAACATCTTTGAAACATTTATTGAAAGTGCATGTTGTGAATCTGAAATGTCTGGAAACTGAATCTCTAGCCTCTTAGAGCAATGGCAAGACAGATGGCCAGTTGTTGCATAAGGCAATCGTTGACGAATATGCCTCTCAGCAACCCTCTTAAAGCTGAGAGTCAGCATCTGGTGAGAATGCACGAGCCGTTGAGTGGACTACAGAGTCTGGGAGGGAAGCCACTTGGCTGCTCTAAGTTACCAAGGCTTTCTTAGAGGGAGCACCATATGGATCTGTATTGAGAGAAGAGTAGCTCAAATGAAAACTGAATAAAGAGACGAGCTAAAGCAAATTAGAAACAGAAGGTGAGTAGATTTGTGAAGAACTAAAATCAGAGACCTAAACTTGAGCTCATAGCTTTTTTCCTTCGTCACGCAACATGTATGTCATGACATTTCCCTGCCAATGCAGTGCCATTTAAGGACTGACATCGTGCGATTCATACATTCCTACACAAAAAGCTATTTTGTGATTGTTTTGGATGTCGGGGTACACATGTTGATTTGTTCTCTACATATGTGCGTCATTCTGATATCAACCATTTCATTTGTAGTCTTTACTTGACAGAAAACACGTGTTACCATTTTGTTAAGAACAATGCTTAGAAACTAATACACTGTTTAAACTGGTAAATGTTCAACAAATATATATATATATGTATATGTGTGTATATATCTATATACATGTTGATTTTATTCAAATGCATGATTAGAGGTTACTAGGAAAGAGCATTTTCAGCGTTAAAGTTCTTCCTTTCACTACGTGTTTTCTGAACGTTTACTATATCTGTGGTGCTGTGCTCTGACATGAAGAAAGACTTTTGAACATGAGTGTTTAATCTTTAGGAGGAGGCAGTGTCTAAGCAGAGACAGCCATGTGATGAAGGACATTTCTGACATAGTGGTCAATTCTATAATGGTGATATGTACATGATGCCGGGAAGCAAGGATAGATACCAAGCCTAGTCTAGAGTCAGTGGTAGCAGAGGTCAGAAAGGTTTTCCTGGAGGGGTTGTGCTACAGTCTGAATGTGTTCCCTAAAATTCATGTGTTAGAAACTTAATCCCAAGTGCAAGTGTTGGGAGGTGGGGACCCATGGCAGCTGAGATCATAAGGGCTCCACCCTCATGAATAAATTAATGCTGCTATAAAAAATTCTTGAAGGAGTGGCTTGTTCTCTTCCACTCTTTTCTGCCATGCAAGGACACAGCATTCTTCCCATCTTGAAAATGCAGCATCAAAGCGTCATCTTGGAAGCAGAGCGCAACCCCTACCACACACCAAATTTGCTGGCGCCTTCATCTCGGACTTTCTAGCCTCCACAACTATGAGAAATGAATTCTTCTTCTTTATTAATGACCCAGTCTGTGGTATTCTGTTACAGCAGCAAAAACTGACTAGAACTGGTTGACAGCTCTGCTAGATATTAGTTAGTCAAGTCAAATACGGTGGAGAAGGAAGAAATGCAGGGAAGGGAAACAGCATTATTTGGAGAGACACAGAAGCTTGAGAGAGCTGAGCATTTTAGAAGAATTGGTATGTCCTGAGGTTAGTGGAGAAGTAACAGGGATGCAGTTTGGTGAAGAAGGTGGAGATGAGCTCATAGCAAAATGGTTATGTTCTGTTCTGCTCATCTTGAGGTGTAAGTATGGATTCTGCTCTTTGCTCTCCAGACTGTGGCTTCCAGTCCCTGCTGTCAGTGTACCTATTTCCACAATCCTCTAAGGCCCTGGCTTCAGGAGACACTGAGATATACACCTGCACTGAGGCATACATGCCAGCTCTGTTTAGTGCTAGCCCTTTCCTGGATATTTGCATTTTTAGGGCTTAAAACACATAAAATCTTTTGGAATTCCATTGATTATCTGTAAACGAGGCAGGTATTTGGAAGACTTCCTTAAATCATACTACTTTTGAGTATATTTCCTATAAGTTCAGGACAATCTTGTTTTGAGGGGACAAAAGTGAGAAATCTGACCAATCAACAGCTTTCTTGGAGTTTCTGAGAGTGCTTTAAGGTCTCACGACATGGAAACCATATGTGTCTGAATAACTTCGATGTCCATATTTGCACAATTCACCTTTCTCTCACCTCTGGGATGAGCTTTTCTTTGCTTGCTTTTGTTCTTTAATCCTGCATTATTGGTATTCAGACTCATGCTGCAGCAGAGGGCTTGCCAATGGAAATTAATCTTGAGCAGCCACTTGCTACCTGCTTGCTTGAGGCACTTTAAAATTTTCTCATGAGGTAGCTACCTCATGACAGGGCAAATGAGAAGAGCATTGTCAGCTAGGAAGATTTGGAAGAGTTTATTAGCCAGAGTCCAAAGCCCCAGTAAACAGCGCACAGCAGCTCTCCTTCAATCATGACATCCAGAGGCAGATTTCTGAAATAATGCACGCAGGCTTCTGGGGAGAAATGGAAGCATCAGATCCCACTTCCCATGGTTCGCCCTGTGCAACTCAATTTACCTGCTCGCTAGTAGAAAGAAAATGCATCTGCCAGGCTAGAAGGAATCCTGCATCCTCAGCCTGTGAGCATTTTAGATGAATAGTTTCAGGCTTAGTATACTTTGCCTCGATTAATGGGATTATTAAGAGCATATTATCACTTCCATTCAATAGTTACATAATCTTTGCAGCTCAACATGTCCCCCTCATTACAGGTACTTAGAGGTTACTTTCGAAGAAGTATATCACTCAAGAAGGAAAAAAAGGCTATTGAATAAAAACCATCTACAATATTAATATTTGATTTGGGGAAATGAGGTTTAATTATACCATATTGATAAACTAAAACTGTCTAGGAATAGTCAGCAATCTTTGGTATTGGTTGCGCATTTTGTCCCAAATAAGACAGGCATTGCTACTAAAACGTTTGTTGTGGAAAAAAATATTAAAAAGGAAAATAGGGCAAATGATCTAATGGTTGATAGGTATGCAGAATTTCCCTCTGTCACCTCCACAGTTATGATACAATTTTATTAAAATGTGGAATTTTAATTGAAAAGTACAAAAATAACTTTATCATTTCAATATATACGTACATGCATAAATCTTGATATATTGTGCTAAGGGTCATTTAATGTAGGATATAAATGGAAGCAATAGCTTATAAACTACATACTTTTCTAAACTAGATGCTAAAAGTGGGTTGCCATAATCTTTTGCATGGAACTTCTACAGGTTTCCATACATTGTTCATGAAGGCAATAGGCAGTATTTTTTACTTTTTTTTTAACCATAACAAATCTAATTGTCATGTCTCATCCTTAGCAGCAATGCCGAGTTTATGATAGAACAATTTCAGAGTAGAAGGGTCCAGAAGTCTTGTATGTGAAAGACTGCATTTCCTCCACCTCCACCCCACCCAAATTTTAACCAGTTCTTAACACTGAGGTATTACCATCATGAAATCAGGCATCTAGGTGATGTACCCGAGAAAGGACAGATTAAAGTACGGAAATGGGCCAGGTGCAGTGCGGTGACTCACGCCTGTAATCCCAGCAGTTTGGGAGGCTGAGGCAGGAGGATTACTTGAGGTTAGGAGTTTGGGACCAGCCTCGTCAACACGGTGAAACCCCGTCTCCACAAAAAAAAAAAAAAATTAAAAAAATAAAAAAAATAATTAGCCAGGTGTGGTGGTGCATGGCTGTAATCTCAGCTACTGGGGAAACTGAGGCAGGAGAATTGCTTGAACCCGGGAAGTGAAGGTTGCAATGAGCCGAGATCACTCCACTGCACTCCATCCTGGGAGACAGACTGAGTGAGAATCCATCTCAAAAAAAAAAGAAAGGAAAAAAGTATGTATGGAATGGGCAAGGCCAATGTTTCATTATTTCAGAAACTGTTGGACATACTGAGAAAATTCAGGAGGTGCTCTGCCTAAAAGAATGTACCTGAGGTCCAATGATGACCGCCATTAGAGTTTCTTGGCTTTGTCAATTCATCAGCTCTTGCCTTGGGCAAGTCACTTACCTTTAAAGTGATTACAATACTAGCTTCTGTTGATTGAATGTTTTCCATGGTCCTATTACTGCGTTCAATACTTCACATGCAGTCTATTTTACAAGTGAAAAAGAATAAAAGTATCTCATTCTTTCACCAACTATTTCATGTTGGGATAACTATCCCCATTCTATGGAAGAAATAAATCAAGTTTATACAGCTTAAATGAGTTATGAAGTCCATAGTGCTCTTAAGTGGCAGTCCCAGAATTCAAATATATGTACTTTCAAATTTTCTGTATTTTATTTACCTTATTATATTCTGAGTAGTATCATTTCAGCATGGTACCCATCCTATATTTCAAGTGCTCGATATCCATGTGTGGCTAGTGGCCACTGCATTAGACACTTTATTTTCTTATAACTCTCCAAAAAATACCAATCTCCATGACTAGTTTTTTACTCTCCATTTGCTTGAACATCTGGTATCACCAACTCCAAATTTTTATAACATCTTACAAATTTTGAAAGACTCCAGCCCCAACCATAACTGCAAAAGCTTACCCATATCCTCTGGTATGAATTGATCTTTTTACTGTTTTCTCATTGTATTTTGTAGTTCTTCGCCACACTTAACCTAAACCTTTCTTATTGTGGTTATGTTCGTATTCATAGGTGTTCCCTACTGTGCTATTAGCTATTAGAAGCCACAGACTGGGCCTAGTTGATCTATGGATACCCCATATAGTCCTTAATATGATGCCTTATATACAGTAGCTAATCGATAACTGTCAAAATGAATCAAATCAAATGGCCAGGGAAGGAGAAACAGTAAAGCATATTTGAAAAATGATCCATTTTGTTATGTGATTTGTTTGATGTTAGAATGGCTCAATTTAGATGATATTTTAAGACTGATATCTGTAGTGTGCTAAACATTTTTTGGTGTATTTACCTTCTAGAACACAATAAAAGAAAGGCTACAAATAAAAATGTCTGAGGATTCTACTGCTAGCATTCAAATTTGTATTGGAAAATCCATTATTTATGTCCTTCATAAGTGCACGTATATTTATTTCAGTAACCAACTCATGACTCTATCATCTGAAATGACATTTTGTGATGGCCACATTATGCTGGGTAATAGAAATCATATATATGGAAAGTAATTTCAAATGGATCAAGCAATCCACATATTAAGAAATGAATGCAGAGGTAAGAAGCAACAAATCAGTAAATAGCTTATACTTCCACCTCACACAAAGAAATGTCATAATTTTTCTGGCCATTGACTGTAAAAATTATGAATATGCACATAGAATCCCCAAGAGGAAAGCAAATGAAAAAATAAACAGTTTTTTCAAATCAATAAGAGACTGTGAATCAAACTGAGGCAATGGCATTTTGATGACAACTGTATTTTAAATTATTTCTTTAGCTAAAACTTCCAGCATTCTTTCCTACTGGTTTGTATTAAAGATGTACTCTTGCTTATTCTTGTTCATTAAATCGAGACACTCTTTATACTAGGGTAATTTTTTAATTTATGAAAGAGAAATAAAAACTGTCTGAAGCTTATCTCTAATTGCATAGTTGATACCAACACAATGGAAAAAACAGCAGATCAGAACAAATTGCTGTAATAAAAACTGGTTTAATTTTCCCATGATTTACAATATCTTACACAAAAAATTACAGAATTGATCAAATATAAGGGAGTGTTAACTGAAAAAAAAAATCTATTATGTTTCCAGCTATAAGTGTTCACTCATAATTGTGGTTCGCTGTTAAAATTATTTTCAGTTTCTTATTTTTGTGTGGTGTATGTATGATTTCTCTGTAGCAATGAAAGCTATAGTATCACAATCATGATCAAAATATTATTCAGCCATTACAGTTAGAATTAAAGAACAACACTACACATTCTCAATTTTTTTTGTATCTCCAAATTAAGTTTGCATGATTCTCCATGCTACCTTTGAGGAGAGGCTGTTAATACAAGTTCAACATATTTCTGTAATGATATTTCTAAATATATGAATTATGTTTTATTTTAATTTTGGTGTTATTGAGAAGAGTTTTATCCCCATCCCTTAATTCATCTTTGCTATCATGTAGATAACCAATATTTTGTGTATCTTTATACAATTGAATATTTTACTAAATTTTCTTTAAATCGGCTGTTAGCATCTCTTAATTTTCTTTTAAATTGAGTTGTTTTTTAAAGGCATATAGGCATACCACTTAAAAAGTCAAAGCGTCTACCTGATTATGAAGAGCTTTCTGTCCTTTCTTCTTCCATCTTGTAGCACCACCCAGAAGAAATTGCTTTTAATAATTTTCTAATCTTTCATCAGGTACCAAATTCCATATCTCAACATCAATTGTGTTGTCAGTTCTTGAATTTTCAGGTTTCAGTATGACTTAATGATTTCCAATTAGGAAATTGAGAATTTCAACCTATCACATATTTCCAACTCCGACATGAATAACATACTTTCTTTTCCCCTTTACTCAAACTAGTTCTCCGAATTTCGTTTTAACAATGTAAGTGTTTACATAATTATGGCGAGGCACACATGACCCTGAGGAAAGTTAGGCAGTGGCTAACATTGCTTGTTCCTTGTGTTACTTTGTCTTCCCTGGAGTTCCTCAGGGTCTAACTTTAAACTATTTTACTCTTACTCATTTTTTAAATTAATTCATCTCCTAACACTCCCCCTTTGAATACTTTCAGATACATGAGTATTTCTTCTCTCTCCTGTGTCAAGTACTCTGTCAAATGGATCTTTCCTGTCTTCCTGTTTCATGTTTTGTTTTTGTTTTTTTTTTTTTTTTACGGAGATTATGTCAAAAATAAAGGTAATGATTTTGAGAAAGTACCATGTATGAAATTGCCTTTATTTTAGGCTCCTACTGAATTGGTTAAATATAGAACTATGGTTGGGAATTTCTTTTCTCTACAGTAATACCTTTTCTTTTGAACGTATTTCTTCAATCCTCTCTAGTTTCCAGTATTAAGACATTGATAGTTACGTTAATGAGTTCCTTGGAAGTCTTTAAGATTATCTTCCAGTTCCTGGTAAACCAAAATTTGAAAAAGTGTTCCTTATTGCAGTTCTAATTTTCCTTCACTGCTTGGAAAGTAGGTGACCCTAACAGTTAGAAAACTCATGTTTTTATTTTTCAGTTTCAAGAAATTTCCTGGACTTACAGTTTTGATTATTTCATCTAAATTTTCTCTCTCTTTTTATTTATTAATTTTTTTGAGGAACTACAATTCGAGCTCTATTTGGTTCTATTATACTGATTCTTTAGTAATCGAATCATTTCTTTCTTATTTCATTTCATCTTGTTTGTATCTTTATTGTACTGTCTGTATTATTTCCTTAATTGTGTATTCCAGGCATGTTCCTTTTAAATTTTATTTTTGTATTTCTATTATTTTGTTTTTCCGTGCTCTTGGATTTCTATTACTATTTTCTTTGATTTATTCTCAAAATGTTGTCTTGCAACTTAAAAAAAAAATCCTATTTTATTTACCTAATGATGTGTTTCCCATTCATTTTATTGTTTGTTTTAAGTTAGGTAAATGACTTTGCGTCTGTCTGCATGTATGCATTTAGGAAATTGTGACTTTAGTTTTGGAAATTGTACTTAGTAAACAATAGCCACAGTGGAAGAACTACAAAGTTTTTGGAATAATTTAAGTTTGCTCCAAAACCCAGATAATGTTACTGTGCTGAGCCGGAAGTTGAGAGTGGAAGTGGGGTGCACAATCTCCTTGATTTATGAGGAAGTTCCTGTTCTTTCTTTGTATTCATACAGCCTTGCAAGCATTATAGTTAGAAGAAAATGATCTAGAAATCTGATATTGATTTTACTTTATTTACTATTTTGAAGGGTGCTAGTGATTTGCATTGTAGTTTTTGTGCTACTACAGATATTTTTGTAATTGGCAAAGGTGAGGTGACATCCTAAACTAGAACAGGAAGACTTGTTTTGTTTGATTAGAGGTAATATAGAAAGTATTCACAGAAATAAGTTAATTATATGTAACACCACTCTGTGTAAAATTTTAAAATACATACTTACACTAAAAAGTAATGATATTTGATACCAAATTTGTTGTTAACTATTTAAGGACCTTGCTCCAGAATCAAAATATGAAGTCAGATATGCATCCTTTCAATGCCAAACCAAGATGGGTAACTCAGAAGAGGGAGAAAAGGGATCAAGTATTTGCTGCTATTAGAGATTTAGACCTTATGCAAATAAAACAGAAAGAGAGGAAAATGCCTCTCTTGCTTTTGTTCTAAAATTTTACATTTCTAATTTTTTTTAAATCAAAGAAAATATCTATGGTATATCAATGAATAAACATCTTCTCAAACAGGGAGAGTACAGATGTAGTGTGCGCCATTTTGGAGTAATTTCTACTCTGAAAATATTTACTGAAGATTAAAATATAGTAATTTTTTAGTTTACAATATTATCATAATGCATTCCATCTTTTGCTTATACTCATTTAGTTTTTAAAAAACATGTAAGTTTCAGGAGTTTACATTTCTCATCTCTATATGTATAACTACACTTTTAAAATTATGATTCTGAAAAATAAAAATGTCCATTTCTATCTTTGTGAAGATATGAAAATCCCTTGTGAGGAGATAATCAGCTAGCAAAGGGCTTCTATTTATTGACAAACATCAATTGTTTTAAATAATGTAAAGATTGTTTCAAATGGAGATTTTTTATCCGCATTTCTATTTGTATTAATAGGCTTAATGAATTATTTAAATGTTTTCCATTTGATTCCAATTAATATTTGCAAATATATATTTCTCATTGCAAATAGATAAAGTATCAAGATTTTTTGTAGGCGACAACCCCTGAAAAAGTCATAAAGATGTGTTTAAAGATGACATGGGCCACTCGAAAATGGAAAGAAGAGATTTAAATGCTACTAATGATTCCAGAGAAGGAAGTCTCTACCTCTCCTTCTTCCCTCTAGGGTAAGATTTTCTGGAGGGACCAGAATGTAGTCAATTTTATAAAATGATCCAGATCATCTTGAAAACTGCCTATCTCTGAGTAGGATAAAATAATCTGTTTATGTCATTTAGTTCCAGTGTTTTAACAGTATCATTCAAATGTCTGATGACCTTAGGATTTTTAACTGGATTAAATAAACATTTACTGAGTTGGTGGGTTAAAATGCCTCACTGTAAATATAGACTTGTCTATTTCTCTTTGCAATCATTTTATTTTGTGCATTATTTAATTTGAGTCTATATTACTACGTACATGCCATTTACATAGTTATATATTCCTGTCAAGTTGACATATTACCATTATAAAATACGCCTATATTACCAATAATGGCTTTTGCCCTAAATTATACTTGTTCTAATTTATTATAGATATAACACTTTATTTGTATGTTAAAATTTTTCAGTTCTTGTGATTCAACACACTCTGTATTCTCATATTGAAGATGTGTCTCTTTTAAGTGGAGAGGTTATTGTTGTTTGTCTTGTTTTTATTTAGTCTGACAATGTACACTGTTCATTACGGCATTTAGTCCATCTGCAAGAATACAATTACTGATACATCGCAGTTTAAATTTACTATCTAATCATTTACTGCCATTTTACTATTTTGTTTCAATTGTTGTTCTGTGTATCTTTCTTTTTGCCATTCTTGGTTTGAATGAATACTGAATATTGTATCATATACTTCATGTATGCCGTTTCAAATCTTCTTGGTCTCAACTGTCTCTCCATCCACTGCTGAAACAACCACATTATGCTTCATTCAGGTACAACTTGACAGCATGTTGCTTCAATTTCGTGCATTATTCTTCTTGCTTCCTGCCTTGGGACTCATAGATCATGCATAAGCAACCTGGAAACGAGATATTTTAACTCCAAGAGGCTAGACTTGACTGTGGCCTTATGAATGTCAATGAATTAATGTTTTTGCAAGTTTCTGTCATAAATAAAAGTCTCAATTTGACCAGTAATTGGAAGATGTGGAATCAGAACTTAGGAAGTTTGGCTCCACAGTTTTTGCTCTTACATTCTGCGCTAGTAAGATCTATTTTCAGTTCTTTCAAAAGAGCAGTCAATCATCCCATCATGAATTACTAAACAAAATATTATTGCATTGCTTTAAAATGCATCCTTTGCATAGAAAATCAACTGTTTCTAAAATACAAGCCTCTTTTAATCCTAAATTTGTATAGTACTGAATGACTGCCATACTACATCAGTTACTATAATTGCATGGTAGTGTCCATATCTGAGAGAAAAATGATCTTCATCATTTCTTTGTTTTTAACTTTTCTCTTTTAGAAGTATTTAAATCTTTTATCAGAAATTTATTTTACATTTACAATTTATTTTAGTTGTGAATTTACTAAATATATGGATAACTTGGAGACAGTATAATCTTTTTATCTGAAATGTAGTTCATATCTTCTTGTAATTAGATCTTATATCCTACAGAATATATTTCATCAATTTATTTAAATACATCTTGTAAAGTTTATGAGTTGATAACTTAGGTACTTCATATCATATTTCTCATTAAATTATTTCATAATGTGCTGAAATTAATAACATGGAAATATATTTAAGATAATGTTAAATTCTGAAATTTATTCAAAAGCTAACTACTAGAACAGCATAGGCATTTCATGTGAAAAAAATATAATGTCTTAGTTTACTACACATTAAAAAACTAAAAATAACTTAATGTGGCTTTTAAAATAGACTGGTAAATTACAGGTAGACTTAAGAAAGTCTTGTTTTCAATTAAAAGAAGTTAAGGATTTTACTATATTTTCAATTAGTCAGTAAGCCTCTGGCCTTTTATATTTTATCCCATGCTTCACATTTGAGGGATTTTAATGACTGTGTCTAGATATAGCACCTAATTCTATATTAATTTGTTGTTGTTGAGAAAATGATCAAAGAAACGTAGGACATCCAAACAGAGAGGTAAGAAAACAAAAGTACTTCGAATACTTTAATGTAATTTTTAAAACAGAATATATAAAGTGAAAGAGAGTAAGGTGACTCATAAACATAAAAATAAAATTCTTTAACAAGGTTGAGCACAAATGACTCCTTCTTAAAAACCATCTAAAGTAAATTTGCTTTGACCACTGTTTTATGTTTCTCATATTATTGCACTCTCACAAAATATATGTAGAGTGTTCAAATATTTAATTCTTAGATTTTTAGATTCTGAAGGATAGACTTAGTTCCCACTCATATTTCTAGCCTGAGATCCTAGTATTGCAGTAAGAAAATATAGAAACTAAATAAATGTATGCCAAATGAAGCAATAAATGAAGCAATGTCAATCTATCAAAGATTTTTGCATCAGATTGATTTTGAACTAAACTCCAAAATTTAATATTACCTTCTTACTGAGAAGTAAGTTTGTTATGTATTGAATAAAATATAAAGCAAGACAAACTTAAAATAATAAAGCGAGCAAAAAGTGAAAAAAATGAGAATTTTTCACAAGAGAATAGCTGAAAAGGAAGAAACACAGGGAATAATTTTCTTCCCTGCATTTTAAAAAGTTGTTTGCCTTAGGCATTTTCCCTGTACATTAGCAGTTTTATGAACAGGATAAACAGATAAACACTGAAATAAAAAAGAAAAGTAAAAAGCTAAATTTACATGTATATCTAATTGACAAGTTAATCTGCTCATAAAAACATTAGAATTTGTAGATTTCAAAATGAATCATTTAACAGGACCAGTAAATCATTCAATAATATTGACTACATTAGACTTAAGAAAAAATAATACTAAAAGAAACAACATAGAATCATGTGAAAATGAAGCATAAACTAACCAAAAAATATTACAAAAATAACGCAGGAATTGTCAGAGATAAAATACGTCTGTATGAGGAACCCATGTCATCTTTCTTTATCACCAAGACTCTCTCACAAAAGGATGGCATCTCAAGCAGGCTTGATAAAACCTAACAGAATCAAAACTCTGTGGAAAGGCTTCGGGCATCTTTCTTTGAGCATTGAGAACTTTTCCTTCACACAGTATCTGTCTCTGTCATTTTGGGTGGAAACAATATGAGGAGGAATAGCACAATATTCTTCAAGGCGATTTCATACAGAAACCAAACTCTCACCTGAATTTAAAAAAGGATTAAAGGTGACTAAAATATGGAATTATTTGCTATTTACATTAGTTATTTTCACTTAAAAATGGGCATTCACATTCAGTGACTATAAACAATGTAAATAGACTTTTTTCTTAGTTCGAAAGAACTAAACTAATATTTTAAATAAGTAACCCTTAAGTTAAAAGACCACTCTCTTTAGAGCTCAAAAGAAGTGGAACCTATAGTCCCTAATTTCATTTTGATCAGACTAAAAGAAACATCTGTGGTTACTTTTAAAGTATGATGAATGTCAACACAAACCAAAAAAAAAAAAAGTGTCAACTAACACCTGTCAATCACAAAACAATAATAATCTTCCTTTTGTAACCCTACTTAATTTTGATTGAAGAAGAATTAGTATTATCACTAACTGATAGTATGTTAGTCATTTCCCTGCCTATCAAAAGAAGAAAATCCCTATTACAACTGAAACTAACAAATAGGTAAGGCCTCTGACCTTACCATGCACAGACATTTCTGTCTCCCATTTGTCATTTGATCTGAAGTTGTCAGCAAACAGATGTCTCCTTTAGCCTAAGGCACACTCAGAGCTACTAGGGCAGCTGTTGCTATGACATTTGATGAAGGTATGGAAAGTGATGATAATGTGATTTGTAGGTCTATCCGCATTAAGTGCTTGAGAGCGTAAGATGGGAATGATGCATTCCCGGCTAATTTGTTAATGCCCATTTTAAAAAATGCTTTTAGTTAAATGTAATTTCCTGTGCCAAACATATTTTTTTCCTTTAAAGTGCCTCCTACAATAATTTTCGAAGAGTTGATCTGTGCCTGGAAATGCCTCTATTTAACATCCAAACTTTGAATGTTATTTGCATGAGAGAATATAATAGAACTTCTAATAGTCTTGTTTTTTTAAAAGCAAATGTGTCCTAATCACCAACAACACCTTCTCATAATGGATTTATATACAAACGAGGGATAATTTATTATAATAATAATATAGCAGAGGGATTCTAATATGCTTTAGTGAACTTAGAATAGTCAATAAAAACTTTTGTTTTGGGGATATGAGATCAAACTCTACATAGGGTGTGTGTGTGTGTGTGTGTTAATGGGAGTATAGTTTCTACTTTAAAACCATGGACCCTAAATTTACCTAGATGGGCATTTTCAAAGTGTGCATAATTGTGTTTCAAGAGATGAAGTACTATGCGTCTTAATATTTTTGTCTTAGAGGGTTTTTTGCTTTTGTTTTTAGTTTTTACAATAGCATTGAACACAAAGATAGATTGTAAATAGTGATTTCTTTATTTTTAGAAAAATGACAAAATTTATCTTTGTGTCTGTGATCAATAATTTATTATTTTATATATTCACATGAGTGATTGAAATTATCCTCATTGAACTCAGAAAGCATGCCCATGAGAACTAGTTAAAATCTCATACTATGAATATGTTTATCATACTTCTCTAAAATCTATGGGAATAGAGAAAATGTGGAATTTAAAACTAAGCAGACATGATCTCTAGTACTTTGATACAGGTAAATACTATACTCTCCTTAAGCTTTATATTCTTGATTTTTAAAATGGAGCTAATAATAACTATCTATCTTGAAAGATTATTGCCATCACTGAAAATAATATTCATGCATCAACCAATACCATAACTCCTCTATAGGACATGGAAGAGTATTATATATGACAAATGATTGCTATGATTATTATTATCAGTGTTATTATTATCCTAATCCTAAGTAATCCAATAAAAGAAAAATACATCTGTGCCTGTGCGTATGTGCACGTGTGTGCAGTCAAATACACGTTGAGTAAAGGTAAAGTCTAGCTGTATTTAATCAACCTACCTGAATCCTCAGGAAAAAATTCTAAACCTAGTTTAAAACATGTAAACTCTAAGCTCTCTCCTTATAGTCAGTTAGTAGCAGCACATCTTAAAATCTGGTGTGAATATTCTCTTAGTTCTACATGAGTCTAACTAAACAGAGGATTATTCTTAGGTGTTTGAAAGAGACATATGTGACACTGCTGTTTTGAGAACAATTTAAGTGTTGTCTTGTCATGTACAGAAGTTCTCATATTACTTTACATAAATGGTTGCATAATTGTTTTATAGTAAATAATAGACTGTCAATATTTCTAGGATAACTCCAAAACAAAATTTCCTAGAACACATTTTGAAAAGGGTGACTTGAATGACAGCTAAACTGAGAATTACTAGCATATTTGGATAGTCTTGTCTTCTATAATATAAACTAATTTGATTTAAAAAAGGATTTCGTTTACCTGGTACCAAGTTCTTTTTTAAATTTTTATAATGTAATTATCAAAAACATGTTAATATTTTTGTAAAATAATTATCTCCAAATATAAGTTGAATTTAAACAGTTCTAAATCATAGCTATTGGTTTTAAATGATATTTCCATAGATTATCCAATATTGTATGACCCTCTTGACTAATAAAGTGTTGTTAAAATTCACTGCAAACAATGTAAAACACTTACAAATTATCCCAGTTCAAGTAAAAATATTAATAATATGCCACAGTCAAAGATTATTTTGTGAGTGAGGTAGGAGGTGTAACCATGAAAATTATTTGACGCTGAAATTATTAATAAAAATTACTATCAATAAAATCCTTGTGAGTGAAAACAGAATTGGAAAGCTCATATTTATTAAATGAATGCCTTTGATACTCTTTAAAGCTTATTCTTTTAAATTTCTTAGGATGTGTTCATATTGTGGTTGAAATGAAGAAGAGACTATATTTATACTCTTGTCAGTTATAAAATTTAATCAGTAAAAATTAGAATGAAAGGTTCATACAAGTAGTATGAAAGACATATTTAAGTTTTAATGAGATTTTCAGCTCAATTATATCCATAAATGTTCAATTATATCCATAGATTCTATTGAATCTCCAGCCAAAGATATTAAAAATGCACTCTCATAAAGTTGAATACACATTGCATTAATGTTTTTAGAATATTATGAAGAACAAATGAAAACATTCAAAGATTTATACAAGGCTAATATGGCTAGAACCAGTCATCTTATCATAGAGGTAAAATTTCTTGGTAGATTGTACTAGTTTCAACGAAAAAGAACGCAGGACTGTATGCTTGGCATTGATTTCATGTCTGTTATGATAGTGCACATCTGATTCCCAACAACGTTTGCAGCATTTAGTGAAGTAGACATTACATGACCCTTGATGTAATCAGCATAGAGAAAATGATGATGAACTTCATGAATAAGCATTAGGAAAATGATCACTGAATCAATAAAAAAAGTTATAAAGTCTTATTGTTGATAAGTAATGTAAAACCCACCAAAAACGACACAACAAAAATTTTAACAGATGGCAAGTCATCTTAATCAAGCAAATTAAGGAATCACACTTTTAAAAAATAAAATAGTAGGTTATTTGACATGCACTATAATTACATTGGATATATTGCTTTCAATAAACGCTAAAGGACAAATTAACATTAGTCGTGCCAACTGCATTTCTAAATCTGCTTTTCAGGCTTATAATTAAAATCCTAAATTATTACTGCCACAAATTAACAGTTTTAATGTAATGCAGACATTGTAATCATCAGCATTTAGTTGTTTCTTAAATGGATTGTCTAATGCAAATTTAAACAATGTTCACTCAGTAAACAGTAAATACTAATAGCCTTTTCAGTGTTGCAAGAGAAAACTGTATAAGGCAGACTCTTCTGCTATATTTTCTCAAACAAAAAGGAGAGCTTCGCTCACTAGAGAAATAGTGTAATCCTTAGTGAAATAATCACGTCAGCCTCATCTAAAGCAGTGAGACTCTTAGAATGAAGTTGTTTAGAATCTTCCAACTCACAGAAAGAACAGGAAATACCATTATCTACTGTTTGAGTGAGCAATTCCCTGAGTTACTGTATGGGAATGACCCCTTTAGTTACAAGATGACTCCAGTTGGATACCAGGGCTTTGCATTCCAGCAAGATTCCGGTACGCTCACTGAACCAAGGATCTCATTTAATTCTCACAACTTTTAAAAGTATTTTCATTATATCATCTCATAGGGAAATGCATTTTAAGACATGTATTACATGTTTGGAATTTTGTCAGATTCCATTTGAAGCTATCCATGTTTCAGCATGTTGATGCAAAGTGATGTTTTGTGGACATTTGTCTTTATTCCTCTGCCTCGTAGTGTATATCTTCTGCTACTTCAATCATTTTGGATTGAATGATTAAATGAATGCTGAAGTTAAAAAGTGTGATTGGAAAAAGCAAGGTGTGATAATGAAATGATTTATAATATAAAGTTTGGTATAATAAAATTTCATTTTAAATTATTGTAAAATAAATGAAGACTTGATTACAAAATAAATGAATTAAGAATTATGTATAGAGATAGTGTTTCCTTTTTTAAAAAGAAGAAATGAATAGGATATACTTGCAAATCTTGGATTTAAATTTGTATTGGTAAAAGTTTTATAAATCAAAAATGATTATGGAAATGCACACATGTAGTTATCAGTATTGTTATTTATTGTTATTTGCATATATTATTTTACTTACAGAAGAGTCTACAACTACAACATACTTTTAGTCTCCACTACAATTTTAATTATAATAATCTTTATGTAAATTAGCAGTAGCTCATTTCTAGAATTGCTTTTAATTTTATGATTGAAACAGCACAAAAAATATTTAACAACTTATGGGGCAACCCAGAATTCTGAAGACAAAATTGTAATGGTGTTCTAATTTATAATTGCCAAATGAGAATTAGAAAAAAATGTAATGATAGAAAAGAGAAAAATATAAAAATCTCATCAGTTTCTTTCTGAACCTTCTTATCTATACCTTGTATTAATAACACCACCTTTATTATTAAGCTCAATGGCATCTTTAATGATTTCTTATTGATTACCCCATACTTTTGTTAACGGAGATGATGGTCATGACAATGATAATGATGATGATGATGATGATAATGATGACGCCATCAATTCATTTATTGTGAAAGATATTGGTGAGAATACATGACAAAATGAAAGTGTCTTTTCAACTACGCAATAATCTACAAATATAATATTAGTAATTGAAACCTGAAGTTATTCTATTTAAATTTCTGGTTAGTTGGGGAATCATTAGGATAAGATATTCATCTTAACTCCAAAATATATTAACTTCAACAAGATAATTTGGAAATTAATTTCCTTTTAATCTTCATACCACGTATATTTATATATGTTAAAAATATTTTATAATTTTACTGTCTTGGAGTCTGTAAAGAAGATAGCTGCGTAACTTATTTAAAAAAAAAAAACAAAACTCATAAACCTGGAAAACTACCTTGTATTAGTCCATTCTCACATTGCATTAAAGGACTGCCTGAAACTGGGTAATTTACAAAGATAGAAGTTTAATTTAATCACAGATTTGCATGGCTGGGGAGACCTCAGGAAACTTACAATTATGGCAGAAGGAGAAGCAAACATGTCCTTATTTACATGATGTCAGGAAGGAGAAGTGCCAAGTAAAATGAGGAAAAGCCCCTTATAAAACCATCAGATCTTGCGGTAACTCACTCACTATAACAAGAACAGCAGCATGGAGGTAATCACAACACATGATTCAATTACCTCCCACTGGGTCCGTCCCAGGACACATGGGGATTATGGAAACTACAACTCAAGATGAGATTTGGGCCAAACCATATAATTTCACCCTTGGACCCTCCAAAATCTAAAGTCTTCACATTTCAAAATCAATCATGCCTTCCCACCAGTACCCCAAAATCTTAACTCATTTCAGCATTAACCTAAAAGTCTAAGTCCAAAGTCTCATCTGAGACAAGAAAAGTCCCTTCTGCCTATGAGTCTGTAAAGTCAAAAGCAAGTTAGCTACTTCCTAGATACAATGGGGATACCAGCATTGGGTAAATACAGCCATTCCAAATGGGAGAAAGTAGCTAAAATAAAGGGGCTATAGGCTCCATGCAGGTCCAAAATCCAGCAGGGCAGTCCAATCTTAAAGCTAGCTCCAAAATGAACTACTTTGACTCCATGTCTTACATCCAGGTCACACTGATGCAAGAGGGGGGTTCCCGCAGCCTTGGGCAGCTCCACCCCTGTGGCTTTACAGGGTACAGCCCCACTCCCACTTTCCTCCATGGGCCGCCACTGAGTGTCTGCAGGCTTTTCCAGGAACATGGTGCAAGCTATCAGTGAATCTACCATTCTGAGGTCTGGAGGACTGTGGTCACCTTCTCACAGCTCCACTAGGCAGTGCCCCAGTGGGAACACTGTGTGAGGGCTCCAACCCCATATTTCTATTCTGCACTACCCTAACAGAATTTCCCATGAGGTCTCCACCCCTGCAACACACCTCTGCCTGGACAGTCAGGCATTTCCATACAATCTGTGAAATCTAGGCAGAGGTTCCCAAACCTCAATTCTTGAGGTTTCTTTCCATACAATCTGTGAAATCTAGGCAGCACCCACAGGCTGTCCACCCACAAGCTCAACACCACATGAAAGCTGCCAAGGCATGGGACTTGCACCCTCTGAAGCCATGGCCTGAGCTGTACCTTGGCCCCTTTTAGCCACTGCTGGGACACAGGGCACCAAGTCCTGAGACTGCACAAAGCAGCAAGGCACAGGGCCTGGCATACAAAACCATTTTTTCCTGTTAGGCCTCCAGCCTGTGATGGGAGGGGCTGCCACATAGGTCTCTGACGTGCCCTGGAGATATTTTCTTCTTTGTCTTGGTGATTAACATTCGGTTCCTCATTACTTGTGCAAATTTATGCAACTGGCTTGAATTTCTTCCCAGAAAATTGATTTTTCCTTTGTCAGGTGGCATATTTTTTAAACTTTTATGCTTTGCTTTCCTTTTAAACCTAAGTTCCAATTCCAAACTATTTTTTTTTGTGAATACATAAAACTCAATGCTTTAACTGCACCCAAGTCACCCAAACACTTTGCTGCTTAGAAATTTCTTCTGCCAGATACCATAAATTATGTCTCTCAAGTTCAAAGTTCCACAAATCTCTGGAGCAGGAGCAAAATGCTGCCAGTCTCTGTGCATATCAAGAGTGACCTTTACTCCAGTTCCCAAGAAGTTACTCATCTCCCTCTGAGACCACCTCAACCTGGACTTAATTGCCAATATCAGTATCAGTATTTTGGTCAAAGCCATTTAACAAGTCTCTAGAAAGTTCCAAACTTTCCTACTCTTTCTGTCTTCTGAGCCCTCAAAACTGTTCCAACCTCTGCCTGTCACCCAGTTCCAATGATGCTTTCACATCTTTGTGTACCTTTACAGCAGCACCCACTACCTGCTACCAGTTTACTGTATTAGTCCATTCTCACACTGCTATAAAGTACTGCCTGAGACTGAGAAATTTATTAAAAAAACAAAAGGTTTAATTGACTCACAGTTCCTCATGACTGGGGGGCCTCAGGAATCTTACAACTATGGTGAAAGAGGAAGCAAATACTTCCTTCTTCACTTGATGGCAGGAAGGAGAAATGCTGAGCAAAAAATGGAGAAAGCCCCCTAGAACACTGTAGGATCTCATGGGAACTCACTCACTATCATGAAAACAGCAGCATGGGGGTAACTGCTTGATATGATTTGGCTCTGTGTCCCCACCCAAATCTCATCTTGTAGCTCCCATAATTCCTACGTGTTGTAGGAGGGACCTGGCGGGAGGTAATTAAATCATGGGGGGTGGGTCTTTCCCATGCTGTTCTCATGATACTGAATAAGTCTCACAAAACCTGGGATGGTTTAAAAAGCAGGAGCTTCCATGCACAAGCTCTCTCTCTTTTTGCCTGTGACCATCCCCGTAAAATGTGAATTGCTCCTCATTGCCTTCCAACATGATTGTGAGACCTCCACAGCCATATGGAACTGTAAGTTTATTAAATCTCCTTCTTTTGTAAATTGCCCAGACTCAGATATGTGTTTATGCACAATGTAAAAAAAAAAAATACAAAAACAAAAAACAAAAAAAAACAGACTAATACAGTAAATTGGTACCAGAAGTGAGGTGTTGTTGAAAACATAACCAAAAATGTGGAAGTGACTATGGAACTGGGTAACAGGCAGCGGTTGGAACAGTTTAGAGGGCTCAGAAGAAGAAAGGAAAATGTGGGAAGGTTTGGAACTTCCTAGAGACTTGTTGAATGGCTTTAACAAAAATGCTGATAGTATTATGAACAATAAGGTCCAGGCTGAGGTGGTCTCAGATGGAGATGAGGAACTTATTGGGAACTGGAGCAAAAGTGACTCTTGTTATATTGTAGCAGAAAGACTGGAGGCATTTTGCTCTTGCATGGGGATTTGTGGAACTTTGAACTTGAGAGAGATGATTTAGGGTATCTGGTAGAAGAAATTTCTTAGCCACATAGCATTCAAGAGGTGACTTGGGTGCTGTAAAAGGCATTCAGTTTTATAAGGAAAGGAGAGAATAAGAGTTCAGAAAATTTGCACATGACAATGCAATAGAAAAGAAAAACCCATTTTCTGAGGAGAAATTCAAGCTGGCTGCAGAAATTTGCATAAGGAGGAGCCAAATATTAATCCACAAGACAATGGGGAAAAGGTCTCTAGGGTATGTCAGAGGTCTTCATGGCAGCCTGTACCATCACAGGCCAAGAGGCCTAGGAGAAAAAAGTAGCTTTCTGAGCGGGGCCCAGGGTCCCCGTGTTGTGTGCAGCATAGGGACTTGGTGCCCTGCGTCCCAGCTTCTCCAGCTGTGGTGGAAAGGGGCCAACATAGAGCTCAGGCTGTGGCTTCAGAGGGTGCAAGCCTCAACCTTTGGCAGTTTCCCATGTGGTGTTGAGCTTGTGAGTGCACAGAAGTCAAGAATTGAGGTTTGGAAACCTCTGTCTAGATTTCAGAAGATGTATGGAAATGCCTGGATACCCAGGCAGAAGTTCCCTGCAGGGATGGGGTTCTCATAGATAATCTCTGCTAGGGCAGTGCAGAAGGGAAATGTGGGGTAGGGGCCCCCATACAGAGTCCCTACTGAGGCATGAGCTAGTGGAGCTGTGAGAAAAGGGGCACCATACTCCAGACCCCAGAATGGTAGATCCACTGATACCTTGCACTCTGCACCTGGCAAAGCTGCAGACACTCAACACCAGCCCTTGAAAGCAGCCAAGAGGGAGACTGTACCCTGCAAAGCCACAAGGGCAAACCCACTTCTTGAATTAGCATGACCTGGATGTGAGACATCCAGGAGGATCTCAAAGGAGATCATTTTGGATCTCTAAAATTTGACTGCCCCACAGAATTTTGGACTTGCATGAACCCCGTAGCCCCTTAGTTGTGGCCAATTTCTCCCATTCTGAATGGCTGTATTTACCCAATGCCTGTACCCCTACTGTATCTAGGAAGTAACTAACTTGCTTTTAATTTTACAGGCTCATAGGTGGAAGGGACTTGCCTTGTCTCAGATGAGACTTTAGACTGTGGACTTTTGAGTTAATGCTGAAATGAGTTAAGACTTGGGGGACTGTTGGAAAGGCATGATTTGTTTTGAAATGTGAAGACATGAGATTTGGGAGGGGCCAGGGAGTGAAATGATATGATTTGGCTCTGTGTCCCCACCCAAAGTTCATCTTGTAGCTCTTATAATTCCCACATGTTGTGAGTGGGACCTGGTGGGAGATAACTGAATTATGGGGCAGGTCTTTCCCATGCTGTTCTCATGATAGGGAATAAATCTCACAAGATCTGATGGTTTTTAAAATGGGATTTTCCAGATTGCTGGCAAGATGGCTGAATAGGAACAGCTTCAGTCTGCAGCTCCCAGTGAGATCGATGCAGAAGGCGGGTGATTTTTGCATTTCAAACTGAGGTACCTGGTTCTTCTCATTGGAACTGGTTGGACAGTGGATTCAGCCCACAGCAGGGCAAGCCAAAACAGGGTGGGGCATCACCTCACCCGGGAAGCACAAGGGGTCATGGAATTTTCTCCCCTACCCAAGGGGAACCGTGAGGGACTTAGCCTGAGGAACTCTGGCACAGATACTGGGCTTGTCCCACAGTCTTTGCAAGCCACAAACCAAGAGATTCTCTCCCATGCCTATCCCATCAGGGCCCTGGGTTTCAAGCACAAAACTGGGCAGCCATTTGGGCAGACACCAAAGTACCTGCAGGAGTTATTTTTTTCCATACCCCAGTAGTGCCTGGAACACCAGTGAGACAGAACCATTCACTCACCTGGAAAGTGATGCTGAAGCCAGGGAGCCAAAAGGTTTGGTTCAGTGGGTCCCACCCCCAGGGAGCTCAGCAAACTAAGATCCACTGGCTTGAAATTCTTGCTGCCAGCAGAGCAGCAGTCTGAGATCGACCTGGGATGTTCGAGCTTGGTTGCGGGAGGGATGTCTGCCATTGCTGAGGCTTGAGTAGGTGCTTTTATGCTCACAGTGTAAACAAAGCCACTGGGAAGTTTGAACTGGATGGAGTCCACTGCAGCTCAGCAAAGCTGCTGTGGCCAGACTGCCAGATTTCTCTCCTCTGGGCAGGGCATCTCTGAAAAAAGGCAGCAGCCCCAGTCAAGCACTTATAGATAAAACCCCCACCTCCCTGGGACAGAGCACCTGGGGAAGGGGCAGCTGTGGGCACAGCTTCAGCAAACTTAAATGTCCCTGCCTGACAGCCCTGAAGAGAGCAGCGGACTTCTCAGCACAGTGTTCGAGCTCTGCTAAGGGTCAGACTGCCTCCTCAAGTGGGTCCCTGACCCTTGTGTATCCTGACTGGGAGAAACCTCTCAATAGGGGCTGACAGGCACCTCATACAGGACAGCTCTGGCTGGCAAGTGGCAGGTGCCCCTCTGGGATGAAGCTTCCAGAGGAAAAATCAGGCAGCAATCTTTGCTGTTCTGCATCCTTCGCTGGTGATACCCAGGCAAAAAGGGTCTGGAGTGGACCTCCAGCGAACTCCAGCAGACCGGCAGCAGAGGGGCCTGACTGTTAGAAGGAAAACTAACAAACAGAGAGGAATAGCACATACACTCAAAGACCACATCCAAAGGTCACCAACATCAACATCAAAACCAAAGGTAGATAAATCCACAAAGTTGGGGAGAAACCAGCACAAAAAGTTGAAAATTCCAAAAACCAGAATGCCTCTTCTCCTCCAAAGGATCAGAACTCCTCGCCACCAAGGGAACAAAACTGGATGGTGAATGAGTTTAATGAATTTACAGAAGTAGGCTTCAGAAGTTGGGTAATAACAAACTCCTCCGAGCTAAAGGAGCATGTTCTAACCCAATGCAAGGAAGCTAAGAACCTTGAATAAAGGTTAGACGAGTTGCTAACTAGAATAACCAGTGTAGAGAAGAACATAAATGAGCTGATGAAGCTGAAAAACACAGACAAGAACTTTGTGAAGCATACACAAGTTTCAATAGCCGAGTTGATCAAGTGGAAGAAAGGATACCAGTGATTGAAGATCAACCTAATGAAATAAAAAGAGAAGGCAAGATTAGACAAAATAGAATAAAAAAAGGATCAAACAAAGCCTCCAAGAAATATGGGCCTATGTGAAAAGACCAAATCTACGTTTGATTGGTGTACCTGAAAGTAACGAGGAGAATGGAACCAAGTTGGAAAACACTCCAGGAGAACTTCCCCAACCTAGCAAGACAGGCCAACCTTCAAATTCAGGAAATACAGAGAACACCACAAAGATACTCCTTGAGAAGAGCAATCCCAAGACATATAATCATCAGATTCACCAAGCTGAAATGAAGGAAAAAATATTAAGGGCAGCCAGAGAGAAAGGTCACGTTACCCACAAAGGGAAGCCCATCAGACTAACAGCGGATCTCTCTGCAGAAACTCTACAAGCCAGAAGAGAGTGGGGGACAATATTCAACATTCTTAAAGGAAAAAAATTTCAACCTGGAATTTCATATCTAGCCAAAATAAGCTTCATAAGAGAAGGAGAAATAAAATCCTTTATAGACAAGCAAATGTTGAGAGACTTTTGTCATCACCAGGCCTGCCTTGCAAGAGCTCCTGAAGGAAGCACTAAACATGGAAAGGAATAACCGGTAGCAGCCACTGTGAAAACCTACCAAATTGTAAAGATCTTCAACACTATGAAGAAACTGCATCAACCAATGGGCAAAACAACCAACTAGCATCACAATGACAGGATCAAATTCACACATAACAATATTAATCTCAAGTGTAAACGGCCTAAATGCCCCAATTAAAAGACAGACTGGCAAATTCGATAAAGAGTCAAGACCCATCAGTATTCAGGAGAACCATCTCACGTGCAAAGACACACATAGGCTCACAATAAAGGGATGGAGGAATATTTACCAAGCAAAGCAAAGCAGAAGTTGCAATCCTAATCTCTGATAAAACATACTTTAAACCAACAGATCAATGAGACAGAATATTAATAAGGGTATTCAAGGCTTGAACTCAGCTCTGGACCAAGTGGATCTAAAAGACATCTACAGAGCTCTCCACCCCAAATCAACAGAATATACTTTCTTCCCAGCACCTCATTGCACTTATTCTAAAATTGACCACATAATTGGAAGTAAAACACTCCTCAGTAAATGCAAAAAAAAACAGAAATCATAACAAACAGTCTCTCAAACCACAGTGCAATCAAATTATAACTCAAGATTAAGAAGCTCACTCAAAACTGCACAACTACATGGAAACTGAACAACCAACAACCCACTCCTGAATGACTACTGGGTACATAATGAAATGAAGGCAGAAATAAAGATGTTATTTGAAACCAATGAGAATGAAGACACAACACACCAGAATCTCTGGGACCCATTTAAAGCAGTGTGTAGAGGGAAATTTGTACCACTAAATGCTCAAAAGAGAAAGCAGGAAAGATCTAAAATTGACACCCTAACAACAAAATTACAAGAACTAGAGAAGCAACAGCAAACAAATAGAAAATCTGGCAGAAGACAAGAAATAACTAAGATCAGAGCAGAACTCAAGGAGATAGAGATATGAAAAACCATTCAAAAAATCAGTGAATCCAGGATCTGGTTTTTGAAATGATCAGCAAAATAGATAGACCACTAATAAAGAAAAATATAGAGAAGAATCAAATAGAAACACAAAATAATGATATAGGGGATATCACCACTGATCCCACGGAAATGCAAACTACCATAGAGAATACTAAAAACACATCTATGCAAATAAACTGAAAAATCTAATAGAAGTGGATAAATTCATGGGCACATACACCCTCCCAAGTCTAAACAAGGAAGAAGTTGAATCCAATAACAAGTTCTGAAATTGAGGTGATAATTAATAGCCAACTAACCAAAAAAAGTCCAGGACCAGACGGATTCACAGCCAAATTCCACCAGAGGTACAAAGAGGAGCTGGTACCATTCCTTCTGAAACTATTCCAAATAATAGGAAAAGAGGGAAGCCTCCCTAACTCATTTTATGAGGCCAACATCATCCTGATACCAAAAACTGGCAGAGACACAATAAAAAAAGAAAATTTCAGGCCAATATCCCTGATGAACATTGATGCAAAAATCCTCAATAAAATACTGTCAAATTAATCCAGCAACACTTAGAAAAGCTTATCCACCACGATCAAGTGGATGCATCCCAAGGCTTTATCCCTGGGATGCAAGGCTGGTTCAACATACACAAATCAATAAACATAATCCATCACATAAACAGAACCAATGACAAAACCACATGGTTACTTCAATAGATGCAGAAAATACTTTCGACAAAATTCAACACCCCTTCATGCTAAAAACTCTCAATAAACTAGGTATCGATGGGCCATATTTCAAAATAATAAGAACTGTTTATGACAAACCCACAGCCAATATCATACTGAATGGGCAAAAACTGGAAGCATTCCCTTTGAAAACCAGCACAAGACAAGTATGCCCTCTCTCATCACTCCTATTCAACATAGTATTGGAAGTTCTGGCCAGGGCAATTAGGCAAGAGAAAGAAATAAAGGGTATTCAAATCGGAAGAGAGGAAGTCAAATTGTCTCTGTTTGTGGAAGACATGATTGTATATTTAGAGAACTCCATCGTCTCAGCCCAAAATCTCCTTAAGCTGATAAGCAACTTCAACAAAGTCTCAGAATACAAAATCAATGTGCAAAAATCACAAGCATTCCTATACACCAATAGCAGACAAACAGAGAGTCAAATCATGAGTGAACTCCTATTCACAATTGCTACAAAGAGGATAAAATACCTAGGAATACAACTTACAAGGGATGTGAAGGACCTCTTCAAGGAGAACTACAAACCACTGCTCAAGGAAATAAGAGAGGACACAAACAAATGGAAAAACATTCCATAATCATGGATAAGAAGAATCAATATCATGAAAATGGCAATACTGCCCAAAGTAATTTATAGACTCAATGCTATCCCCATCAAGCTATCACTGACTTTCTTCACAGAATTGGAAAAAACTACTTTAAACTTCATATGGAACCAAAAAAGAGCCCCCACAGTCAAGATAATCCTGAGCAAGAACAAAGCTGGAGGTATCACACTACCTGACTTCAAACTATACTACAAGGCTACAGTAACCAAAGCAGCATGGTATGGTACCAAAACAGATATATAGAACAATGGAACAGAACAGAGGCCTCAGAAACAACACCACACATCTACAACCATCTGACCTTTGACAAACCTGACACAAAAAAGGAATGGGGAAAAGATTCCCTATTTGATAAATTGTGTTGGGAAAACTGGCTAGCCATATGCTGAAAACTGAAACTGGACCCCTTCCTTATACCTTATACAAAAATCAACTCAAGTTAGATCAAAGACTTAAACCTAAGACCTAGGACCATATAAATCCTAGAAGAAAACCTGGGCATTATCATTCAGGACATAGGCATGGTCAAAGACTTCATGTCTAAAACACCAAAAGCAATGACAACAAAAGCCAAAATTGACAAATGGGATCTAATTAAACTAAAAAGTTTCTGCACGGCAAAAGAAACTATCATCAGAGTGAACAGGCAACCTACCGAATGGGAGAAAATTTTTGCAATCTATCCATCTGTCAAAGGGCTAATATCCAGAATCTACAAAGAACTTAAACAAATTTACAAGAAAAAAAGAACAACCCCATCAAAAAGTAGGCAAAGGATATAAACAGACACTTCTCAAAAGAAGACATTTATGCAGCCAACAGACACATGAAAAAATGCTCATCATCACTGTCATTACAGAAATGCAAATCAAAACCACTATGAGATGCCATCTGACACCAGTTAGAATGGCGATCATTAAAAAGTCAGGAAACAGGTCGGGCGAGGTGGCTCACGCCTGTAATCCCAGCACTTTGGGAGGCCGAGGTGGGTGGATCACAAGGCCAGGAGATCGAGACCATCCTGACTAACACGGTGAAACCCTGTCTCTACTAAAAATACAAAAAATTAGCCGGGTGTGGTGACAGGTGCCTGTAGTCCCAGCTACTTGGGAACTGAGGTAGGAGAATGGCATGAACCCAGGAGGTGGAGCTTGCAGTGAGCCGAGTTCACAACACTGCACTCCAGCCTAGGCAACAGAGCAAGACTCAGTCTCAAAAAATAAAAAAGGTCAGGTAACAACAGATGCTGGAGAGTATGTGGAGAAACAGGGACACTTTTACACTGTTGGAGGGAGTGTAAATTAGTTCAACCATTGTGGAAGAAAGTGTGGCAATTCCTCAAGGATATAGAACTAGAAATACCATTTGACCCAGCAATCCCATTACTGGATATATAACCAAAGGATTATAAATCATTCTACCATAAAGACACATGCACACATATGTTTATTGCAGCAGTATTCACAATAGCTAAGACTTGGAACCAACCCAAATGTTCATCAATAATAGACTGGATAAAGAAAATGTGGCGCATATACACCGTGGAATACTATGCAACCATAAAAAAGGAGGAGTTCATGTCCTTTGGAGGGACATGGATGAAGCTGGAAACCATCGTTCTCAGCAAACTATCACAAGAACAGAAAACTAAACTGCGCAGGTTCTTACTCATAAGTGGGAGTTGAAAATGAGAACACATGGACATAAGGAGAGGAACATCACACATCGGGATCTGTCGGTGGGGTAGGGGCTGGGGGCTGGGGGAGGGATAACACTAGGAGAAATACCTAATGTAGATGATAGGTTGATGGGTGCAGCAAACCACCACGGCACATGTATACCATACCTATGTAACAAAACTGCACGTTCTGCACATGTACCCCAGAACTTAAAGTATAATAAAAAATAAGAATAATAGAATAAAATAAAAACGGAAGTTTCTTTGCACAGGCTCCCTGTCTTTTTGCCTGCCGCCATCTACATAAAATGTGACTTGCTCCTTCTTGCCTTCCACCATGACTGTGAGGCCTCCTCAGCCATGTGGAACTGTAAATCCATTAAAACTCTTTCTTTTGTAAATTGCCCAGTTTCAGGTATGTGTTTATCAGCAGCGCAAAAAACAGACAAATATGCCGTTCCCGTGATTCAATTACCTCCCACTGGGTCCCTTCCATGACAGGGGGTTTGTGGGAACTACAATTCAAGATGAGATTTGGGTGGGGTCACAGCCAAACCATGTCCTACCTGTATTATATACCCTCTCCTGCAATCATTCAAACTTTTGTCATGAAAAACTTTTAAATCATTGTACAACACACTATAACCCTAGATAGAAATATTGTACTTGTTCTTATTTTCTTCTCATTTTTAAGACTCCCAAGGCTATTTAGATTCCATAATAAAATTGTATGTTAGCCATTTTACAACAGAGAAAGTTGGCAAGTACCATGCCATTTTCTCTGACACTCTTTAATATGCCACTTTTCATTTGGTGCACTAATCATTTAAAATAAGCCTTCCCTGCTAAGCATTGTTTCTGTGCATTCTGTAGGTAGTATGTTGAACTTCCAGCACAATTTATACATCTTTAACATTTTCTGATTAGCTTGTATTTCCATACATGTGGGGTGTGGAGGGCTTTCTAAGACTCCCTGTATCATATAAAAAAGAAAATGTGGAACATTTACTATGAACCCTTCACAAAAATTCTGTGCTCCTGCATCTTGTGAACTCCCTTTCACATAATATTCCACTGTTTATTATTTCATTGAACACTTTAACTATTTAACACATTTGGTTATTACTTAATGACTAACCAAAATAAAGCCTAGTACATTCACACACTGAGGTTCACACAATGCGTTTTTTTGTTTGTTTGTTGTTTATTCTTTTAAATTATTTTAGTTTTGGTTTTACCCAAAATAAAACTCACATCTCGACTCCAGAGTAACCTCTATTCTTATATCTATTGGTCAGCAACCTAGAATATATAATCAATTCAAAGTTTATCATGTAATTCTTGCTCCATTAATCCTCCATCCTTGCTAAGACATTTTAGTTCATTTATACAGAAAAGAAGCCATCTCAGATCTTCAGGGGTTGACAGACCAGTCAGACTATCCATGAGGAAGATGTACATCCATGAACACTAGCATACACAAATTATACAAAAGTACTATTAAATATAGGTAAATGGGCAAAATCATTTTTAGTTGTAGAGATTAAGAACACACAGCCTAGAATTGGAAGGCTTGAACTCGAATCTTGAGTGTGCTCTTGATCGTATGACAGCAGCTTCTGCACCTTTTTCTTAATCCCATTCACAATCTATATTCTGAGCCATGATTGCCCGCATTGGGGTTTATCACTTGACAGCCTCTATCCCACATCCCTTAATATAGCATCCTGGGCTTGGTACAGACTTTATGTCATTCCTCTACTTACAGATTTAGAATGACTTTCTATTGTTCATTTTCAAATCCTTCCACACAAGTCGGAGAATTTTTGTATTGGTAATTAAGGAAAAGCTTTAAGTCACGGTCAAAAGTGTCAGTCAGGGAGGTGGCAGCTGAAATGAAGCTGGGTGCAGTGCTGACATTGCTTATGATTTGTGAGATGTTGCAACAGCCATGAACCACAGTTGACAGAAAGATGACAATGGAATTTTGTGGACTAACAGACTTCATTGATCAAGGAAACTAGTTACAAAGATGAAGGTAAAAATCACAAACACCATCCAAATGCGCTATTGCTTATATAGGGTTGAATATAATAAGGTAATTATTCACTCATTGAAACAAACGTCTGCCCCACAATACCTTTATAAATGTATTCTTCAGAAAATAATTCTCAAGAGAAGGTCTTCGTAATGTACTGTTTAGTCCCATCATGAACTTTATTATAGAGATGTATCTAAGAGAGAATGGAGTCATGTTGCTGTATGGGATATTTTGAAGGCGTGTAGACTCTGATAGCCATAATATGAAACAAAATGGAAAGTAATTAAGAATAAAAGTAAAAAGCAAATTTAAAGTAGGTTTAACTATCTTATTTACATGTTCAATTTTCACTTTCTTATTTCTTTTTTTTTTTTACTGAAAATTAACATTGCCTAAAGATGTAAATGTGAAAATGTCACACATAGTAAAGAAAATATATCATTGCAAGGATATCCTGATAATGAATAAAAATTATGGAATCATAAATGTATTTTTGGGTAAAAATACAAATTTTAAGAGTATTGGATAAGGGAGCTCACGGATGAGCTATATTGTTTTGAAAGTTTCATGTTCCTCATTTTCTTGTCATTAGAAATCTTTATGTAGAGCTATAACTGGAAATATAATTTCATGTCTCGTGTAAATCATGCATTCATTTTGCACATACATTAAATTGACAAAAAAATCATATTCTATTTGATACTCATGCTAGACTTCAAATAGAGAATATTCTTAAAACACGAAGTGATGAAGCATAAAATAACACCATTATGTTCCCTAAAAGAACAGAATCACACTTGAGATATATTATTCCTAAGTTCAGCATTGATGCTGATATCACATTTTCTTCCCCAACTGTGAATAGCAGTTTCAGAAATTTGATATTTTCAAGGGATACTTGAACTCTCTGATGCTTCATTCATTGAAATATTATTGCTCATATTTCTATCATGATTGTCGAAGTGAAACATGATACACATTTCTTCTCTGAGAAAATTTCATTGTTCCTGTTTGCAATGATATGAGGTATGTGAGTTGAGTTCTTATTGTGACTTATTGGTATTACAAAATTTGAGCCTCAGTCTTATCAAATTCTGTTGAATATTTCTGATAATATAACAAAAGAGAAAGCCAGAATATTTTTGTTAGGGGGGACTTCAAAATGATTAAACACATGATAGCTTTGATAAATTTATCAATATCTAATATCTTAATATATTGTGAAAGAAGCATTTATTATCTCAAAGCTTTGATTTTGAGATATTATTGTTCAAGATATTTTTGTGCCACTTAGCCTTGTGACAAAAGAATATAATAAACAATAGCAAAAATAAGAGACAAGGCCAGGTGCAGTGGCTCACACTTGTAATCCCAGCACTTTGGGAGACCAAAGTCAGGGGATTGCTTGAGCCCAGGAGAAACCAGCCTGGGCATCATTGGGAGACTCCATCTCTGCAAAATATAAAAAAGTTAGCCAGGCATGATGGCACGTGCCTGTAGTCCCAGCTCCTCAGAAGGCTGAGGTGGGAGAATTGGCTTGAGCCTGGCAGGTTGAGGCTGCAGTGAGCTGTGATCATACCACTGCACTCTAGACTGGAAGACAGAGCAAGATTCTGTCTCAAAAAGAAAAAAAAGAGAGACAAAGAGTGAAGTTTCATCTTGAAAAGAGTTATACATAGACAATGATGATAAAATTATAATTTATATACGCATGTGACAACAATTGAATCCAAAATTTTGAAATTTTTAAATGATGTTAAAAGTCATTTGTTATGGCTAGATATTGTTCTCTAATAACCATTTTACATGGTTTTGACGTTTGTCCCCTCCAAATCTCATGTTGAAATGTGACCTCCAAAGTTGGATGTTGGCCTAGAGGAAGGTGTTTGGGTCATGGGGGAGATCCCTCATGAATGGCTTGGTGTTGTCCTTGCAGTAATGAGTTCTCACTCTGTTAGTTCACGTGAAGGTTGGTTGTTTAAAAGAGCCGGGCGTCTTTCTTGCTCCCTGTCTCACCATGTGACACACCTGCTCCCCCTTCACCTTCTTCCATAAGTAAGAACTTCCTAAGGCCTCACCAGAAGCTGAGCAGATGCTGGTGCCATTCTTGTACAGCCTTCAGAACCATGATCCAAATAAACCTCTTTTCTTTATAAATTATCCAGTCTCAGGTCTTCCTTTATTGTACCTCAAAACAGACTAACACACTGTTTATCTGTTGATGGACATTTCCTTTAATTACACGTCTTGACTGTTACAAATAATGTTGCAATGAACAGAAACTTAACTATTAATGGTTTAATTAAAAAGGAGTGTATTTTCCTGACATCACTGTGCAATTATTCATTTGTTGGTTCTCATGACCAAATTCACCCTCTTTGTACCAGCTTCGCAATAATAGATAATTTTTCTTAAACATTTCTCTTTTATACTGGGCACCCTCATAAACTTTATCCGCTGAAAGACATTGGAGGTACCCTGTGGAAGGAGGAGGTTCTTTCTCCCAGCTCTGGTGGCTGTACCTCCAGCAAATGTGGGTAGAAGGGTCATCAGATGGTACTCTGTCCCAGACAGATGCCCACAGTGCCTAGAGTGCAACAAACTTACAGAACAACATGGCGATCACCTTTGCACTTTGATATGGTGTGGCTGTGTCTTCACCCAAATCTCATTTTGAATCGTACCTCCCATAATTCCCACGTGTTGTGGGAGGGACCTGGTAGTAGGTAATTGAATCATGGATGCAGGAATTTCCCATGCTGTTCTCGTGATAGTGAGTAAGTCTCATAAGATCTGATAGTTTTATAAAGAAGAGATCCCCTACACAAGCTCTTGCCTGCCACCATATAAGACATGACTTTGCTCCTCGTTAGCCTTCCACCATGATTGTGAGGCCTCCCCAGACATGTGGAACAGTGAGCCCCTTAAACCTCTTTCCTTTATAAATTACCCAGTCTCAGGTATTTATTAGCAGCATGAGATCAGACTAATACACACTTGATGTAGACATCACGTGTCCCAGACCTCCTACACTGTGTGCTCCTGGTCTCCTGCCTAGACTGGTGCCCCATGCGCTCTGACTGCATAGCTCTCTCTCCAAGTTTATCCCCTGCAGCCTATCCTAAAGAGAACACTGCCCACTGCATAACTCCTCTCCCCTCTCCACTGGCTCCCTTCCCTTCTGCACAATGGTGCATCTAGACACAGCCTCAGCAGTGCCCCAGAAATTGCTTCTCACTTGCCCAGCAGCTGCACACCAGCTCTGCTCTGTGCAAACCATAAAAGTTATCTGCCATTCACTGGCCTGCAAATACATCTCTAAAGAAGTCAGAGCCTCAGCCTTGGTGGAGAGGGTCCATTATAAAATTGTTCATCTTTGGATATGCTCCCTAAGCTGTAGGGTAGCATATGGTACCATTATTTTTTCTTTTACTGTAGTAATTATTTATATTAAACCTCTCCTGTTTAAGTAACCATATAGGTCATGGCTGGATCCAAACTGGCATAACATCATGAAGCAGAGAGTTACGTAGAGTTGGTTAATTCAGTGCCTCTAGGACTTCAATAAACTCCTGCTGACTAAATGCAAAGGTAACATGGAGTGAAGAATGGAAGCAAGACACTATAAACACTAACTATGTTCTCTTGACCAGCTGCAGAAATTAAGACATTAGAGTTGTGCATACACCCTTTCATGCATAAGCATAAACATAACAATTACTATCTAATTTCTCCTCTACACTATCCCAACGATGTAATCACCCAGAAAAGGACTGAAGGAGTATAGGGTATGTGTATCCCCATTTTGCATCTCTCCCTTTTGGGGTAGGGAGGAGCATATCTTGGCTTGTATGAAGCATAGGTTTATCACTCTGGATGACAATGATGTTCTTTTTCGGGTATGAATATTTAGCTGTAAGAGTGTGTGGAAGATTACAAATAGTTTCACATGTTTCTACCATCCCAGATTGCATACCTCTGTTCAACGGGACTTTGCCTCTCCTCCAAGTAATATACGGAATCTTGAATCTCAGCTGGCTCAGTGACTTAACAAAATGGAACTGATTGTTGCTCCATAACTTCTGAGACTAGGCCTTGAGAGAACATGTAGTCTCCAGTTTCACTCTTTGGATTGCAGGTCCGAAAGGAAGTTAGTCTAAGCCTTCTGTACACATGAGCTCATGTGGAGGACTCAGTGTCCTCTGGCACCTGCAGGTACTAACTGCTGAAATGTGAGTGAGCCTACCTGTACCTTCCACTTGGATGTAGTTCCATCAGTGAGCCCAGGTGAAACCAACAGAGAACCCATCCAACCAAACCACAGAATCCTGAGAAATAATAACTCATTGCCAAGTCGTGGAGTTAGCAAGAACTAACTGAAACAGTGTGTGTGTGTGTGTGTGCGCGCGCGCGTGTGTGTGTGTATGTGTTGACAAAGAAGTAGACTGTCTGTGCTGGGTCCTGTTCTCTGTGGTTGATGTGGCATCATTGCTACCCCTTTCCACAGTCTCTCCCTCATCACACTTACTCTGGGAAAGTGCATTTCCCAAGCCCCTGCCCCCTAGGCCAGACATGAAATTCCAAAAATAAAAGCACTTCCTTGAGATTTGGAAGCCAGAAGAGATGGGAAAATCCATCTGTTTCATAATTATATATTATTACCTAAAGATTGTATTATTATTTTATGTATAAAATATTAATCGTTATTATATATTATTAATTTTATTCTATCTCCAATTTCAAAGCATCTCTTTTGACTTTTATTCTTCAAGACAGATGCTTACAATTTGGATTTCTGGATCACAGCTATGTGTACTTCAAACATGAACAGATACTGTCCACTTACTTGGAAAAACTAGCATTTTATATTAAAATTGGTATTATATGATAATATTATTTTTTCTTAATTATACCAGTAATATATTTTGTCAACTCTTCCAACAGGGAAGAAATAGTATCTTAATGTTACAAGTTGCATTCCCCTGATTAGCCATGAAGTTGGGTATATTTTCACTCATTTATTGACAATCTGTATGTTTTCCTACAGATTGTCTATTCACATCCTTTGTCAAAATACATTTGTTTTTATTTGTCTAGGAGCTACTTGCAAATAATGACTATTGATTGTTTTAAGTGCTACAACTAATTTCTCTCAGGCTGTTTTGACATTTCTTAAAAACACAATTAAAGACACTGAAATTTCTCATGCTTATAATTACAACACTTTGGGAGGCCGAGATGGGAGGATCACTTGAGGCCCAGAGTATGAGACCAAGCTGGGCAGCAGAGCGAGACACCAAGTTGGGCAGCAGATCAAGACCCTGTCTTAACAAATAAATAAATAAAATAAAGGTATGCAATTTTCAGTTGATTCTTCATCATTAATTTCACCTGATTCTTTATGTATTTGTTTCATGACTCCCGGGGTTTTCCCCAACCATTCATCTTACTAAAATTCAATCTTCAAATAAAATCTGGTCACCTCTCTTTGCTCTCATTCATAGTTGCCCTTGATTTTTCATTCCTCTGATTAATCAGTTTTTAAAAAAAAACACTCTTCAAGCTTTTATTGTGTAGCCAGTATGGTTCATTTCAACATCTGTCACCACATAAAATGTCTTTCCAACACTGTTGGGCTGTTTGGCTTAGCTAGGCATCGTTTGGTTGCTAGAACAGAGAGAAATTCAACCTTACTAAGGTGAAAAGTAGGACCCATGATAAGAATAAATGGATATGCCACATTTCCTAGTAAAATGAAATATACAAAGCCTTCGATAAGAGGAAAGGAATTTGGAATTATCTGTCTTTTTCATGGCATAATGCTGCTCAATTTTACAGGTCTCTGTATTTCTGTTCCCCTTCATCTTCTTCAAAATGCCAGAAATTCTCTATTTGTTTGAAAGTTTGCTTTGTCTAAAAACAGCCACAAAAATGAGACTCCCAGATCCTGAGTTTATATGAACACACACATTTCACTATAGCATCTGGGTAGTGTAAATCTTACCTGTATATACTCTTTAGAGAGAGAATTTCTGTATTCAAATCTCAGCTTTGCCACTGAAAATTCAGCAAACTATTCAACCTGTGACTCAGGACTTCTTTAATGAGAATTAAACAAGTTAACTGGTGTTAAAATTTTTAAGAAGTATCTGCATACATAAATGTCCATTTTTCTTATAGAATGATTAATTCCTAACTCATTATTTCTTACTTCATTCCAAAATGCTAATGAGGCAAACTCATTCAGAAGTGAGTATGTCAGCTTTTCTGTATTAGTCAGCTTTCACAGCAGTAACAACCAACCAAATTGCTTCAGTGGTTTATGAGAACAACTTCTATTTCCTGCTGATGTTACATTATGATTTCTGGTCAGGGCTGACTCTTCTGAGCTCAGCTTGGCTTGACTTCACAAATCGTCTTCTGTAACTCACGTGGAAGGGATGCTTCTCTTTGGGCCTCACGGTGGTGGGGTGGTGGTTGGAGTAAGAGGGTACAATATACTCTCCTGTATTAGGTGCGTATTGCAGTCCTCATTAGCTACAGTCTGGGGTTTTGTAATTAAGTAAATAGGTCTACTCCCTTCAGAGCACACACGCCCTCCAAGAAAAATCTTAAGAGAACAGCAAGATGATTTTGGATTTTTCTAGAATACCTTTCATGGCCTTGTTTCTGATGGGCTACATCTGGACTGTTCTTTGCATCACATTCCCCCTGACTTCTTCCATCCCATCTCCTCATCACTGCTTAACTTCTCAAGTCTGACAGACCTCATATTTTAAGACTATAATCTTATCATTTTCTTTATAAATACAATTTTTGTTTGAGTATTGTTAATAAGTTGTATCTTTTTTTAATGCTCTACAACTCTAGGAGATTCCAGAATATGAAAGAATCTGTGACAGAGACCATAGGTGGTTCCCAAAGCCAAAAATATTTACTATCTATCCTCTTCAGGAAAAGTTTTCTGACCCTTGTTCTAGAATACAGTTAGGACATAGAGAGGAACCTGTAAACAAAGGTAACTAAATGTAGTTAGTCTAAGGGAAAGCAGAAGAGAAGTTGTAGAAACACTTTTGATGATATGTCTTCAAATTTACCTCATGGCCGTAAATTCACCAGCTGCTGTGAGTACTGACTATACAAGTGCCTTCAGTAAACCAAAGCCACCGTGTCTGGAATTGGTTCCTTCCGGTGGGTTTTTGGTCTTGCTGACTTCAAGAATGAAGCCATGAACCCTTGTGGTGAGTGTTACAGTTCTTAAAGATGGTGTGTCCAGAGTTTGATCCTTCAGATGTATCCAGAATTTCTTCCCTCCAGTGCATTCGTGGTCTCGCTTGATTTCAGGAGTGAAGCCATAGACCTTCACAGTAAGGGTTACAGCTCTTAAAGGTGGCACGGACCCAAAGAGTGAGCAACAGCAAGATTTACCGTGAAGAGCAAAATAACAGCTTCCACAGCACGCAAGGCTAAGGAACAGGACCCACGCAGGTTGCCACTGTTGGCTCGGGTGGCCAGCTTTTATTCCCTTATTTGACCCCGCCCATGTCATGCTGATTGGTCCATATTACAGAGTGTTGATTGGTCCGTTTTACAGAGTGCTGATTGGTCAGTTTTTAGAGAGTGCTGATTGGTGCCTTTACAAACCTTTAGCTAGACACAGAGCACTGATGGGTGCATTTTTACCGAGTGCTGATTGGTGCATTTACAAACCTTTAGCTAGACACAGAGCACTGATTGGTGCGTTTACAATCCTTTAGCTAGACGGAAAAGTTCTCCAAGTCCCCACTCAACCCAGAAGCCCAGCTGACTTCACCTTTCACCACTGTGCTGAATCAGGAATTATGCAACAGATCTCCCCAGAACTCCGTCCCCACCTGACACTGAGCCCTCAGTCAACGACTGATCAATAGATGGGTACAATAAGCCACCTGACCCCTTAACCTAATGGGAGGGCACCTCGGGAATGCAGTTCATACTACACATTTTCCTGTGGGATCGGCTTGGATCTAGACTGCACCTTAGACCACATTCTTGCTTAGATATTTTCCTGTGCCTCACTCTTTCATTCTTGCTCCAAAGAACACATTCTCAATAAATAATAACTCACACAATAATTCTTGTCTAGGCAGTCATTGTAAGGAATATACCCTAAAAGAGAAGGAAGTAAGAATGAAAACTATGGAGAAGCTTTCTATGTTTCTTATCACAATTTTACTGAGAGAATGAAAGAAAACAATCCTCTGGCCTATGTTTTGAAACATGACATCAAGACTTTATTTTGATTTGGTTAGATAATTCTCTGGCCACAGACAGGTAAACATAAGCCAATATACTTGAGATTGTATCGGAATTAAACTTTCCATCCCTAGGAAAGCACATGCTAGTGTAAATTCAAGCCTAAAAGAAAAAAAAAGTCAATGTATTATAGATAGACTTAGATATGTAAGGGTTGCAATAAAAGTAAAGTACAAAAACATATAGATGTATATATGCATACTTGTGTGATGATAAAGCTAATATTTATGTAAAATCCATTTTCTTGAGACTGCCATATATTTTATAGAATAACACAGTTGCTGTAAAATTATTTAATAAATTTAGTTTGATATATTTTCAAATGGAATATAGGTCGGAGTAATTTGCCAATACAAAGATAGGAAGTGATGTTTAGGGCCCAATTCAGAGAATTTATAAGATATGCTTATTTTCTTACGATTAAACTCTTTTTTTCTTCAATAAATACAATGTATCTATAAAATCATTAATTCTCTTTAAAAACAGATGATTATATGGTCAAAAAATAATAAAGAAACGGCTGACTCAATTACTATTTTTTTGTTTTTTTTCCAGAATGGATTTTTAAAAACTGAATTGACTAAACTGAACAGCTAATTCTGGAAACAAATGGACACAAACATAGTGTTGAATGGAATGGAGGATATTGGAAAGGGTTTGGAAGGGCACCAAGAATAACTTAACTAAGCTCCCGAAGGACCGGAAAGGAAGAATGTGTTTCAGTATTTATTGTAAGAACGTATTTTGATACAAAGTTGCTTGTATTTCTTAATGGCTGTGCCCAGGAGAAAACCTCTCGTATTATAACAGCACATGGTCTTTCTTTTTCAAATAAAATGTAAGTAGGTAAAGAGAATGAAAGACTTGTTCAACAAAAGAAATATATATGCTGCCGGATGTGTCTAGTTGAGTCTCTCTCTATATCTTATACATGTATTTTACTAATTTATCCTTAACTGTTTTTTAAAGCATTTTGGTCTACATTTTAAGTCAACTCTCAGAAAAGTTGATTATGTGAACCTCTTATCTAAAAAGCTCCGTTATCTGAATTAGGCCATGTTTCTGTACATGCATCATTTACGTTAAGAACTTCCCATCCTTATCTGAAGCCCTCATTATCCAAATTAAGTCTCTGACCTTCTTTCCATTTTGCTAATTGAGGTTTAACGATATCAGAATTCATATTCTCTGATTTATGAGAATAAGGAGAAAATAAGCTTCCTGTGTAACTGGACCAAAAAATTATCATTACTCAACTTTGTAAAATGGCTTATTTTGTGACTGCTTTTCAACTTTTCAGTTCATATATTAAAAAAAAATCTAGAAAATACGTTTTTACAGGAAACAAATTGTAATGTAAAATATGAGTCATGGGGGGGAGTTACTAATTTATTTGGAAAAAGGTGAGGGACAGAGAGGTAGCCAGAGAAAGCTTTAATTACTTTAGATCTTGCCACATCTCCACGTTGGCATCCAGGCTTTCCTGGGAAGGGAGGCAAGGAACCTCTTGAGGTACCAAGAAAGGTAAATCAAAGATCCGTGGAAATGGTGAAGACTTGCAGAGTTAACCCACCTCAGAGAGTGCAGGTGACATGAACCAGGAATGCTGTACTGTGACTCCCGTTGCCCACTCTGCCCATTTTCCTCCATGTTTCTTTCTTTTTCTCTCTCTCTTCTTTTTTTCTTTTTTGTAGGGACAGGGTTTCACACTGTTGCCCAGGCTGGAGTGCAGTGGCAAGATCACAGCTCACTGCAGTCTCCAATTCCCGGGCTCAAGAGATGCCTTTGCCTCAGCCTCCCATAGCTGGGACCACCAGTGTGCACCACCACGTCTGGCTAATTTTTTAATGTTCTTGTAGAGATGAGGTCTCTCTATGTTGCCAAGCTGATGTCTTCGTTGTGTTTTATACCCATTTTCAGCTTTTGAAAAAATGATCAATAACAAGAACTAAAGAAAATTATAAATATCCATAATTCATAATGTTTAAGGTCTGCAACAATAGATGGACAGATATAGAGACATGTAATTAAAGTATAATTATGTTCAAACATAGGTTTATATTTATATTTTATTAATCTATTTCAGAACCTAGAAATACACAGACCGCAGTAAAGGAAGGAAATCTGAATGCCTGTTAGACGCTTTTTAAAAAATATATGATAATATATTATCTTGATCAGAAACATTATTTTTAGCTTGTATTAAACAATATGGTGTCCTGATTAAGTATGCTTACAGGATTATACAAAAGAACCAAAGGCTCTCTTGTATAATCCTATGTGGTTATATAATCCTAAAAGAGTCTTTGTTTGTCTTGTATAATCATGTGAACTAATTTTGCACAATCCTGAGTGTACTCATTTTGAGAAATGTATCTGCAAGACAAAGGGTTAATCATATAGTAAGAATAAAATACAGTCCAAATATTATGATATTAGAGGTTACATACTCAGAATGACTTTCCTCTCACTGGTTTCCTCAAATAACAGTTTAAGTGGAAACCAACATTTTATTTCTCAGTTAGTTAGATAAAAATGAAAATACCATTATTAGTAATCTACATCACGTTTTTTTATAGGATGATTTTATAATGGCAGATTGAAGCAATCAAATAGCATGAAAGGCTTGATCCAGATTTACTCAGTAAATTGAGTTCAACTTGTTATTATCTCTTCAAAGGGCAAACCTTCTATAATAGCAGCTCAGCTTAGACATTATGCAACCAGTAAAACAAAAAGAATGAGTACACCCTGGAATACTTTAAAGTAAGGAAGGGCTATGTCCTGGTACTATCCACAGTGCTCACAGAAATAAGGCTTCAACTGTTCCCACCTTCCAACTTCTGCCCCAAGAATCTGGACAAAGTAGTGAAATGTATCAAGTGCATTTCCTCCGTGCACTTAGTAGGCCCTGCTCCTCACACCCAGGGTTTCATCTTATCTTTCCAGTAGGCCTAGACATTAGAAGTACAGTCACTTCCATTTTCTTATCTTTCCAGTAGGCCTAGACATTAGAAGTATAGTCACTTCCATTTAACACGAGGACTCTTAGCTAGGGTAGTCAACGACCCTACCCATTGCCCCCTAGATGGCCTGCAAGACTGAGGTGCTGACTCCAGGGTCTCTGGCCTTAATCACCAAATAGCACTGCCCCTGAAGCGAATTAGGGAAATGTGGGAACTCCAAGAAACACAAGATCTGAGAATGAACCTGAATTAAAAAATCTTACCTTCTCCATATCCTCGTCCTATGGATAGGACTCTCCATATCTGATGGAGAGAGAGTCCTATCACTCTCTATTGAGGAGAAAACTGCAAAAATTTGAGAAATAGGACAACTTTTTCTGGAAAAGCTTGTGTTGACAACAACAGTAACAAAAATGCCATGAGAGGTAGGAGGCTTGCATTAATCAGGATTCTTCTGATTGCATTTAACACACATTAAATCGGGGCTGCTTTCGGCAAAAGGCTGAATTTATTGAATCATAAAATACTTCAAGGGGCACAAGGCCTCCAGAACAAATGGATGTGGGATTCAGAAATTCCTTCCTGTCTCTCCACTTGGTCTCTGCATCTGTCTCTGTTGTGGTAAAACACATGGTCCCCAGCTGACCTGAGGTTTTGCAGCAGCCTCTGGGCATTTTCCTGTGAGACTCTCACCTTGACACAGCAAGCAGGAGTGATTACAGAGCAGTTTCCAAATTCTCTTAGAGACAGTGGTAAAAATGAGTTTCCCATGGCCTTCTCTGAGGTTCGCTCCTTCCAGCAGTTCTTGTAAACACATAATTTTGAGAAATAAGTGTAGTTCCACCTGAAAAAACCAGAGTTGTTTCTGTTTTCCTGAGCAAACCCTGAGTGATGCAGAATCTTAATAAAAGAATTTTAACTTTTGAGTATATGGCTGTTGGGACTCTGTTACAAATTGCCTTCCACTCTCAAAGTCAGCCTTCCAAAGTCTTGCCCATCCCTGGGAGGATGTGTTTCCTCTTTGATGCATTTCCAAATCTCCCAATCCAAATTAGCCTTTATTCTAATAGAGATATTAGAATTATAAAGAATATTTTTATAACACGGATTGGAAAATCTTTTGTATAAAGTAAATAAATGGGAAAACTTTTACAAAGGATGCTGTTCTTTTTACATGAGATTAATGTATACATTAATTTTGTATACATTGTTACTCAGCTTCAGAGAGTTCACAAAGAAAAATATCCAATTCTGTTTCATCTTTATATGGTATAGAATTCCATGGTGTGGTCACAGTTTTTTTTTTTTTATACCATAATTTAACATATTCATCCTTATATTCCCTCACCTTCCACTGATGGGCATTTACAACACCCAAATGAAACTTCCGTTACAGTTATGTAAATATGAGAGCAACCTCTAGTAAGTTTTAAGTTCTTGGCAGGAAGGTCCTGTGGTTTATTTATTCTCATCAATATTGTGACCTACTGTTTTTTCTACAGTAAGAACCTTTAGAATATTTGTGAAAATTAATAAAAATCAATTATAATGATAATGTTTTCATATGTAACAGCAAAACAAAATATTATTGTGTTAATTCATTGATGTACTATTAAAGGCACCAAATATTATTTTTAATAAAAATTATAAAGCAACCCAGTCTAGCCTCTTCTTTAAAAATATTGCTAATTGCAAGTAAACATCTCTTTTATTTAGGTATTTATAGATTCTTATTTGGGAATATAGATGAGAAACCTGGACTGTTGTTTGTTTTATGTATTGTATGTTCATAACCTTTCGGGTTTCTCTGATAGTTGTTTTTTTCCTTTTGATTTATAAGAACGCTTCACAAAATAGAGATAAAAGCCCTGCTCTCTCATATGGGATACCAAGAGTTTGCAAGGTTTATCTTGATTTTAAGCTTTTTTTGATGTTTTTGCTGCTTTCATGGGCTGGGGTTGAGTGTCTGCAGATTTTCTAGGCACGCAGTGCAAGCTGTAGGTTGATCTACCATTCTGGGGTCTGGAGTTCTGTGGCCCTCTTCTCACAGCTCCACTAGGCAGTGCCCCAGTAGACAATCTGTGTGGGAACTCACACCACACATTTTCCTTCTGCACTGCCCTAGCAGAGGTTCTCCATGAGTGCTACACCCCTGCAGCACACCTCTGCCCGGATATCTGGCATTTCCATACATCCTCTGAAATCTAGGTGGAGGTTCCCAAACCTCAATTCTTGTCTTCTGTGTACCAATAGGCCCAGTACCACATGTAATCCGCCAAAGGCTGGGGCTTGCACCCTCTGAAGCAACAGCCTGAGCTCCACCTTGGCGCCTTTTAGCCATGCCTGGAATGGCTGAGATGCAGGGCACCAACTTCCAAGGCTGCACAAAGCAGCAAGGCCATGAGACTGACCAACGAAACCATTTTTTCCTCCTAGACCTCCCAAGGTGTGATGGGAGGGTCTGCTGTGAAGATTTCTGATATTCCCTGGGGACATTGTCCCCATTTTCTTGGCCATTAACATTTGACTCCTGGTTACTTATGCAAATTTCTGCAGCTGGCTGGAATTTCTCCCCAGAAAATGGAGTTTTCTTTTCTACTGTGTTGGCACCCTGTCAATTTTCCAAATTTTTATGCTCTGCTTCCCCAAAATGCTTTGCTGCTTAGAAATTTCTTCCACCACCTGGCCAACACCGTGAAACCCCATCTCTACTAAAAATGCAAAAATTAGCCAGGTGTGGTGGCATGTGCCCATAACCCCAGGTACTCGGAAGGCTGAGGCAGGAGAATCGCTTGAACCCAGGAGGCAGAGGTTGCAGTGAGCTGAGATCACACCATTGCACTCCAGCCAGGGTGACGAAAACGAAACTCCATCTCCGAAGAAAAAAAGAAAAGAAATTTTTTCCACCAGATACCCTGAATCATCTCTCTCAAGTTCAAAGTTCCACAGACCTCTAGGGCGGGGTAAAATGTCACCAGTCTCTTTGCATAGCAAGAGTGACCTTTACTTCAGTCCCCAAGTTCCTCATCTCCATATGAGACCACCTCAGTCTGGACTTCATGGTGATTGCCCATGTAACTACCAGCATTTTGGTCAAAGCCATTCAACAATTCTCCAGGGAGTTCCAAACCTTCCCACATCTTCCTGTTTTCTGAGCCCTCCAAGTCTCTAGGAAGTTCCAAACATTCCCACAGTTTACTATCTTCTTTTGAGTCCTCCACACTGACCCAACCTCTGTCTATTACCCAGTTCCAAATTTGTTTCCACATTTTCGGGTATCTATGTAACAGCATCCCACTCTGCAGTACCAATTTACTGTATTAGTCCGTTCTGACACTGCCAGAAAGAACTGCCCGCGTCTGGGTAATTTATAAAGAAAACAGGTTTAATTGACTCACAGTTTTGCAAGGCTGAGGAGGCCTCAGGAAATTTACAATCGTGGCAAAGGCACCTCTTTACAGGGCGGAAAGAAACAGAATGAGTGCCCAGTGAAGGGGGAAGCCCGCGATATCTCAGGAGAACTCACTCATTATCATGAGAACTGCAGCATGGGGGTAACCGCCCCCGTGATTTAATTACCTCCCATCAGGTGCCACCCAAGACGGGTGGGGATTATAAGAACTACAATTCAAGATGTGATTTGGGTGGAGACATAGCCAAACCATATCATCAACTAAATTATTATTTGAAAAAAAGAACAGTACTTTCCCCATATGATTATTCAAACATGTCTGATTCTTTATAGCCAAAGTACTTCATTAAATATTAAATACTGCAGCATTATCTATGTTTCAATCTGAAATTGAGCTAATATTCTAGAGGGTCATTGCATCATAATTAACATGAGCTTTTTATTTAGACCAATCTCCATTCCAGATCCGTTTCTGACACTTCTTATCTCTTTGAATTGGGCAATTAATTTAATTAAAGTTAAAACATTTTAAGGATCAGTTTTTTCAATTTTAAAATTAGTGTGAGACTATCCATGTCTTAAGGTCTTTGCACAAACTAAATGAAATAAACTATCTAAAATGCATACTTCTGAAGTGAGTAGTAAATAAAATCTATTATTAAGCATTATTATTGTTTTTCCCCTTCAGATGAAACTATAGACATTGATGGTTGCTATTCTTTTATTTTGACATGTAAAATTGGATGCCAATACTTTTCTGAGTAGATATAAATTTAATTCATTATTACAAAACACTTGGTGGAACTATCAGCCTCAAATCAAGATATCATAACTGCTGCTGAACTATATGATTTTTATAACAATTTTATTCTGTTTTTTTGCACTCAGGCTTTTCGGGAGAAAATAATTTCACCACTGAGACTTAAAGTATAAAAAAATCTTAGAAATAATATTGCAGAGGTAGCTCTGTGCCCACACATGGGATCAGCACCCAAATGTCTTACCATTACATTCCGGTGAGACTAAGTTCTCTACTCCCTGCTTATGATAAAAAGTGGTAGAGGGGAGACACATTTATAATCACAGCAATTAAAAATAACCCCTGCTACTGCAAACATTTCAGTAATTTAAAATACACCAGGATTATGAGGAATGGTTATTGATTATATGAAAATACAATAGAATAAAAGTGACAAGTATAGACCTTGAAATTGTTTGGGGTCTGCTGTTTGGTCATCTTAGGTTTGTGAATTAAAGGGGCATGGACTTTTCACTATGTAAATAATGAAGCATTTGTTCTCACTCTTTAAAATTCTTACAATAGCTTTTCTCTACGATCAGGTGCCCTTTAAATGGATGACAGTTTTGTATCAGATAAAAAGTCAGTAGCCACTTTCTGAGACAGAAGCTTTTTAGATCCTTAGATTAATATGCCTTGCTCTGTACTTTTAGCGGTACTTTGCTGCAGACTAGCAAGTATTTTCACAAGTGGAGATAAAGCTGAAGTCTACGTCTACCACATGTTAGTGGCACCTCATGGAAATGTGGAGGAAGGGGATTATTTAGAGTTCAAACTCAGGCCAGCCCACCCCACCCACTTCCTTGATTAAAAGTAAGGGTAAAGAGAAGGTCTTTTATATTTTTGAGGGCGGGGGAATCAGTGCTTGTGAAATAGAGACTAAAAATATTGTGTGTGTAACAATTATTTGAAAGATTAAGTGTAACATTTCAGGAAATATGAAGGCTATAATAAATTCAGTCAAATTGGTTCAAATATAATTATGTCAATTATACTTCCTGAAATTCTTTGATACAGCACCATGCTCATGGCTTTATTGTTTGTAATATGCCAATCCATGCCTTGTCTCTATTATACAAATGGAAATTCTCTTCAGAATTTCATAAAGCTTAAAGCAAATTGATAATCAAGTTACATTCCTGAACTCAAATCCAATGGATATAAATCACCTTAAAACATGGTCGATTAATAATTGATATGCTTTGATTTTGCATTATATTTGGTGGTCTTAGAAAATAATAGGAATGATTCAGTATGAAATTACATTTTTGATTTGTTCTCATGAGTTGATCCAATAGGCATAGATGTAATTTACTCAAAAATAACTGTTTTGTAAAACTGATTCCTTTAGTGTTAATTTTATCTTTTATGTTAAGTAAAAATAATTGATAATTATGGCCCATAGAACGTGTCTGTTGCTACTATTTATATTTCACGTTGATGCTATGCCTTTATTTTTTGTGATCTCTAAGCAACATATCTGTCTAAATCTACATTTCAAGTAAAGATTACTAAAGGGATAATGTGCTTAAGTTACCAGGTAAGGAGATAAAGATGTATTTTAATATCTCTAGAAGCATCTTTTGCCAAACTGGAAATGTTTTTTCCCTGTTGTTGTTCTCTTACATTAAGTGGATTTTGTATGGAAAGAAATATTTAAGGATAGAAGACAATTAGCCTTACAAATATTTCAGAAACTGGATTTAAAACTTGGTAAAGCTCAATAAACTTAATTTATACACATGTATCTCATGACCACTGTTGTATTGAGTAAACAGAGAAAAAAAAGATTCTTATGTCCACGTTTTTCAAGAGTGTAACTTTGAGCACTGTATTAAAACATTTGAAATTTACTAAGTACGATTATTTTTCTGAGTCAAACGAAAGAGCGCATTTTCATTTAGTAATCAAAATGGCCATACATAGTATGTAGTCTACAAAGATTATTTTCTTTTCACCTTCTATGCTGGAAAATGATAGTTTTATCTGTGATTTTCTAAATATCTGAGAAAATGGAAGGTTCATACCAATGGAAATGTTGATATTTCACATGGCCCTATAGTTCTTCATTAATAATGGCCAATCTCTTATTGAGCAAAGAAAGATTAGTTTTGCATGATAAGCTTTTGCATTATAAGCCATTTTCAGGTTATGAGGTGATGATATTCTATCTCATTTATTGTATTAGGCTATAGTTAGGTCTTCCAAAAGAGAAGGATATTTTCTAATGTGCTACATTTCATGAGAAAGTTGGGGAATGGTCAGGAGAACACTCAGCCTTTCTCAGTGCATAACTTCAATTGGTTCCAGATCATCTGAGTATTCTAACCTGCACCCAGCGCATCAGAGGCAGTGGTAAATGTGCTGGAGAGAACTGTTTTGATGAACTTTAAGAGTTGCTTGAGTAAATCTCAATGATCTTCTTTTATCTGTTATCATTTATTTTTTGTCAGACTAAAGAAAAAAAATATATAGCACGCTTTTAGGCTTGCCTCCCCCACTGCCTCATCCCACCATAGTCTATTTCTTTAAGATCTTGTTCACGCCTTTAGTTTTCAGTTGGGATTGGAAACAGAAGAAGGGGAGCATATTTAGTTGATGTAAAATGCCTATACCAATAGTGTCAATCTGCAGTGCTTTTATATTTTTATAAACAAATGTAAAATTATTAGGGAACATGGCAGCAAGAAATTGGTGTTCCCCGTTAGCATGCAACCTTATATGCCATTGCCCAGCAGCATTTCTCAATATCAATTATTTTTAGGTGTATCTTTCTCCCAGGTAAGTCATCTATAAAAATGTGGGTAAAAATAAAACAGCTTCCAAACCAGACAGTGATTTAAAACTCTACACACAGACCCATAACATTCCATAATTTACAAATCCTAGACTTTGGGAACTGAAGGCTCAGAGCAGCATTCTGAAAGCATGGAGAGGGCTTCACCCTGTGCACCTTGACCTTCTGAACCAAAGCTGACAGCCAGTCAACTGCAAGCCTCAGTGGTGCCCCAGTGTAACACATGACACGTGAGTATTAGCTGCAGTGACAGGCTGCTCTAACTTAGCTGTCATCTGGCCCATTCTCTACACAAACCATCAACATAATTCACTCTAAAGGGCTTTTGCAGAGGGCTTAATGCTTTCTCTTTCTTCCCTTGTACAGTGCAGAATTTAGGACAGCTTATTTTAATTTGATGACCTGAACTATGATCTAATAAGGGACAGCTGTGGCAGCTAAATCCCCAGGCTACTTATTGTCAATTAGAATGAATCCTAAATAAACTCCCTTCATTCCAAAGTTGACCCATTCTTAAACGGTAGGCAGAAATGACACTTAGAAAAGGAAATGCAGGGAAATGGAAGAAAGAGCCAATGGAATGCAAATACTATGAAAGAGAGGACTCTTCAAACAAAATTAGAAGGATGAGCAGTGATAATGACATTTTGATGTTGAGTAATTGCTATTGAATTTTTTTTGAATTGTGAAAAATATCCATGGGGAGAACACAAAGGAATATCAAGCTGTCAAACAAAATGTACCATGTTATTAGAGTTCAGCTAAAAATAAATGTGTTTATGTGAATAAAAGTTATTTATTTAAATATAGAAGATAAAATGCCCTAGAGCAGTGGATTACAAACTTTTTCTTCTTCTTATTCATAACAAATATACATTTTGCAACAAGACCTAGGACATCAGTACAGAAATCTATATACATCCGTTAAACAAAAGTTTCTTGAAATAATATTGATTTTCCCATGTGGTAGGCACTCCAGTTGTTGTTTTTTTTTTTTTTGTCCTGGTTTCTCACTTTGAAGGAAAGCTAATCACTACCTATCAAATTCATATCACCACCCCGCAAAGGACAGGACCCACAGATTGAAAAATGGTATTTCAGAACCTGGGAACAAAATACAAATAGAAAATGTCCAAACCAAACTTAAAGCACTTTAAGATACTCATAAGAAGAGAGGATTTAGCAGCCCAATGCAGAGTCAAATACATTATTGACCCATGCAAAAGCAATTTATAATAACATTGTTTGCTGCTTCCTTGGGTGTGAAGGGCATAAAAAATAAGTGAACATTGTGTAGTGTGACTATTGCTCTCAAACCTCAGCCATGTATTGTTTGTAAGCACTTCTTACTTAAGTTTATAAAATATGAAGAGATAATCTCTTAGTAACATTGGCAGCCCTCACCTGTGTAAACACTGGAAGTGATAATGGATGCAATCTAAAATCAAGATGCAAGGGGACGTAGAATATGAGTACGTAAAACAGTTGTTTCTCCTTGTTTTAAGGAGATAAAAGGCTTTTTATAGGGCTCTCTTGCCAGAGCTATATTGAGCTTGCAGAATAGTTTTCAACGTGGTTGTAGGGGCAGAATTGACAAGTAGAATTGTTTAAAGAGACCAGCATTCCCTCTTGGAGGACCAAATGCTGAAGACTATTTTCAGTTTGTAGGCAGAATCACTTGCTATGAAAACATTTATTTGTCTCTCAGTTAGAACTAGCAATCAGCTGCGTTTGGGCTGGTTGTCTCAAGAGGACATCTCTCTACAGGCAAAAGGTACCACTGGAGTTCATCACCTTGGACTTAAACTGCAGAAAAAACCCATTCTTTTCAGTCTGGTGGGGCCCTGGGCCTAGACTATTTATCTGTAGTTCCCTCAGGCCCCACAATTTGATGCCCTTTGTTAGTGGGCTTGATCTTAAACCGTGAGTGTTCCATCTTTCTTTATGTGTATGTAAACTATTACATCCATTCTTTTGCATTGTTCATAAATTAAAAAATAAAAACTATCAAGAAAAATGATGACCAAGTAGTACAGTCTAGATAAGACTTCAAACATTCTAATCCAAATCATAATCAGACAGATTTCTCCACGTTATGGATCCCACCAAAAAGGATACCTTTAGTGTCTCAATCATAAGCAAAAACAGAAATATCTTTAGAGAAGACAAGATATTTTATAATGTTTCTTTCTATGCTAAAAATGGAACATACATTTTATAAGCAAAGCTATAGGCCAGATATTTTTATTTGTACTGGTAATATGCCCTTTACATGCCATTAAAAGTCGCCACGAAAAAAAAAAAAAAAGATAAAATGCCTAATGTTCATTTTGTTCTGGAAAGAAGCCCAGTTCTCAACCAACACACTGACTACAGAGGTGCCTGAAATGACAAAAGGATCTTCAGACAGAAATGACATTGTCAATAATTGAGAGTCGCCACAGTGCAGCAGTGAGAGGTTAGTTAATGCAGCCCCATGTAAGCAGAATAGAATTTCCTTTTTTCCTTTTTTTTTTTTTTTTTTTTTTTGAGACAGAGTCTTGCTCTGTCGCCCAGGCTGGAGTGCAGTGGCGCGATCTCGGCTCACTGCAAGCTCCGCCTCCCAGGTTCACGCCATTCTCCAAGCAGAATAGAATTTCACAACCACTCTGAGACTCTCTGACTTCTCTTACTTATCCTTACAGAGAAAGGAAAAACTGGTAGCCATCATTTAGTAAGACTTGATGTAACCTTGCTTCTTCTCTTCGGCTGTTTTCTCTCCTCTCCTTATGTGGAGGACCTTAGTCTAAGCAATAAAGACTTTGAGACTTCATAGTTCCTCAAATTTGAACTAATGTAAATTATGGGGATTAATATGTATCACATGTTACTATTATCTATTTTTCTACCTTGGCCTCAATGATGAAAATAAAAGCATACATTTAATGCTTCCATTTTATGAAACAGGGCAATCAACCAGGCTAGCGTTTTTATTATTAGTAATAACTAAGCAGAGAAAAACCAAAAACATTGCTGCTGATTCTTATTATTTAGGAATTATGAAAAATACAGACTAACCCCGCCCTGCAACACACACACACACACACACACACCCCCACGTGGTAAAATAAGTAGCCAAAACTTAATTTTGAAATAAAAATTACCCTCTGTATTTCTTTTCTGTTCTTTTTTGTTTTGTTTCTCCCTTTAAAAAATGTAAGGTAAAAATAATCATAATTTTACCTGTCAAAAAAAGCCCTTAATATCAAACCTGGATTCACCCTCTTTCAACAATAGATGAATGGTTGAGAATTACCTCATATCGTCTTAATGGAATCTTACATACCCATTATATAGTGCTTAAGAACCATAAATAACATTATAATGCCTATAATACATAAATGAAAAATAAAAATAATATAGCCTCAACATAGCAATGCATATAAGGATAAAAATACATTAACCTATCTAAATAATATTTAGTGTGGTAATATAATGGGCACTTTGACTTGCTTAGCACTATGAAATATATTTTATTTCCAAGTATATTGCAATGTATACATATGGTTATCCACATGTAAGATGACTTCCTAATCAAGGTAATACACATTGGAGTTTTAAAGCTCTCAATACCTTTGTATGCAAGATATACACACAATTGTATTTTTCCACAAAGTATGGGGCTAAGAAATACAGATGTAAAATATGATGCCAACCTCACTTATGATCAGAGAAGTGTGAATTAAAACAACATTGAGACACCAGCTAATAGGTAGAATATTAAGTGTGATAATTTCAAGACTGGATGGAGTTGCAGAGATATGGAAATTCATATGTTGCTAGTGCAAGTATAATTTGCTGAAGCCATTTTGGAGAGAAATTTGGCAATATTTGGAAAAGTTGCAGATTCAACAATTCCACTTTTAGAATTACATGCCATAAAAGTAATCCTACATATGCAGAAAGAGAAGTGTATCTAAGTGTTATTCTTAGGGTATAATTTGCATTAATGCCAACGTGGAAATTAGGAGAGTGAATAAATGATTTGCCAAAAATTGTAACAAAGAAAAGCAGCTAAAATGAGTGAACTTGATCTTTATGTACCCAAACAAATAAATTTTGAAAACAAGATTTATTACAGAAGCAAGCTGCAAGAAGATACTGATATTACAACAGCATTTATATTTAAAAAGGTAAAAATACTACACATTTTTCTAGATATCAACAACCAATAAAGACAAAGATAAAAATCAACTTAAGAATAGAAGCTACCTCTAAAAAAGAAGGGAAGGAAGTAGAAAAAAAATGAACTTACAAAGATTTAATTGCATTTAAAAAGCTGAGGTAATTGCCACACAGTTTTACCTTTATTTTTATCTGAGTTAAAACTGTATAGGCATCTGTTACAATATTCTTTCTGCTTTTCCATGTGTTTGAAATAATTTGTACAATAAAACTTTAAAAGTATACAGCTAAAATTAATTCAGTATGAATTTTTAAAATTTGGTTTACCTTCCTCGAATGATTTCTGTGATCGTTTTATCTTATATCTTATAAGAGCACAATATAGGTCAGGTCATGTATGAGGAGAATTTGTTTACCATAAGTGCAATACAATAAGAAGCCGTTTCCTCTTCTGCTGTAAATTCAACTGCAACGCCTCCTTGTGTTTTCTCTTGTCTCCTATATGAGAACTGTAATTGGCACAGGTGCACACAGTTACAGGACTTGCAGTCTTGCCAAACTAACATCTCTGTCACTGTGACATTTACCTACAGGACTCCAAAGTGTGCCTTTTATAAAAGAGTCACTTCCACCTCCACTCTCCTCACATGATCTGCGACCTGTGAACAACTGGATGGATTTAATGATGATAAATCAGTCTTCTTCACAAAGAGCAACTCAACCTAATCTGACGATGATAAAAGAAAAATAAATGATTTCACAACGGCATAATAGTTTCCTAAATTACTTTAGATTCTAAAACAAAACAACACTGCAGACAGGCCAGGAAATGCATTATTCTGAGTGCTGAAATAATTAAGCCCCCATTTTGACTTAAGAATTCCATTTTAGATGCTGAAGTACATTATGAAAGCTAACTTTGGCCTTTTTCTATCTGAAAAATAGTCGTTTTCCAACTTCTGTACAGAATTGCTTTCTTAAAAGTAACAATCTTACTTTCATTTCTGTTGCAAAAACATTATCAGTATGCTTAGCATTTACATTGAGTATTTTACTTGTTCCAGGCTGACAGTATGTTCAAAGTGACTTATAAAAGAGTGATACATTTTATAGGAAAGATATTTGAGGCTTAGAAGATGTAACTATTGCCCAAGGACCCAAAGGTTGGAAAGCGGCAAAGTGTGGCTCCGAGGTGGAGGTGGGTGTGGTTGAGCAGGATGCGTCCCGCACAATGTTGAATTCCCTGCGAATGGCGCTCCCTGAAAAATGCTCTATCCCACTCACTTGTTCCAGTTGCTCTGAGAGTCCCTTCGTTGCACTGGCCACTGCTGCCTGCTCGTTGATCTGAGCATTGCTTGGAAGGTGAATAGGTTGGCTTTATCACATTGTTCCATGGCTAGTTTGAAAGTTGGTGAGCCCAGTAACCTTCCTTGGATAGGTCTAATACCAGGCAAATCGTTCTAGGACCTGACCTACACTGAATCACTTACATCAGATAAACCTCATCACCGTCAGGCACAGAATCAGCAGATTAAAACACATGCAATGCAATGATGGGCTTCTTGTTTTTCGCTTTTTTTTTTTAATAATCTTTATTTCCTTTATTATACCCTAAATACACAGAGTAGATAAAGCACAATCCTTTGTCATCATTGGTCCATAAATGACCTTTTTCTCTCTCTCCCTGTTGCTCTTTCAGTATGTACATCTATAATATACAAGGCTTCTTGATTTCCTAATGAATGATCTTGATGAAAACTTCTGAAATAGGCAACAGTGAAAATGGACTGTGAGGAATTTTTTTCATTCATTCATTCATTCATTACGAATATTTGATAAAGACTTAATGATAGTCCAGTCACTATTTAGGGCACTGTGGCTACATCAGAGGACAAACAAAGAGAACAGCTTATGTTCAGGTGAGATGAAAGGCAAATGAGAAATAATAAGCCAAATCAATCAATTATATATCCATTGATAAGATGATAAGTGCTATGGAAAGTTAGAGGAGGTCAAGATGGTGGCCTCAGGAGTGCAATGAGAGGGCATGAGCTGCAGTATTAAATAAGGTCACCAGGTGGTCTATGGAGATAGGGGCAATGAGCAAAGCCATGGAGCTGAGGAGTGGAGCCACACAGGAATCTCGGGGAGTAGGTTCTAGTCAGAGATGGGGCCTACAAAGGCGTTAACTGGGGTGTGTCTGGCCTGTTCACAGCATGGCAGGGGGCTGCAATGAACAGTACTCACAGGGGAGGTCACAGTGCTGAGGGCAGAACAGCTGGTATACAGAGCCATGTTTGGGTATTTCACAGTGAATGGTCATATACAGTACTTCTTTTTCACAGTAAAATTTTTATCAGTGAAGTGTAAATTATATTTGTGTATGCCTCTCTCTGTGTGCGTGTGGATGTATTAGGACATGCTCTTATCTAAGTATAAGGCAGGTACACACTGTTTTTGAAGAATATAGTAAGAGGTAGTCATACAAAAATATTAAGTGTTCTGTTTAGTAATAGAAAGTGATATGCATTTAACTTGTTTCTGTTTTTGTTTTGTTTGTTTGATGCAGGGTCTGGCTTTGTTGCCCAGGCTGGAGTTCAGTGGCTCTGACATGGCTCACTGCAGTGTCAATCTCCTGGGCTCAAGCAATACTCCCACCTCAGCCTCTCAAGTAGCACGCAGGCTACCACACCCAGCTTGTTTTTTTATTTTTGTATTCTTTGTAGAGACGGGGTCTCACAAGGTTGCCCAGGCTGGTCTCAAATTCCTGGGCTCAAAGGATCCTCCTTGAGTCCTCAGCCTTCCAAATTGCTGAGATTGCAGATGTGAGCCACCACACCCAGCCTTGGTTTTGTTTTTGAAGAAAGGTAAATGATTTCAAAAAGAGAAATTTATCCTAGACTCATGCGTTTTTCACTGAGGCTTTTGGATGGAATAGACAGATATTAAAGGTATTTTCTTTTTTCGGTGCTAAAATATATCTCAGTCAAGCTTTGGAGTAGATAATGAAAAGGGCTATGTTCCTGCTTGGAGTCAAATGTTAGAGCAGGAAGTTTTGGGGGTCCATGATGAATGCACAATGGTAGAAAATGCCTTCATTTAATAGCCTTAGGTAATGCTCTGTTTAGCAATATCAGTAGAGAGCAGGAATTGTCCAGACTGCCTGGGCTTAAGGGATGGCTTTCTACTTTAGTGGAGAAAAGATTAACAAATTAATCTTTGTGTTGGATTAACAAATTATCTGATATTAATAGTGTGCTTTAATCTTTTGAATCTGTAAGCAATTCTAGATGACTTTGGACATGCCTAAAAAAGACATCCATTAACAGGCCCAGGAAATAATGTACCATCTTGGCATAAAAAACTGAAAATAGCATCAAATTGAATAATCAGGAAACAGAACTTTACTCCGTAACTCTAAGCTGGTGATGCGGGCATTCCAGCTATGACATACCTTCAAGCCAACAGACGAATATCTTAGTCTAAACATCTTTTTTTAATAAAATGGATGAATATTGATGTATTGTTCATGACTTATACTCTGTTAAGAAGAGCTGGGTCATCAGACCAAGACTTGGCACTGCCCATGTATGTCTGCCTTATCTGAGCTTGTGATCATAGAGAGTCCAAAAGCAATGATAACCTCTGTAGATCACAGTTGGATGGAACATCTGTCTCTAATCTCTATGTGAGCTCTATAAACAACTGAAGGGAAAAAAGAGCACTGAGCAGGGACCTGACCATCTTGCCAGTCATGGCAAACCTGTGAGGCTCTATTTATTCTCTTAGTGTTAATAAATAATGCAATTTACAACAAACATATTGAAACATTTTTATGGAACCACTATTACAGATTTACAGACAGATAGATACCTAGATACCTAGATGGATATGAATTCTCTTTATATTACCTATATAATGTATATGATGGATACATCACATTTATGCATTTACTTGGCTGAATAGACTCTTAATGCATATTTGTTCTAAAACCTAAAGACTTTTAATCAGTTTGGGTTTGGGTAACAGCTACATTTTATAACTAATCACATTTAAGAATATAAATTGTTACTCTTTATTCTTATCATTTCTGTGCTACTCTGCACTACAACTTTTGCTTTCCAAGTCCAAATCCACCATTATTTTTTTCATTTATTATTTCAATGTCAAACATTTTTTCTAATTTATATGGACCAACTATATAAATAACCTCTTCTATTGGGAAAGAGGTCACATAGAAAGACGGTTGTGAAAAAAGTATTGCTTTCAAAAGATCCAAAAAATAACTTTGAAACCAAGGATTTTAACATACGTTGGTATATTTTTACCATAATATCTTCTGAAAAAAATATATGCATATAATTGCATATATTTATGGTGTACAACATATTTTTGATGTGTGTATACATTGTGAAGTGATTATTATAATCAAACTAATTAACATATCCATCATCTCACATAGCTACCATGTTCTTGTGTGTGGTAAGAACACAGATCTGCTCTCTTAACAAATTTCAAGTATACAATACATTATTTTAACTATAGTCATCATGCTGTATATTTGTTCTCCAGAATTTATTTATCTCATAGTTAAATTTTTTTACACTTTGGCTTATATTCTGAATTAATGGATAGCATCCCAAAATAGTTTTCAAGAAGTTATTAATTTTGTCTAGGCTTTAAAATCATATTCAGAGTGGCAAATACTGCAATTTCCCTTACACAGTATCTGTTCTCAAATGCATTATTTCTTACCTTTCCCTACTTAAAATCTAGAAAGCTAAATATACGGTACTTCTAGCCACTCTCTAGGCAGGGAGGGCCATTTGATAACATTTTGTCCAAGAATTTATTAATGGAAGTTTTCTGGGAGGAGTGTCCCTTTCCAAATAGAAAGTTCAGTGGAGGGCAGGACTTCCAAGCCATCCAAACCCTCTCTGTCAGCAACTCAGAGATGACCCTGGAATTTTGTCAGGAAGCACAAAGAACAGGAAGAGGGCAGCACTCTGGCTTCTGGATGCCATCCCTCATCAGCTAAACCTTCCTTGGACTGCTTCATTCAGGCCTAGGCATGAAAATAATCACATGTAGTTTAACCTACTGCAAGTCAGAGTTTCTCTCACTGTTGGTGGATGTGATCCTGATACACAAAAATGACCTTTAGCCCATTTGATATCGAGTGTTAGTATTAACTATGCATGAGCTAAAGTTATTTGGGCCACATCTCTTCCTATCTTTTCTAAATGCATCGGAGGCATGTGTTTTTTCAGGAGATGAAATATTCGTGTGAGCAAATGAACATCCCTGCTTCTAACAGATGGAGCAGGGCAGGAGCGAGGCATGGGGAGAACTGAATCTTGCAGCAATCCAAGTCTTTTGTCCACTTCATTCATATCAATATCTTGTTGATAACAACAAGATGTGTGGTGCAGTTTTCAAAGCGGCTTTTCAAGGATCTTGATTCTATGCCCGCTCATTCGTGGTAGCCAAACTCAATCGTTGTTAATTTAGCCCACGATTGTCTTTTCTCCCATTATATGCACCACAATGCCATGATTTCAGTGTGGTTAAAGATAACTTATGCTGTACTAAGAAAAATAGTTAAAGTGGCTCTCCATCGTATAGACATGCATTCCATCTCATTTCCTTCCTGCCATTGCCTTTCATGTGCTATAAATATCTCCTACTCTGTAGGGTGAATGGTTTTACACTCTCAAAGCATATTGATAAGGTTTCATGTAACAATCAACTCAGCTGTGTTGAAACTGACAAACCACGTTCTATAATATAAGAGTGATGTTGTTGTAATTCAAACCCAATGACTACCTCTGGCCCATACACTACTCTTAATGTGTTTTTGTTGTTCGTAATGTCAACAGATGCCCTGAATTAAATCTCAGCGCTCGATCAAGACGCTGCCTGTCCCAGTTCACCTTGCAAGAGACTTGGAGGCAGACTGCCCTCAGCAAACACATCGTTGTTTCTCATTGACATAGTAAAAAATGTTATTTGTCTTGCTGTCTTGAGTGAAAAGTCATGTGTAAGTAAAATAATAAAATAATTACCAACTGCTCCTCGACCTTCACATTTCTGGGGAGGGAAGTAGGAACTGCAGAATAGCAGTAGGAGGTAAACACTAAAACCTATTGGCATGGTTTTGCTGTGTCCCCACCTGAAGCTCAACTGGAATTGTAGCTCTCAGAATTCCCACATGTTGTGGGAGGGACCCAGGGGTGGGTAATTGTATCAAGGGGCTGGTCTTTCCTATCCTATTCTCATGATAGTGAAAAAGTCTCACGAGATCTGATGGGTTTACCAGGGGTTTACACTTTTGTGATCTTTGAAATTTATCTTTGGATCTTCTCATTTCTTTCATGTTTTCATTTTTTTCTTGCTGCTGCCATTTAAGAAGTGCCTTTCACCTCCTGCCATGATTCTGAGGCCTCCCCAAGCCATGTGAAACTGTAAGTCCAATTAAACCTCTTTTTCTTCCCAGTCTTGGATATGTCCGTATCAGCAGTGTGAAAATGGACAAATACAGTAAATTGGTACCAGTAGAGTGTGGCGTTGCTGAAAAGAAACCTGAAAATGTGGAAGCAACTTTGGAACTGGGTAACATGCAGGGATTGGAACAGTTTGAAGGGCTCAGAAGAAGACAGCAAGATGTGGGAAAGTTTGGAACTTCTAAAGACTTGCTGAATGGCTTTGTCCAAAATGCTAATAGTGATATGGACAATAAGGTCCAGGCTAAGGTGGTCTCAGATGGAGATGTAGAACTTGTTGGAAACTGGAGCAAAGGTGACTCTTGCCGTTTTAGCAAAGAGACTGGTGGCATTTTATGATTGTGATAGAGATTGTAGAACTTTGAACTTGAGACAGTTTATTTAGGTTAGCTGGTGGAAGAAATTTCTAAGCTACAAAGCATTCAAGAGGTGATTTGGGTACTGTCAAAGACATTCAGTTTTATAAGAGAAGTAGAGCATTAAAGTTTTGAAAATTTGTAGCCCAGCTTTAGAAATCTGCATAAATAGCAAGAAGCCTAATGTTATTCCCTAAGACCGTGGGGAAAATGTCTCCAGGCCATGTCAGAGACCTTCATGGCTGTCCCTCCAATCACAGGCCTGGAGGCCCAGGAGAAAAAAGTGGTTTAGTGGGCTAGGCCCAGGGTCTCTATGCTGTGTGCAGCCTAGGGACTTGGTGCCCTGTGTCCTAGCTGCTCCAGCTGTGGCTGAAAGAGGCCAACATATAGCTCAGGCGGTGACTTCAGAGGTTAGACGACTCAAGCCTTTGTAACTTCCACATGTTGAGCCTGTGGGTGCACAGAAGTCAAGAACTGAGATTTGGGAACCTCTGCCTAGATTTCAGAAGATGTATGCAAACACCTGCACGCCTTTGGCAAAAGTTTTCTGCAGGGGAGGGCCCTCATGGAGAATCTCTGCTAGGGCAGTGCAGAAGGGAAATGTAGGGTCGGAGACCCCATACAGAGTGCCTACTGGGATACTGCCTAGTGGAACTGTGAGAAGAGGGCCACCATCCTCCACCCCAGAATAGTAGATCCACTGACAGCTTGCACTGTGCACCTGGAAAAGGCACAGACACTCAACGCCATCTGTGAAAGCAGCCGGGAGGGAGGCTATACCCTGCAAAGCCCCAGGGGAGGAGCTGCCCACGACCATGTGAACCCATCTCTTGTACCTACATGACCTTGGGAACCCATCTCTTACATCAGCATGACCTGGAATAAAAGGAGATCATTTTGGAGCTTTAAAATTTGACTGCCCCACTGGATTTGGACCTGCATGGGCCCTGTAGCCCCTTTGTTTTGGCCAATTTCTTATTTGGAACAGCTGTATTTATGGAATACCTGTAACCCCATTGTATCTAGGAAGTAACTAACTCGTTTTTGATTTTACAGGCTCATAGGTAGAAGGGACTTGCCTTGTCTCAGATGAAACTTTGGTCTATAAACTTTTGGGTTAATTCTGAAATTAGTTAAGACTTTGGGGGAACTGTTGGGAAGGCATAATTGATTTTGAAATGTGAGTACATGAGACTTGGAGGGGTCAGGGGCAGAACGATAGGTTTGGCTGTGTCCCCACCCAAGTCTCAACTTGAATTGTAGCTCTCAGAATTCCTACGTATTGTGGGAGGGATCCATGGGGAGATAATTGAATCATGGGGCTGGTCTTTCCCATCCTATTCTCGCGGTACTGAATAATTCTCATGAGATCTGATGGGTTTATCAGGGGTTTCTGCTTTTACTACTTTCTCATTTTCTCTTGCTGCCACCAGGTAAGAAGTGCCTTTTGCTTCCTGCCATGATTCTGAGGCCTCCTCAGCCATGTGGAACTATAAGTCCAATTAAACCTCTTTTTTTTTTCCCAGTCTTGGTTATATATTTATCAGTAGTGTGAAAACAGACTAATACACCTATACCTTCTTTTTCAATTAGAAATAATCACTATCCTATAACCACAACCACTAACAAGCAGCTACACAGTGACATACATTCTTGGTATCTCTGTGGCTCAAAAACTGTCCAGATTGAATCGTTTACATTACAAATGTGTGCATTTGAAAAGTAAGATATTTTATTTTCCTCCATAAAAATATAAGATTTATTCATTTTTTGAAACTTTTGTCACCTTAATGAACATCCTTACAACTTTCTGTTAGTGTTAACTTAGATAACCTGCACTGAAACTTTGATCCCTAGCTATGTAAAATTTAATGATACATTAAATATTAATCTATTTATCTAAAATCAATACTTTAAAGCATTTGGCTTTATTACAAAAATGTAGAAGGCTTTACATATAATATTGATATGCTCTTGTAGACTTATCTTTATCATAGTAAAAGGAGATATTTCTGCAAATATACAAAATAGTAAATTCAATAACTAAAAATTTGTGAGATATTTTATATAAAATATAGCCTATTTATGTTTTCATAATATTATAACTTATTTATATTTTCATAATATTACATATATGTTTCCTTGGAATTTATACTATAAGAGTCACAGATGGCAAAAAGAAAACTTTTTCCTGAACAATTGCATAATTAGGTATAGGAATTTTATATTATCACTGTTATATTCTATATAAATTCATCTAAAATGTGTGAAATGATTTTATTCAGCCCTCTCATCTTCTATGAAGTTGAATTACTGAATTTCTCCATTCTGAATGCTGAGAATTCTAATCAACAATCTACACATCATCTATAAACATGCAATCTGGACCACAGCCGCTCCATGTTGGGTCACCCTGTGGGCCACCTGCACTCCCCTGAGATTCTGTACAAAATGTTTACCCTGGGGACTCTCACTAGACTCTTGCTGATTCCGTAAACTGATTTAGACTTGTATAAGGTGGACTTCTGAATGAGTATTATTGTAAATTTCCCAGAGTGGGAAATGTGGGCTACATATTACTTAGAACCCTATTATTTTTTCTTATTGATTGAAACATTGCATTAACTTAAAATCTCTTGAGTTCATGCTAAATATAACTTTATTAAAGTCTGATCAAAACCTGGTCCTAGGCTGAGAAATAGCATAGAGTACACTCAAGTGAAAAGTTGTCAGATTATTAAAAATGAGAGAAATAAAATAGGTTGTTTTCTGATGGACTGAACAAGGGGGAGGAAGATAATAGAGAAATAAATATCTTCAAGAGGAAATAGGATGAGCTTGATATGTCATGCTGCTTCTTACCAGATAAAATATTTAGTGTGATCAACAGTATTTCTCAAATTAGCTAAGAATAAAGAGGTGGACGGGTCACACAGCAGGGAAACTAACAACTATCTGGTATCAGTCTTCTTAGGTGGCCTCCAGCCTCTGACATCGATAGCTGCTGGGTGACTTTGGGTAGATTATTTAGTCCCTCCAGGTCTATATTTATTGACACATAATTATGTTGATGAATGTGTTTTGATTCCTCTCTGAGATATTGTGAATTAACCATAATTCATAGAGGAACCACAAAAGGCCTATACAATTGCCATCTACAAAAATATTGGAGCTTTACATTATAAAAAATCCAGAATAAAGTTTAAAAGGACTAATGCTAAGGTGTTTCATTAATAAAAATAATTTTACAATACTGAAGCAATAAAAATCAAAACTAAAATCTACACCTCAGGCATCACCATGCTCATCACTGTATGATACTTTTTGGGAATAGAACCCGTGATGCTCTGCTAAGTAGAGAGTCTTATTTTTGTAGAGGGCTGGCTGCCTTCTGCAACAAATGGAATCGTGGCTGTCTGCTTCATGAAGTCTTCTCCTCTTACCCTTGCCTGGTGTTCGGTGGATGACCCAAGGACAGGCACTGCAGGGTTTCACCCTTCTCACCCTCTCCCTCCTTTTCTCTTGTCCTTTTCCATCACTTCACAAGAAAATTGACTTTATTCTGCCTCTTCTAACCACCTGAACAGCCCTCATTCTTCTCAATCTTTTCAATTAAACCCTAAATGGATGTTAACAAAAACTTTCACGCTCAGTTGTTTTTAGTTTGGAAAAAGTGAATATGTAACAGAGAAAGGAACAAAGTGACAGAGAGAGAAAAGTGAGAGAAATAGAAAATGCTTTCTTATACCACAAATATTAAGACAAACATTTTAGAAGGTGCTTCAATAGAGAAATAAAATTTTTTAAATGTCTGCAAAAATAAATGTAAAAAATTATAACTGCTTTTGAACATATTTGAGTTTAAATAAAAATGGTATTATTTTAATATTCACTGTATTTAAAATTAAAACTTAAAAATTATGTGGAAAATGGTCACTTAAAAGTCTCAAAATGTCCACTGAAACAATAATGGCAATTCTATTTTTACTTAGCAACTTTTATCTTTATATCTCTATTTTTTAAAACTAAAGTGCTAAAGGAACCTAGCTACACTAAAGTAGATAAATACAGACAGAGACATATACATAGACAGATAAGATACAGATTATGATATGTCATATATAATTATATATAATCAAATTACATAACATTCATGTTAATTATTGATCAGAATATCATGTAAAATGTTAACTATGTATCACTGTATACATCACTATATTAGGCAGAAAAGGCTAAGCTATGCTGAGGTGAGAAACACAAATATCTCAGTGGCTTATCACAACAAGCTCACATCCTTGATCATGAAAAATCAGCTGTGGATTTGGATATTCTCCAAGACATCAGCCTTTAGGTGTAGAGACTCAAAGACCCAGGCAATTTAGATTATGTATCTCGGCCATCTCATTAGGGGGCGTCCTCCACAGTTTTCAACAATCAGCCTGAGGTTGCTACACTGCAACTGGGAAGAGTGACTTATCTGTGTGTTTGACAGAAGAGCATGAAATAGGACACAAGTTATGTAAGCCACAGTAAATCCTCTACTTTGGAATAGCCAAAATATTTGCCAGATGAAGTAAATAATTTTATTCACAATTTCCATGAAGAAGCCCCAGAGGCCACCTGGTGGGGCTGTGGAGTAGTGGGTCATGAAGCAGCCTGCCAGTTTGACATTGAAGCTTTGCAAAGCTGTCAGTGCTGAGTCTGAGGCACCTTGCTCAGGGGACACAGAAGGACTGATCCACAAACACAGGCCAGTTCTCAGGAGAAGAAAAGCCAGAATGAGATAAAGCCACAAAAAGGGTGAGGAGGGTGATTCAAATATTAAAAAGGGTTTTGGGATGAGTTCATTAGGAAGTAAAACACTGCCTTTGAACTTGGAGATGAGGGGATGATATGGTTTGGCTTTGTCCGCACCCAAATTTCATCTTGAATTGCAGTTCCCATAATCCCCACATGTCTTGGAAGAGGCCTGGTAGGAAGAAATTGAATCATGGGTGTGGTTCCCCCATGCTATTCTCGTGATTTGAGTTCTCATGAAATGTAATGATTTTATAAGAGGCTTCTCCCTTCTCTTGGCTCTAATTCTTCCCTCTCCTGCTGCCCTGTGAAGTACTGCCTTCCGCCATGATTGTAAGTTTCCTGAGGCCTCCCCAGCCACGTGGAACTGTGAGTCAATTAAGCCTCTTTTCTTTATAAATTACCCAGTCCTGGGTATTTCTTCGTAGCATCATGAGAACTGACTAATACAGAAAATTGGTACTGGTAGGGTGGAGTGCTATTATAAGGATATCTGAAAATGTGGAAGCAACTTTGGAACTTAGTAACAGACAGAGAATGCAACAGTTTGGAGGGCTCAGAAGACAGAAAGATGTGGGAAAGTTTGCAATGTATTAGAAACTTGCTGAATGGCTTTGACCAAAGTGCCAATAGTGATATGGACAATGAAGTCCAAGCTGAGGTGGTCTCAGATGGAGGTGAGGAACTTGTTGGGAACTGGAGCAAAGATGACCCTTGTTATGCTTTAGCAAAGAGAACAGCGGCATTTTGCCCCTGCCCTGGATATCTGTGGAACTTTGAACTTGAGGGAGATGATTTAGGGTATCATGGGGAAGAAATTTCTAAACAGCAAAGCATTCAGGAGGAATGCATAAAAGTTTGGAAAATTTGCATCCTGATGATGCAATAGAAAAGAAAAACCCATTTTCTTGGGAGACGTTAAAGCATGCTACAGAAATTTGCATAAGTAACAAGGAGGTAAATGTTAATCACCATGACAATGGGGAAAATGTCTCCAGGGCATATCAGAGGTCTTCACAGCCGACCCTCCCATCACAAGCTGGGAGGCCTAGGAGGAAAAAATAGTTTCATGGGTCAGGCTCAGGGCCTTGCTGCTTTGTGCAGCCTTGGAAGTTGGTGCCTTGCATTTCAGCCATTCCAGGCATGGCTAAACAGGACCAACATAGAGCTCAGGCTGTTGCTTCAGAGGGTGCAAGCCCCAAACCTTGGGGGAATACATGTGGTGCTGGGCCTATTGGTGCACAGAAGACAAGAATTGAAAATGTCTCCAAGGCATGTCAGAGACCTTCACAGAAGCTCCTCCCACCACAGGCCTAGAGGCCTAGGAGTAAAAAGTGGTTTCCAGGGCTCCCCTGTTGTGTGCAGCCTAGGGACTTGGTGCTCTGCATCCCAGCCCCTCTAGCTATGGCTAAAATGAGCCATGGTACAGTTCGCAGCATGGCTTCATGCCATGGCCTTGGCAGCTTCCACATGGTGTTGAGCCTGCAGGTGCACAGAAGTCAAGAATTGAGGTTTGGAAACCCTTGCCTAGATTTCAGAGGATGTATGGAAATGGCTGGATGTCCAGGCAGAAATTTGCTGCAGAAGTATAACCCTCATGGGGAAACTCTGTTAGGGCAGTGCAGAAGGGAAATGTGGGCTCGGAGCACCCACACAGAGTCCACACTGGGGCACTGCCTAATGGAGCTGTGAAAAGAGGGTCACCATCATCCAGACCCCAGAATGGCAGATCCACCAACAGCTTGCACCTATGAGCCTAGAAAAGTCAGAGGCTGTACCCTGCAAAGCCACAGGGACAGAGCTGCCCAAGGCCATGGGAGCTCACTGTTTGGATCAGCATGACCTCAATGTGAAACATGGAGTCAAAGGAGATTATTTCGGAGCTTTAAGATTTAATTACTTTCTCATTGGATTTTGTACTTGCGTGGGGCCTGTAGCCCCTTTGTTTTGGCCAATTTCTCCCACTTGGAATGAGTGTATTTACACAATGTCTGTACCTTCATTGTATCTAGGAAGTAACTAACTTTCTTTTCATTTTACAGGCTCACAGGCAGAAAGAACTTACCTTGTCTCAGATGAGACTTTGGACTTGAATTTTTGGGATAAGGCTGAAATGAGCTAAGACTTTGTGGGACCGTTGGGAAGGCATAATTGTGTTTTGAAATGTATGTAAGGATATGATATTGGGGGGTGGGGGGCAGAATGATATGGCTTGGCTGTTTCCCCACCCAAATCTCATTTTGAACTGTAGTTCCTATAAACCTCATGTGTGGTGAGAGGGACCTGGTTGGAGGTAATTGAATCATGGGGACGGTTTTCCCCATGCTATTCTTGTGATAGTGAATAAGTTCTCATGAGATCCGATGGTTTTATATGGGGCTTCCCCCTTCACTCAGCTCTCATTTTTCTCTCTCCTGTCACCCTGTGAAAAGATGCTTTCCACCATGATTGTAAATATCTGAGGCTTTCCCAGCCATGTGGATCTATGAGTTAATTAAACCTCTTTTCTTTATAAATTATCCAGTCTTGGGTGTTTCTTCACAGCAGTGTGAGAATGGACTAATACAGAGGGTGACCATGGGGACATTAAGGCAGAACATGGCGAGTAGAGAGTGCAGCCAACCAAATCCTAGGAGCCAGGAGTGAGTCCCATGTGCCGATTTAAGAGGCCTGCAGTCAGCATGGTGGGAGGAGCAGGAGACAGTGGTGGAAGATGAAGTCTCTTGAGTTATGAGGCAAGGGAGAGCAGAGAGAGAAGATCATGACAGGACGGTCTGTGCAGGTCTTCAGCTGTTTCTCCAAAAGAACTAGAAAGATATTGGAAGACTTTGAGCAGAGTGAAGTGATGAGATCTAATTCCAAACGGTCACCCAGGAAAGGGCCAAAACCCAAAGACCACTTAGGAAGCCAAAGTCTTAACCCAGATGAGAGCTGATGATGATTAGCACCAGATGTCTTCTGTGACCGCTGTGGTAAGTGGGAAGTTCTGGATCAATATTCACACAGAGACATCACACTGTTGTTTTGTGTGTGTGGGTTTTTTGGTTATTGTTTGTTTGTTTGTCTCCAAGTAGCTTTGTATATAATCTATATAAGGGGCAAAAAAGCCAAGGATTAATCTTTCCTGTATCTGGGGTGTGTGACCTGTGCCTTCACAAGCTGCCCTGTGTGCAGAAGGGTCCAGTGTGTGGCTCAATGTTCTGTTATCACCATCTTGGAATTGTTAATAATTTGTGAACAAGGGCCCATTTCTGCATTTTCACTGTACACTGAGCGCAACAAATTATCTAGCCTGAGAGTTAATCCAAGGTTTAACTTCTCAATAATTGGAATAAAATGCTTTCACTGGATGTCAATGTTGCTGGTGGATATGATATTAGGGGAAGGATGTTGAATTCATTCTGGGCATTTGAGCTTTAGGTCCTTACTTAGACATCCAAAATATATTTTCATATAATTGCTATGTGAGTGCATAGTTTAATAGTGATTCTAAGCTGAAGTTATAAATGTGGGAGTCATCAGCATATCAGTGATGTGTAAAGCTAAGAGAGTAGGTAAAATCACCAAAGGAGTGAGTGTACCATAGGGAATGGAACCACAGTGGGTGGGGGAAAGATCTGTATTCTCCCTTTGGTAACTTTCCCTGGCAAAATGTATGAAGCAGAACTACAGGGATTTCTTCAAATAAATAAAACTCTGAGATAAATAGTAAGCCTGAACTGTTTTCTAGTCGCCCTCTGTGTTGATTTATTCCCACTCTGTTAATGCAGTACTGTGATCTTGCAGAACTGTCATAGAGCATGATTTTTCATTATCAAAGAATATTTGTTTTAGGCCTCATTCTCAGAAGAAATCATCATAGCTATTTGAAAAATGCCATTCCCTACAGTATTATTGATGATGATAATGTAATAGGTTGATTTTGGATGGTATAAATATACATATATTCAAATAAATAATGACCTATAATATCTTATTTAACCAGGTATCTAATGTTTTACATTTATGTTTATGACCACAACCTTACATAAATAATGCTGCAATGAATATCTTTGCGTATAAAAGTTATTGACCAATAGATTACAAAGTATAAAATTATGGAAGCATTATATCTTTGAAAAATATATATTTATATGTGTGTATACATATATATGCATTTATCTGGATTTTTTTCTCAAGAGATAGGGTTTTATCTCTTACACATATATTTTTAAATTGATTTAACCATTGTTCTAAGATCCATTTCCAAAAATGTATTTAAATATTTGTTAATGGTTTTATTTTCTAATTTTTAGATTGTTTTCACATCATATTTCCACTTGTGAAGAAACAAAATTTTGTGTTCTTTTGATAAAACCTCTTTTGTATCATATTCAATGCAGATTAAAATTTAAACTTCTATATTTTTTCCTTGATTATGAGATATATATGGATATTTACAATAAATATAAAAAAGATCTTGATATGGTTTGGCTGTGTCCTCAGCCAAATCTCAACCTGAATTGTATCTCTCACAATTCCCACATGTTGTGGAAGGGACCCAGTGGGAGGTAATTGAATCATGGGGGCAGGTCTTTCTCATGGTATTCTCATGAGAGTGAATAAGTCTCATGAGATCTGATGATTAAAATAAAAAGGAGTTTTCCTGTACAAGCTCTCTCTTTTGCCTGCTGCCATCCATGTAAGACATGACTTGCTCCTCCTTGCCTTTCACCATGATTGTGAGGCTTCCCCAACCACATGGAACTATAAGTCCAATTAAACCTCTTTCTTTTGTAAATTGCCCAATCTCAGATATGTCTTTATCAGCAGCATGAAAATGGATAACTACAAATCTATAAATGTTATTATATAAATTATGTCTGAGTAATATATTCTTATTTGTAAAAATGTCACAACTGACATTTTTAAAGGCAGCATTTCTTTTTAATATACAAGCATCTATCTGTAGCTCAGCAAGAACCCATCTCAGAATTTTGGTGTTGCAACAAATTATGTTTTAGCTCATGGGTAATAATAAAATAATAACTTAGTGTTACTTTTAGATTCAAATAATGTTTAAACTTAGGAGTTTAAGTTATATAAATATATCTTGCCAATTCAATTATTTAATTATTTATTCAACAATTACTTACTGAATACTCTAGGATGTTATAAGTATTCATAATATTAGTGTATAAATTTTCACCTGAACCAATATAGAACATAGTTTATATATTTAAATAATACTAAATATATTGTTAGTTTCTAGTAGACATAAATTAGAATATGACTGGTTTAATTTAAACCGTCCTTGAATCATGTCTTTGAAGTATGAAAGTAGCTTGAAGCTCTACATGTTTGATTTCTATCTAGGGATAATAACTTATTATCTATTATTATTTTCTGCAAAGAAGGAAAATAGTAATGCATTCTACAGCCAAATAAAGATAAGAAGATATCTTACAAGATGTCCAAAATGTTTGAATCATTTTGCAACATGTTGGAGCTGTTTTTGCAAAACTAGAAATTAAAAGGAGCCAGAGGAGCACGTGATTATTTATCTTTTTTGGATAACTAAAACATTCTGTACTGATAGGGAGATCAAATCTAGAAAAAAGATTTTGTAACACATCTTACAAAAAGAAAAATGTGGATAAAAAAATAATAGAACCCTGAAGGAGACTAGCAGAGTTATCAACAATTTTGCTTCTTTTCTGAAGTACATCTTATAACTAGAATGATCGTATGTTCTGGTTAGCTTGGGAAAGTCCTGGTTTAGAATTACAGGTTCCACCAATTTACTATTATCAACTATTTTCACTTTCACAAATGTCCCTGTTTGAAGTTAAATTATGTGTTCATTCTTCTTATAACCAATACAACAGGGTTATGGTTAAAATATAAAGTGCTTTTTGGCTCAAGCTGAAACTTAAAACTAATTAATGGCATAACTACTGGAAGAGATGTGTGCAAATCACTGAATTTGCATTTAATAAAATTACCCAAAAACATGGACTGTTAGGCAACGATCATGTCTTTCTTTGTCACTTAGCCTTTTGCCTGCAGTGTGTTTAGTGACGATTACAGTATAATTACTCACCTGCATCAAATTTGGGGCTCCTGCCTAATGTTTACCACAAGAGTTTCCAAAGGATAGTCAACTCATGATTGATGAGATGGTAATTATAGGACTCCCTAATCTTGTTCAAAATAAATAAATACTAACGTAAACAAACATCAAATAATAGGGCCAGTTCCTGCTAATTGTAAGCAAATGGTAAAGTCTTGGAACAATAATAACAACAACAAAATGCACTTTGATTAACAAAAGATAATACTAAAACATTGCTTTAAACATCCTTAAAATGAATAATAATTTCCATTTTTATTCTGCAACTCCAATGTTCATTAAATGATTAAAGTAAACTGAAAAAGAAAGTAAAACGAAATTCAGCTAACAAAATAATACATAATTCTAAACAAATCGTTATGGTATTATATATAAAACTTCATTAAAACACATATTGAATGTATACCTTATAGTTCAAAGAAGTACTTTTTCACAGACCAAACATAAATTATGATGGTAAAACTTTAATAACACTCATCAACTAAATGTCTCCCTTAGTCCATTTATTGTCTTTATTGATTCTCCAATAATGCAATTTCACATTTTTGCTTTATGTATACTCAGTCATCTTACATATATGCATTTTTATTTACCTATAAAATTAACTTTAGCTTAGTGTGAAAGACAAAATGTTACCTATAGTATCAAATATATGATATACATGTAATTACTGCAAATTTTATTTTATACAGATATTTATGATTTACTATATAATGCTAAATAATACTATATAGTTTTGGTGCAAGTGTTTGAGTTTAATAAAGAAAACACATAGAAATAATGCTGCTTTGAAAACTCAAATGAAGATTTCATATCTCTGGTTACTGCTTAGCCAACCTCCATTCTCATATCAGTGTCTCATAAATCTTACTGAAGAAGATTTAGTTACATCAATATCTTATTGATTTTGTATGGTCTTTTGGGATTAGGATAAAGAATAACAAACAATATTGATTTAATTCAAACTAGGTAAATCTTCCATGACCTTGTTGCTTAACAAATATAATGTTTATGTCTTCTATATTAAACCATTGCAGAACACATTCATAGCTGTTCTTGAAATTTGAAGTATAAATGGAGGATAAAACAACCATTTCTGGAGCATAGATTATATGTCCTGTTTGCATCTTCTGCCTACAAACTCTCTTCTTATTTATTCATCTGCACTACCATCCTCATAGGCAATTTATTCAGTATAAACAGTTATTTCAAAATTTTTCAAAGAATAAGTTGATACAGACCTGAAATAGGCCATCAGTAGTAGAAACAGATTAGAACCGAGGCAATAAATAGTAGACAAAGAGATGAAGAAGCAAATATAAAAAGTATAGAAGAAATGATTTGGTCACTGGTGACCATATGGTGATCATATGAGGACATATTTGAAAGCATAAAAATTTAGAAGAGGGAATAGGTGAGAATAACAAGATGATACTATAGAGAATAATATCTTGGGTGAGTATGTTGGTGATAGTTAAATTAACTGAGAAGCAGACCAAAGGAGTTTAAATAGATATGAAGAAAAAAAAATAAATTTGGTTTTAGATTGGAAATAAGGTGCACACATGGGGCAGAAATGCACACTTTCTAATGACTGTACCGATGATGACTTTTGTGCTAAACTCTTAGCTCAGTTTCCACATTTAGGGTGACTTTTTAAATCAAGTTACAATACTCACTCATTTATACCAAAGAGTAATACTAACAGAAGAATATATATGTATAAAATTCAAGAAAATATGTATGACAATACTAGCACCCAATCAATGAATGCTTTGGCATTGACATAATCTCAGTAAAAGTTGAATAATGTATATAAAATAACCATAATACAACTTACATGATTTTAGAACTATAATGAATACTTTATTTAGTATTAGTCAAATTGAGTTTAATAAATACCATACAGAGATACTACCAGTGTTTAGGAAAAGACTCTTATGTGCTATAGAAAGAAGAATTTTAAAATGTATGCCACAACACATATAGGCATATCTCATTTTATCCTGTTTTGCTTTTTCGTGCTTGGCAAATATTATGCTTTTTAAAAATGGAGATTTATGGTAACCCTGCATTGAGCAAGTCTACTGGCACCATTTTTCCAATAGCACGTGCTCATTTCATGTCTCTCTGTTACATTTTACTAATTCTCACAATATTTCTAACTTTTTCCTTATTATTATACCTGTTTTGGTGGTCTGTGATCAGTGGTCCTTGATGTTATGGTGGTCTGTGATCAGTGATCCTATTGTAATTGTTTTGGTGCCATGAACCATGCTCATATAAGACAGTAAACTCAATCAATAAATGATACATGTATTCTACTCCATGGCTACTCTTTGAACCAGCCATTGCCCTCAGTCTTTCTCCCTCTCCCCAGACCTCCCTATTCCCTGAGATACAACAATATTGAAATTAGGCCAATTAATAACCTACAGTGGCTTCTAAGTGTTTAAGTAAAAGGAAGAGTCTAATATCACTCACTTTAAAACAAAAGTTCGGTATGATTACGCTTAAGTGATGAGCAAAACAGTCTTATTGCTGATACAAATTTTTGTGGTTTGGATAGAATATCAAACCAGCCACAACATTCCCTTAAGCCAAAGTGCAATCTAGATCAAGATCTTAACTCTCTTGCATCCTATGAAAGCAGAGAGAGGTGAGGAGGTTCCAAAAAGAAAGTTTGAAGCTATCAGAGGTTGGTTCATAAATATTTTAAGTCCACTGTTAAGACCTACTGCTCAGAAAAAAAAAGATTCCTTTCAAAATATCTGCTAAATGACAATGCACTTAGTCAACCAAGAAATCTGATGGAGCTGTAAAGGAAAATTAGTGTTATCTCTATGCCTGCTAACCTAATACTCACTCTGCAGCTCATGGATCAAAAAGTAATTTTGACTTTCAAGTCTTATTGTATAAGAAAAACATTTCATAAGGCTATAGCTGCCATAGATAATGATTCCTCTGATTGATCTGAGCAAAGCAAATAAAAAACCCTCTGGAAATAACTCACCATTCTAGAAACCATTAAGAACATTCGTAATTCAAGGAGGAAGGTCAAAATATCATCAGCAGGAGTTTGGAAGAAGTTGATTCCAACTCTCCTGTATGACTTTGACGAGACTTCACTATGGGAATTAACTGCAGGTGGGATGAATATAAGAACTAGAATTAGAAGTGAATCCTGAAAATGTTACTGAATTGCTGCAATTTCATGATAAAGCTTTAATGAATGAGAAATTGCTTTGTATGGATGTAAAAATATGAAGTGGTTTCTTGAGATGGAATCTACTTATCTGGTGAAGAGGCTGTGGACGTTATTGAAATGATAACAAAGGATTTGGAATATTCCGTAAACTTAGTTGATAAAGCAGTGGCGAGGCTGGAAATAGGACTTGTTTCCAATTTTGAAAGAAGTCCTACTGTAAGCAAAATGCTATCAAACAGCATCACATGCTACAGAGAAATCTTTCATGAAAGAGTCAATTGATGGAGAAAACTTCATCTTTTTCTTATTTTAAGAATGTCCACAGTCATCCCAACTTTCAGTAACCAACACCCTGATCATTTAGCACCCATGAACATCCAGGTAAGACCCTCCCCAGAAAAAAGATTATGACTCATTGAAGGAGCAGATGATTGTTAGCATTTTTTAGCCATAATTTATTTTTAAATTAAAATATGCATATTTTTAGATATAATGCTGTTTCATACTTAATAGACTACAGTATGGTGTTAACATAACTGTAATATACACTAGGAAACAAAAGTGTGACTCACTTTATTGCAATATTGACTTTATTGTGTGGATCTGAAACTGAATCTACAGTAATTTGCGTACAGTATAAAAGGAGAGAATATGCCTTTCAGTAGCTACCTCTCTTACTGAAGGCAGTGTTTATATCTCTAAATAGATTATCTTGTCTTTCTAGGGTGATATGACTTTAACCCTAGACTTGAGTTTTCTAATTAGAATGTAATTTAATATGGAATTAGACACAATTTTTAAAATGCTACATATGTAGATATAACTTTATATACATACATAATTTAGAATTAGATGTGATTTTTAGATAGTTTTATATTTATATGAAGTTATATACATATATAAAACTATCTAAAAATTAGAGTTGTGAATTAATGTAATTAGGTGTCTTATAATGAATGGGTGGGCTGCCATTTATCAGAGGTATTTGTGGTGAGACTCTATGACTATGGGTCAAAGATGTTATTGTAGGCAATGAATTGATCTTGGATAAAGTGCTGTATAATTACCTTCAATTCAAAAAATTTGTATTTCTAAAATTATATTGTTTAATATTTCCCGGCTGTTCATGGGATTTCTCAAGTGTTTTTGTAAAGAAAATGCCAAAGAGTCTGGAAATAAACCCATACAGCTACAGTCAGTTGATTTTTGACAAGGGTGCCAAGACCATTTGATGGGGGAAAGAATAATCTCTTCTACAGCTGGTGCTGGAATAATGCGAATGAAGTTGGACCCCAATGGACAGTATGTACATAAATCAACTTAAAATGGATCACAGATCTAAACGAAAGAGCTAAAAATATATAACAACTTCAAAGAAATCAAAGGTGTATAACCTTGGATTTGGTAATGAACTCTCGGATAAAGCAAAACAAAATCACAAAACCATAAGAAAAACACTTTAAAAATAGATAAATTGGACTCATTACAATTAAATAAAAACTTTTTTACAACCAGGGAAACTATTAAGACAGTGAAAAGACAGCCTACAGAATGAGATGAAATGTTTTCAAATCATATTATCTGATAAAATTTAGTATCTAGAATACATATAAATAAGTCTTTCACCTCAAAAACAAAAATTAAACAACCTAAGTTAAAAATGGGCAAAGGCCTTGAATAGACCTTTCTCTGAAGAGGATATACAGATTGCCAACAAATATAAGAAAAGATACTCAACATTATTAGTCATTAGGGAAATGCAAATCGAAGCCATAATAAGATAACAATTGAACCAACTAAGGTGATTTATTAAACAACAAGAACAGCAAAAAGCATAAAAGAGCAAGTACTGGTGATGATGTGGAGAAATAAGAACCCCCATATGGTTAGTGAAATGTAAGATGGTACAGCCTTTACAGAAAGCAGTTTTGCAATTTCATTGAGAAGCAAAACATAGAAATGTCACATGATGCAGCAATTCCACTCATAGGAGCATACCCAAAATAATTAAAACCAGGTATTCCAACAAACATTTGTACACAAATAAATGTAGCCAAACTAATTCACACTAGCCAAAAGGTAAAAACAAACCAAATGTCCTTCAATGGATGAATGGATAAAGAGTGGTATATCCATACAACGGAATATAGTCTAGCCAAAAAAGAAATGAAGTTGTGATACATGCTACTATCTGGAGGAACCTAGAAGGCATCATGCTAAGTGAAAGAAGCCAGACACAAGGGATACACACTGAATGATTCTATTATTCCAGAACAGGCCAATCCGTAAGACAGAAAGCTGACTAGTGGTTGTCGGTGGCTGGGAAAGGGAAATGGGGAGTGACCGCTTAATGGGTACGAGGTTTTATTTCAGGGTGACAAAAATGCCTTGGAGCTAGATAGAGATAATTGATACATAATATTCTTAGCATATTTGATGCCACTGAGTTTAAATTTTAAAATGGTTAATTTTATGTTTTACAAATTTTACCTCAATAAAAAAATAATAAGTTCCCAATGTATGCAAAGCACAGTTTCCATGTTAATCTTCTATCCTGGTTCTACACTTTTCTAGATGCTATACTTAAAAAACACATAAATATAGTTTTTCCCAAATAAAATAGATATTCTTTCTTAAAAATATGTCTTTTGGAAAGTACTAATGTATGCCTTTATTCAAATAGAAAAAGCATAAATTAAAGTGAGATGTTTGCTATAATATAGTCAATTTTAATGTAAAATACAAACTTGAAAACAAATTTTAAGAAATTAATCAACAATTTCGGTAATGTTTATGTGATATTTTATTCTATTTTAGATTTTAGTGTTTCAATGGTTATCAGCATTTCAATTCATAGTGATTATTTGTAAAACCTAGTTAAGATGGAATTAAAAACTTTTCTCTGAATTTAAACATTTAAGTTTAGCTACATTGAAAAATGACAGTGTTTATGAAATGTCATATGAATTAATATTATATTGGTATTGACACTAACCCTAGGAAGTGCTTATTGCAAAATTTAAACTATTGCTAGCTAGGCTAAAATTCTCTGTAATTTACTTAAACAATGTATTAGCATTGCTTCAATAATTAATATTGTAAACCTGGTTTCAATATACTACAAGTGTGTTTTACAGCATTTGACACAGACACAGTCAGGGAATACCCAACAGCATTCTCCTGCATTCCTCTCCTCCACTTAGGTCCTAATTGACCTCAAACATGGCCTCAGGTCTAGCTAAATGTTGACCTTAGTGTGGTTCACAAATCAAAGTCATTCTAGAGACTGGCTCCAGGATCTGCTTGAATTCTTCCAATCTGTCATTTAGACATTTCCTAAGAATCCATTAGTTGCTTTCTGTTTGTAAACTTCGTGTGACTTAAGGCAATGATGAATAAAGCATGGCAAATGCTCTCAAAGATGTGTGGTTTGATGGAAGAAAAAGACAGGTTAAATAACCCTAATGAAATGGAATACATTTTTAAATACCTGAGGGAGAAGAGAAAACAGACGGTCCAACTCAGCAGGTGAGACACATGGTATGCACATATCTAGGGAAAAAGTCGCAGAGAAAACAGCATAATAAAATGATTCTCCAGGGATGTATACAGGTCACATGTACAGCAACTCAGGCTTCAGCTTGGCTTACCTAGTGAGAAATCTACAAGACCTCTCTCCTTCCTTTCAGCACTACTCTTTTGAACTCTGTGGCTGTACCCGGACATCTGGTCCAACTGCAGACTTCTGAGTCCTTACTGACCTTCTCTCAGGGACCTTACACTTAACCAGACTGTCAGGATCTATCAGCTGTTCAGCAAATCCCCTAGTCAGACCTCTTCAGCTTGCTTGTCTCACAGACAAGTGAGAACTTACCTATGAGAGAGAAAAGTCCCATCCCTTTGAATGAGCAAAGCTGCAATACTCAACACCTTATGGCTTTGTTCCTTACTATGTTCCATAATCTATACAAAGCAAATAGAAAGTCCCGAGCATTCTCATATCCTCAACAGCTACCTTCTCAAAACTAATTTCTTTTAAAGTTGATACTACCTTTTCTTCATCAACTTTTTCTACCCCCTTTTGTATCTTTGCAGAAACCTCCATCAGTTAGGTCTAAATCCAATGTTACCTTCCATAGGAGACTTCAATGAAACACCTTCACTCCACTTACAATTAGTTACTGGTTCCTACATTCTCTTACAACAATTTGTACTTGATCGTGGCATTTGTCCTTGTCCAACTTATTGCGCAAATACCTGCCTTTCCCATAGAGAACAGGAGAAATTTGAGAGCAGCAGTTACTCTATTCTTGTGTGCATTCTGTAACGCCCATAACCATTCCTTGAGTCCACAAATTCGTGTATTCATTGAACAAATATGGATCGTGCTACATATATGTGCCAGGTACTCTTCCTGGTAGTGAATTGAACTGAAGTAAGTTGTAACTTCTAGTAGAGAGGGAAACAAACTTATTGTTATTATTAAAGTTCTAGTTAATGAGGAGAATATCAAAACACAGGACATTCCCCTTTATGATACACAACTAGATACACAACTATGATATACAACTAGAATCCTGGGCTCAAAAGGGAGAATCAGGGGCTTTATAATCAATCTTGTCATTCAACATAATCATGCAGAATCCTGTTTTTTTTATATATATTTCAATGTTTCCTGTTCACATGTCATTTTAATTCTTAAATCAATTCCACGTGTTAATACGTTGGAATGAAGAGGTCACACTGCATACTCCTTGAGGAGTTATGGTCAGGTCCCTCTTGCTTGAAATTCCAGATTGAAAACTGAAACGTCCCAGAATGCTTTAAGCAAAACGATGTGATGCAGCTGTGCCTTTGATACTTAAAAAAAATCATGGCATCAGAAGTTGATGTTTAAGACATTTTAGAAAGCTTGTACACCCTTGTGCTTCAAGGCCCAAAACAAAGCCCAAAGGCCCAAATAGCATCTGCCTGGAGGTGGAAGTGCTTATGGCTCTTGCCTGTTTCAGTTGGGGCTAGAGACATTTAACATCAAGCACTTTCTTCATAATTGACTGTGTTGGGGAAGGGGTTAGTCTTTCCACAGCATGGGTTTGTCTTTCCAGAGCAAAGAATGGGGCAGGGGTTTGTTGGGGGGTGGGGGCGCGGAACATGTCAATGTCGATGTTGACACACTAGAAAATGGAAATTGTGAAATAATTGTAAACTTTCTAATATCCGAGGTAAAGGCATAGAGCTACAGAACAACAAAAAGTAAAAATTAATTGAGCCAGTAAGGAAAGTGTTCTCTCAGGGAACACAGAAAAGACATGCGGTCCATTAAAAGCAGAAATGCTACTATGCTCCAGCATCGGGAGAACACAGTGTGTGAATGGCCTTTCCCACAGCGCTAATGAACCAGCTTTGAAAAATTGTCACCTTCTCATCCCGTGCCTGTGATCACTACTAGCTCATAATTTTTTTTGGAATCTGACTGTGAATTTTAGATTCCAAAATGGAATTTGTACTTGGAGACCCTCTTATCTATCCTCTTGCAGGAAGCGCTTAGTTCATCATCTCAATGAAGAGTTTTCTATCTCTGATGGGAAAGTTCTTGAAAGTTTATCTCACTCTAGAGAGGACTTAATGCTTAGAATTCCAACAGTTTTCTATGGTGAATTTTCATGCTGTTTCTTCCTTTTGAATACTCAAAAATATGTGAGTGCAAAACCTCTTATCCCTCTCCTTCCAGGCTGCAAGAATAAGAGACAGAGAATAATACCAAAAAAATATATTAAAAAACAGACAATAATATCCAAGGAACAAAAATAAAACAGCAATAAAAAAATTCAGTCTTTGTCTTTTGAAAAACTGATCAGGTGAACAAATGTCCCGACACTATTCATTGATTCATAAAACACTGTGGCGGGGTCACAGACGTGCCCTGACTTCCGCTTTCTCCTACCATCTTCAGTTCTACCACCACCTGGTGGACTTAACCTGCTATTATTTCCACCGTCAAACTTGAGATGGACATCAACAATCGTTTGAGAAACTACTGATGCCGCCTATATTGATGTTAGTTATTCCAGTCCTACTTCTTTCACTGTTTTCTCAAAATATGACCACCGTATTTGTTAGAGGAGATAAATACATCTTCTATTTATTTTCTAGCATCTTCTACATAATCATTACAAACATAGGTAATACATGCTATAAGATTATCAAGCAGATAAAAGATATATTTCATCTCCCTGTTTCTGTTTGTTGTTTTGCTTTGTTTACACAGCAACATTTCTGAGATCATGCCCTTTTTATTTTGCCTATTTTTCAGCTTTTCTCTAAACCCTCATCCCGGACAAAGCATGATGCTCTAGGACCTGCCATAAACACAGCTATATTTGCATGACGTGTAAACCAAAACATCTGCAAGACTTAATCATGGTGTGTTTTGGAGACCGAAAGCTGTTCCCCAAACTCATTCTTGCCTTCCTTATAAACAGCTGGATGCCCAGGTAGAAATGGCATTTCTCAGCCTCCTTTGCCTTTAGATTTGGATGGCACTCTATGTTCTCTATGTTCTCACCACTGGAATGTGAATAGTGATGCCTGGAGTCATCTCAGAAGCTACATGTTGAAGAATATGGAGCTGCCTCTTCGCCCAGTTTCCTGTAATACATCCGTGCATAGACCCCCACCCAGCCTAGATTGTTACTCTAGGAAGAAATGACCTTAGATTTTGTTTGAAGCACTGCGTTTGGAATCGTGTTTGTGACAGCAGCTCAGCCTTGTCTTCATTCACACACACTCTCATTTGTACTGAGTGGGCCCAGGACGTGTGTGAAATCAAAACCTAGAGAATCTCATTAGGTAAGTGGTATTGTTTCCATGATCAAACATGACAGGAAGTATGGAAAACATACTATCATATTTGTTATTTAGAAATATGTATATACAGGCAACATTGTATGTAGACACTTTGTATTTAAAAATGAAAGCTAGGACATAGAATACCTTTTCTGCAAACTGTACAGGTTCTTGATAACATTTTAACATAATTAAGAATCATGTGTGTGTGCGTGTGTGTGTGTGTGCATATGTGTGTATCTACCTAGACAGAGACAGCAATAGAAAGACAAAGAGAGAGGGAGAGTTATATGTGCAAATTGAGAACATTTTTTGGATAGTGAAGTGTAAAAAGAAAACGAAAGTAAGAGAGTTAATCAAATTCTAACATTCAACATTTTAAAACCTTGATTTCAGGTTTTAAATATTTTATTGAATATATTATTTTAAAATTAATATTATTAATGTATTTAATTATAAATCGATACATGCTACTATAACATTTCTTAAAATACAGAATGATAAATAATAAAATGGAAAGGTATTTTCTTACACAATATTCCCATCAGAAGAAGCAACAGTGCAAGAAGCAACAGTGCAAGAAGCAGTTTCAGATTGCAAGGTAGGTGCTTTGCCATTAAATGCAATTGACTCTCCCTTAGGGAGATACCTTTTAAAGCTTGTATTTGTTAGAGAAGATAAATACATCTTCTGTTTATTTTCTATCATCTTCTGCATAATCTGGACTGTCTACATAATCTACATAAACTGGACTATCCATCCAGTAAGATATAGCTTTGTTCACCCCATCCCTTCCTTTGAGAATTACCATTTGTGGTATCACATTCCCATTCAGTCTTTGATAACTTTGGTCTTCTATCCTCAAATTTTACTAGGTTTAATTATAACAGAAAGTTAAAGATCTCACATGTTAACTGTCCTTTGCAACAACCTGTTAATAATAATAAAAACATACCGATTATATGTAACCTGAATGTTCCTGGTCTGTGGCCCTAGGACATTTCACAAGGGACTTTTGCCTATGTCAATTGGGAAAGGACCTCAGAATTGCCCAGTATCTTTCCTGTAGCCAAGAGAGTAAAATTCTGTGTTTGCTTTTGGAAGGCAGTTATCTTTATATTACACCTAAGTTATTCAGGGACTTGGGCAAAGAGTCTGAACTATTTTTAAAGTTTTGAGGGGTCATGTTTCTCTCCCTAGAGCACATGGAATCTTTGCAGCTGTCTCTAACTCCATTTTTGGTAATGATGTTGGGAGATTTTATTGTGCAATTAGAAATAAGAGCATACATCTGAACTTTGTCATACAAAGAAACAAATTCCAAGTAATGTAAGGTAAATGTTCTCAGTTTAAGGTTTAGGGTCATCAATCCTAATACCAATGTTACTATTATTACTGATGATGATGACAGTGATAAGAAGAGGAACAACAGGTTGTACTTTCTGTATAGTACTTACCATGTGCCACATAATGTTATATGCAGTATATTATTAAATAAATCATTTAATCTTCATCCAAAGCAACACTATGATATGAATACTACTTTTATCCCATTTAACAGGTGAAGAAAATGAAGCAAAAAGGAGATAAGTGACTTTGGCCAAGATAGAAACTGCCTCAACCATTTGGAGGCTCTGAAAGAATCTGATTTGGGAATGGCTAGCTGCTATCACAAATCCACTGGAAGAAAATGCTAAAGCAAAGAACAGATACTTGTTGAGTGAGAAGAAGAGGCTGAGTCTAGCAAGAGATGTATTGTTGAGCATCACAGGAAGTCATACTTCTGCGGCAAGGTCTCTAATACACATTTGCCATTTTCCATGGCAGGGCTTAGCAGCTTAGAGACCGAAATGGAAAACCGATCTATTTAGGTTGAATTAATCCAGGAAGCTGCTCAATACATAGTCCCAAAACTCAGGTTTCTACATAATACAGGTTAAGGATTGCCAAACAGAACATGAGTTAGTGCCAAAATTCATCAGGACCATACACCAGGGGTGCCTTATTTAAAAAGTAAATTTGTAATTAAAATTATTTGACTGGGTGGAACTAAGCACATTTACTTTTTTAAATTTCTGACTCTTTGTAATCTCAGAGTGGAAGTTGATTATACCACAAAGTTAGGCAAAGCATAAGCACTGTGATCTACCACGTATAGACTTCAGTATAATACACTTGTGAAGTGATATGGCTTGGCTGTGTCCCCACCCAAATCTCTTCTTGAACTGTAGTTCCCATAATCCCCATGTGTCATGGGAGGGACCCCATGAAAAATAATTGAATCATGGGGGTGGTTACTTCCATGTTATTCTCGTGATAGTGAGTGAGTTCTCACAAGATCTGATGGTTTTATAAGGGGCCGTTCCCTCTCTTTGTTCTGCACTTCTCCTTGCTGCTGCCATGTGTTTGCTTTCCCTTTTGCCATGATTGTAAGTTTCCTGATGCCTCTGCAGCCATACTGAACTGTGAGTCAATTAAACCTTTATAAATTACCCAGTTTCCCATGCATCTTTATCAGCAGTGTGAGAACAAACTAATATAGTAAATTGGTACCAGTAGAGTGGGGTGCTGCCATAAAGATACCCCTAGATGTGGAAGTGAGTTCGGAACTGGGTAACAGGCACAGGTTAGAACGCTTGGAGGGCTCAGAAAAAGACAGGAAAATGTGGGAAAGTTTGGAACTTCCCAGAGACTTGGAGGGCTCAGAAGACAGGAAGATGTGGGAAAGTTTGGAACTTCCTAGAGACTCGTTGAATGGCTTTGACCAAGATGCTGATGGTGACATGGACAATTAAGTACAGGCTGAGGTGGTCTCAGATAGAGATGAGAAACTTGTTGGGAACTGGAGTAAAGTTCCAAGGAGTAAAGATCACTCTTGCTATGCAAAGAGACTGGAAGCATTTTGCCTCTACCCTAGAGATCTATGGAACTTTGAACTTGAGAGAGATGATTTAGGGTATCTGGTGGAAGACATTTCTAAGTGGCAGTGTATTCAAAAGGAAGCAAGGCATAAAAGTTCAAAACATTTGCAGCCTGCCTATGCAATAAAAAAGAAAACCCAGTTTCCTGGGGAGAAATTCAAGCAGGATGCAGACATTTGTATAAATAATGAGGAGGCAAATGTTAATCACCAAGAAAATAGGGAAAATATCTCCAGGGCATGTCAGAGACCTTCATGGCAGCCCCTCCAATCACAATCCCAGAGGCCTAGGAGGAAAAAATGGTTTCCTGAGCTGGGTCCAGGGCTACCTGGCTCTGTGAGTCTCAGGACTTGGTGCCCTGAGTCCCAGCTGATACAATCATAACTAAAAGTGGCCAAGGTATGGCTCAGGCCATGGCTTCAGAGGGTGCAAGCCCCAAGCTTTGGCAGCTTTCACGTGCTGTTGGGCCTCAGGTCCACAGAAGACAAGAATTGTGGTCTGGGAATCTCTGACTTGATTTTGGAGGATTTATGGAAATGCCTGTATATCCAGGCAGAAGTTTGGTGCAGTAGTGGAGTTCTCACAGAGAACCTCTGCCAGGGCAGTTCAGAAGGGAAATGTGGGGTCACAGACCCCACACAGAGTACCCAATGGTGTACTGCCTAGTTGAGCTGTGAGAAGAGGGCGACAGTCTCCAGAATGGTAGATCCACGGACAGGTTGCACTGTGTGTCTGGAAAAGCTGCAGACACTCCACACCAGCCTATGAAAGCAGTTGGGCGGGGGCTTGTACCCTGCAAAGGCACAGGAGTGGAGCTGTCCAAAGTCACTGGAGCCCACCTCTTGCATCAGTGTCACCTGAATGTGAGACATGGAGTCAAAGGAGATCATTTTGGAACATTAAGGTTTAATGAATGCCCTACTGGATTTTGGACTTGCATGGGGCCATTAGCCAATTGGTTTTGGCCAATTTCTCCCATTTGGAACAGGTGTATTTACCCAATGCCTGTACCTGCATTGTATCTAGGAAGTAACTAACTTGATTTTGATTTTACCAGCTCATAGACAGAAAAGAATTGCCTTGTCTCAGATGAGACTTTAACTTGGACATTTTGGTTAATGCTGGAATGAGTTAAAACTTTGGGGAACTGTTTGGAAGGCATGATTGTGTTTTGAAATGTGAGGACATGAGATTTGGGAGGGGTCGGGGTGGAATGATATGGTTTAGCTCTGTCCCCACCCAAATCGCATCTTGAACTGTAGTTCCCATAATCCCCACATGCTGTGGGAGGGACCCAGAGAGAGGTAATTGAATCATGGGGGCAGTTACCTCCATGCTGTTCTCAGGATAGTGAGTGAGTTCTCGAACAAGATCTGATTGTTTTATAAGGGACTTTCCCCCCTCCTCGTGCCGTACTTCTTGCTGCTGTTGTGTGAAGAAGGACTTGTTTGCTTCCCCTTTTGCCATGATTGGTAAGTTTCCTGAGGCCTCCCCAGCCATGCTGAACTGTGAGTCAATTAAACCTCCTTCCTTTGTAAATTACCCAATCTTGGGTATGTCTTTTTTAGCAGCGTGAGGACAGACTAATACATGAAGTATATACTCAATATGTCAAAAATCCCTATTCGTGTGGACCCCATTCTTTACAGATTACACCAGACAAAGGTGTGTTAATCATGTAATTAGAGCACATACTTTTACTCTGTTAATGTATAAAATTGAATCAGTTTTCCACTTTGTGATAGTTAATACTGAATGTCAACTTGATTGGATTGAAGGATACAATGGATTAATCCTGTGTGCATCTGTGTGGGTGTTGCCAAAAGAGATTAACATTTGAGTCAGTGGGCTGAGTAAGGCAGATCCACCCTTAATCTGGTGGGCACAACCTATCAGCTTCCAGCGAATATAAAGCAGGCAGAAAAACGTGAAAAGGAGACGTTGGCCTAGACTCTCATCCTACCTCTTTCTCCCGTGCTGGATGTTTCCTGCCCTCAAACATTGAACTCCAAGTTCTTCAGTTTTGGGACTCAGACTGGCTTCCTTGCTCCTCAGCTTGCAGACAGCCTGTTGTGGGACCTTGTGATTGTGTAAGTTAATACATAATAAACTACCTTATATATATCTATATCTATATCTATCAACACTATCAACATATATATCAACATAGTATGTATATACATATATATATCCTTTTATATATATATATAGGATATATATAGACAGAACTAATAGGATATATATATGTCCTAATAGTACCTATATTTATACTATTTATAATTTATAATTATACTATTTGTATTTATAACAGGATACATATATCCTAATAGTATATATTTTATATATACTATATATAATAGTATAATTCATAATTATATATAAATAGTATAATTTATGATTTTATATGTGTGTGTGTGTATATATATATATATATCCTATTAGTTCCATCCCTGTATGAGAACCCTGCTTAATACACACTGTATCTGATCTGCATATATAGACATTGTCCAAGTGGGTAACTAATTAGATAGACATCAATTAAAGCATTTGCAGCTGGACGCAGTGGCTCATGCCTGTAATCCCAGCACTTTGGGAGGCTGAGGCCGGTGGGTCATTTGAGGTTAGGAGTTCAAGACCAGCCTGGCCAACATGATGAAAGCCCATCTCTATTAAAAATGCCTGTAATCCCAACTACTCAGGAGGCTGAGGCAGAAGAATTGCTTGAACTTGGGAGGTGGAGGTTGCAATGAGCTGAGATCGCACCACTACACTCCTGTCTGGGTGACAAGAGCAAGACCCAATCTCCAAAAAAAAAAAAAAAAAAAAAAAAAAAAAAACCTATTTGCTGTTGTGGTATATCTGTTCTTTGCCTGAATGATATTGAATGTACAATGTGGTTCACTAAGTGAGTTCAAAATATAAAAATGAATTACACAAACTGCAGAAACTAATAGCTAATTGTTACTAAAATAAATTACTTTTTTTACCATAGATTAGTTATTATAGCACAGTTTTTATATTATTTATAAATGCTGCTACTATATTTCTTGAACAGCCATAGGCTGAGTCCAGTAAGCTGTATAAAAGCATGGAATTATGTAAAAATTATGATACTCTAGGCAAAACAAACACATTTTATGTAAGCACTGTGCCAGAGACATGATTAGGAGAAAGATTATGATTTCAATGTTGGCTTTTTGATACGCCTAAGAGTCAGAGAAATATAGCTATCAAATGAATATTTAAACATGTATGCAGGAAGATCTTTCGAGAGATTTGTGTTAAGGATACACTTTGAGAGCAATTGAAACTTTAAGGATGAATGCAATCATTCAAGAAAACAATATTAATTGAGAAGTAAAAGAAAGCTTATAGTGGAGTATTGAAAAACTCATTATTCAGTGGTGAAAATCTGCAGAATAGTCAACAAAAAATACAAAGAGTAGCCAGAAAGGATGGCAGAAAAGGGGCAGGACTTGTGAGTACAGGATAAATTCAGCTCACATTGTAGGACTGCTTGTTTGCAGAGTGATCAAAGGAGGTTTGGCCCCAGTACAATTTTCCTCTAACAACTTTAAATTTGTCTAAGTTTGAGGCCTAAAATAGACATAAACACACACAAGTACACATGCACAGATGTACATACACAAGTATTCACAAACACACATGCACATGTATGCCTGCAACAGAGCCTAAACCTCCACTAGGAAACTGAAAAGTGATATACAAAAGGAAGTGAAAGGAGCCAATTAAATTCTTTTGAAAAGACATGTAAGATAACGACCAAACAGAACCAATGCGTTTTATTTAAGACATAGATAATTAGGAGCATTAAAATAAAATGAGAAATGAGATTTGTTTGATTTGAGGCAAGACAATTCATCTATAATGTCAAAATCAAAAGGCAAAATCATAATTGGAGTCAAGATTTACTGTATTATAAAGAATAATATTAACAGGCAGTTTTATAGTAGATGTTCAATTAACAATTGCATGAAGCAGGGACTAATATAATTTTTATATAAAGAAAATTGAGTTATATGTGACTTTAGTAACTTGTTAAAGGTAGTTTAGCTAATGAGTGAAAGAGGAATGTTGGATATTCAGGTGTGTTGGGCTTCAAAGCTCATGGGTTTCAAACAAATGATCACCGTTGCCTGTGATTCCATAGGAATCAAATGAGAATATGATGAAGCTTCCCCTGTGTAGCAATGGCACTGCACAATAACCTTGACAATGTGTCCCTGACCTTCAGTCAGGCCAGGTAAGTGTCTCTTCAACTCTCAAAGGAGGGTGGCTATGTATGATATAAAGGCTCTACCTCCAGCAATTCTCCCATCTGAATCACTGAGTTCTCAGTAGAGCACAAGGATTTCCAATGAAAACAATAAAAATTAAGATTCAGTGGTTTTTTTTTTGGTTGATCTTAATTTTCTTACAAATATGTTTATATTAATCAGGCCTAAATTATTTGAGTGTGTGTGTGTGTGCGTGTGTCTGTGTGTGTGGCTGGGGGGTGGGGTGCGTGGGTGTCTCTCCTAATGTATATCCCATAACATTAGCTTAAATTTCCTCCATATCATCTTTGTCGTTATTGTAAGTGTCTTTCCTTCTTATGACATCATCTCTGTAAGCCAAAAACATGTCTAACCAGGATTGGTTAGGCCAAAGAATATTTCTGGTGCAGACAATAATAATAATAATATGTGGAATTCTCAAATGCAATTTTAATTTATTAAATTCACTGGGAATAAAAAGGACTCTTGCATTAAGTGCTATTGGGGCAGGAGAAGAGAAAGAGAGCATTTAGGATACTCTGGAGAGAACATTTTGTTCCATTTTAATATATCGAGATTAGAAAATAAGCAACATCTGAAATACTATTTTCACAAATGAAAAATCTTGCTTGCTAGAACAAGTGAATGAAGTTATATAACTTAATGGTAAACTGGCATTAAAAGGAATTTTTAATGTAAAAAAGAGGCATTTACTTGTGTTTTGTGGCTATACTCTCTTGGTGATATTAACGCAAATGCAACTTCCTAATACAGGTAGGAGGAATTAATTTCCCTTCCATTTGTATATTAGCAATAAGATTGTTCACAAATTAAACACAACACAAAATCATAGATAACATTAGTTTTAGAGTCCTATAGCAAGTAAATATATTTTTTAAAACTCTGCAAATCACCAAACTTCTAAAAAATCATTTAAAAAATCAGGTCTCATGATGAATATTATTAAGCTAGTCATTTCAAAATTCTGAATGAAATCTCCTAAGTAAAATTTAATTGCACTAGCTAAAATAATTATATTTATTTGGCAGCTAGAATCTTCCTTATTTCTGTATCGCAGATAGGAGCAATATTTGACACATGGCAGGTTCTTAAACATATTTTCTTAAAAATCTAAATCTGTACCTTTTAGTTTAAATTAAATAAAGAGAGAAAGAAGTAGTCAAGGGAGGGACTAGGAAAGAAGATGAGAGAAAAAGAATAATTTTATCAACAGTTATGTTTATTTCCTGCATGGCTGGATACACGTTTCATATAAGGATACAGTTTTTATGTTACTTTCAGTCATAATTTTAAAATTTGTCATTCACAATTTTTAGATCTTTGATTAATATCAATATATATTCATCAGATAGGATAAAATTGAATTAATGTCAAAATGTTTTAATCAAAATCATATTAATTTTGCAAAAATAATGGAAACATTGTATAAATTGTAGAAGACAGGTTTCGGAAAAAGAACAAAGAGTAAGAATCTGTATGCCAGCTCAACGAAATCCTACTTCTAGTGAGCTATAGCCTTTATATAAACAAAAATATATCTCTAGACTAGATAAGTCTGTCTTTATAAAGTGGCTGTACATGCTTTGCTCCAATTATGAATTCTCCAAATACATTTTGATCTGTAGTTTTATCCTAAGTAACTTTGCTCCTTTAAAATGGCTGCACCATGTAAATGAGCATTATTGGGTATGTTAAAAGTTAAGATCTCCATTGGTTAGTAAATACTTTAGCATTTATTTTATCAATTAGTATATTTATATTAGATGTAACTTAATTGATTACTTCAATATAATCCTTCCTTGAATTAGCTGGCTAAATACCATTCCTAGAACTCTAATGCTCAGGACTGGACTGTGAAACCATGGTCAATGGCCCTGATGTTCAATTAACAACTGTATGAAGCAGGGTTGTTCTAATATAATAAACAGTTCTAGGTGTACTGCCGCCCTGCTGGCCATATCACCCACCAGGAATAAAGCTGACATCAACTCGGAGAAATGACTCCTCATGCACTCCATTCTAAAGCAATTTTCGAAAGGTACATTATTGTAAAAATGTGAGAAATACTTCACTGAACATAGATTGTGTGATTTAGACAAAAGAAATATATCTTCTTATTTTTGAAATGTAATGGTTAATTTATTTATTTGACATAATTGAACAGCAGCTTAACTCTTTTCTTAACAAATGGAAGACTTGAAATTTTATTTTTTTAATTTTATTTTTTAATTGTGAGATAAAATTGTACATATGTATTGTGTAAATGATGTTTTGAAGTATATATACATTGTGAAATGGTTAAGTCTAGCTAATTCACATATGCGTTACCTCACAGAGTTATTGTTTTTGTGGCGAGAATGCTTAACACCAACTTTCTTAGAATTTTTCAAGAATACAGTATAGTTATAATGGAAATATATTTTCTATATGAAATGCATTCTAGCATCTTTTCTATAGTAAATGTGGCCATTTCCACATTGCTGTCACTTCTAGTACTTACAGAATACTATTATAGCATAATGACTCTTATGGTCAAAGAAATTATTTTTAAGTCCAATATGCTTTTTTAACTTATTTTTATCATTTCAGACTCTAGAATGCTTTTTGCATTTATTATAGAGGAATTATATGAAATGAAAAATAAAATTTAAAGAAAAGTAGTTTAAACTTTCCCTTAGACCATACACTAAGAGTAAAAACAACTGTTTCAGCTAACTGCATCAGCAGTTCCCAACAAGAGTATCAATGCAGTCCATAGTTTAATATTTATTGAGGCTCCACAATATAGTATTAATTTCATTAAGTAAACCAATATATTTAAATATACTGATTATACCTGTAATTCAATAACATTAACTTGGTATTCTGAATGTCTTCTTTGACAATTTCCAATTGGCTAAGTACCACCTTAGAGGATAACTTACTATGTCATTACTGTGATAGCTAAATGTTCCTCTTAATATAAAGTATAGAAAAGAGACATGGTATTTGAATAGGTACTTCTGTTTTATTGAAATATTTTAAAATTCAATATAATGCAGTACAGCAATTCAAAAACTCATAATAAACAGCATTGTGATCTTCCAGTGCAAATACTATTATGTAAGATTAATGATAAGGTTCAACATTTATGTTGAAATAAAATTAATATCTCATTATGTACCTATTTTAACACTTATTCAATTTATTCTAATAGCATATCTTCTACAATATCTGCTCTGTCATGAGAACTATGAAGTTAAAACAATCAGTAATATCTGACTTTCCCTGAAGGATCACACAATCTACTTAGAAATACCATACACAGAGATTCAAGCTGCTAGAGAACAGATCAATGCCATATCTAAAAGAATGTGATGGTTAATCAATCATGGCTCAGTGTGGAGTTTTCATTTCTTTCCCTGTTCTATGACTCTTCTAATGGGTGAAACTCTGTATTAGTCTGTTTTTATGTTGCTGATAGTGACATGCTCAAAACCGGGTAATTTATAAATAAAAATAGGTTTAATGGACTCACAGTTTCATCTGTCTGGGGAGGCCTCACAATCATTGCAGAAGGCAAAAAGCATATCTTTCATGATGGCAGGCAAGAGAAAGAATGACAGCCAAGTGAAAGCGGAAACCCCTTATAAAATCACCAGATCTCGTGAGAACTATTCACTACCACGAGAACAGTATGAGAGAAACTGCCCCCATGATTGAATTATCTCCCACAGGGTCCCTCCTACAAGAGGTAAGAATTATGGGAGCTACAATTCAAGATGAGATTTGGGTGGGGACACAGCCAAACCATATCACTAACTAATTTTACTTTTTCATGAACACCTGTGCTTTTCCAATACTGTGAAGCCAATTACTTGGGTATACGGAAAAAACACAAGATGTCTTAAAACTTTTACTCTAAGGATTAAGATTTAGTGTAAAGCACCAGAAATTTTCCTCTATAAAGTGTCAGGTAGTACTTTAGTCTTTGCAGGCTACAAGGTCTCTGTTGCAACTACTCAACTCTGAAGCTGTAGCATCAACGTGGCCATAGACAATATCATGAGAACACCAAGGGGAAAATCTTTCCCATGATCCCATCACCTCCCACCATGCCCCTCCTCCAACACTGAGGATTACAATTTGACATGAGATTTGGGCGGGGACACAAATCCAAAACATATCACCAGGTTATCTGATTTGTACAAAGTTTTCCAGAGGCTTCCTTGCATCTTTTATACTTTTCTTCCATGGCTAGGCACCTGGTCTACTCAACTTAATACATCAACTTGGAGCTGGGGCTCACTTCATCACCAAGTCTTATTTCCAGACTTCCCACTAGTTGACCACGAACTTGAGGGAATCATGTTTTCAGTATATGACTCTCTGTGCATTTCCTAACTATCAGACTAGTTAGACTCTAATTTTATCTTTAATTGTATCACGCCTCTACTTTCCCATAGGATTTTATCTTTTCCACCAGTTTTCACTTCCTTTCCAAAATGCATACATGCTTGTCATTTCCTGCTGAAATTCACTTGGACTCAACCACCAATGATAACAACTCCAAAACAATACACTTTTATTTTGAAGGTCTTTATTTTTCCAGAGTTTGTACTAAATGCTCTAAACATATAGACATTCAGAACACAGGTGGCAAGGTTGTATATTAAAGGATATAGCTGTGTGAATTATAATTTTTTTCTCCCCATCTGCATTCTCACCAGTATCCCAAGTTCCATTTTATCCTTTTCCAGACCTCAAATAAACCAAAACCAAGATTTAAGAAAGCCACAGGTTTAAGAATGAAACATAAATATACAGAATGTATTTGGTAAGCTTTTCTTTCCCTAGAGACTGTAATAGAAAAGGAATGTCAGCAGAGAGAGAAGCCCTGTGAGATCGCCTCTCACAGACAGGAAACCCTCCGAGTAAGAACCAAGGGCCAAGGACCGGATTGGAGAGGACACAGCAATGGGCTCTCCTGAAGTGTGCACCTTGTCCCCATACAAATTATCACAACAGCTGGACGCTCCACTGGCGAGAAAATCATGCGCAGAGAGGTTAAACAATGTGTCCAAGTCACACAAATAGAAATTGGCAGAAGCAGAACAAGTCCCAAAAGCAGTTTCACTCCAAATTACATTTTTCTAATATCTGCGGCAATTTAGCCATAGCAATTACTTCCTCCAAGTTTACCAGATCTCCTCATATTTCACTGTAATGTGACAACATATGAGGTCCACGCATGACAAGATTTGTTCTCACGAAACTTTGAAGACTGTGTGTAGAAAGGGGGAATATTTACATTCTACAAATCAGATGGGACGATGTGAAGTATTTTCTATAACTGAACTCAACTGCTCTTCAATCAACTCTTAAGGCAAACAATGTACTCGCTTCAATAATAGGATTGTTTTATGGTTACTTTCTTCTTCTCCTTTCCTTGCCCTTCTCCCAGGATGTGATCTACATTTCCAGGAGGCTTAACATATTGCCTTGGATTGCAGAGTAAGGGAATTTGGAGCCTCCATTGCCTGTGGTTAAGAGAGATTAACATTTGCAAAATCAAACACTCTGGTTCTTTCCCTCTCTTTCATTTTCTCACTATTTTCTTTCTCTCTCCCACCTTTTTCCCACTCTCCTCTCATCCCTGGACAGTAGTGACAGAAAGGAATTTTCATTTTTCATAATACAGCATGTACTTGCCTTACTACTGCTCTGGAATGACTCTGTGATACTTTATGAAAACCCTGGACTATCAGACAGAGCTTTTGAAATGTAAAACTGAGTTCTGAGAATCTACAACTCAAAAAGCCTGGTTTTAGAAACCAAAGCATTTGCTGTACAACTTCCAGTTTGCTATAAACGGCTATCATTTTGCTGAAGACAAGTCAAATGTTTTGAAACATGACGTGATTCATAACCAGTTTTAGAGAAAAATCAGAAACCATTAAAATTTCCATCAACAAGAGAATTAACTTACTGTTTAGAGAAAAATTATAAAGAACATAAATGCCTCAAAAAAGATTATTTTAAAATTAGAAAAATAACAGCTAAAATAGTTGATCTACTTGATCTAATAATCAAAAATGGAAAGGATAAAAAGACAAGATACAACTACATCTTTACACTATTCACGGTCCTATAATTTGTACATATCTGGAAGGAAATTTGACAATAGTTTCAAAATACTTTATAAAGTACCTACACTTTAATTCAGTATTTCTGCTGTAACACAGCCAATTGGTTTGGTGCAAAAATACTAATGTCAGCAATATCTGTAAAAGAGAAAAAATGGAAACAAACATAAATAAAAAGAATAAGGAAATTTTTAGATATATTTATTGACACACAGTCAACACTCAATAAATCCAGTTTGAATGAATAAATAAATGAATGGCTACTTTTCTTTCAACAAATACAGTTGACCCTTGAGCAATGATAGGATTAGGAAGCTTGAAACTCCGCCCCCTGCAAAGTCAAAATTAAGCATATAACTTTTCACTTCTCCAAATTTTAACTACTAATTACCAACTGTTGATCAGAAGCCTTATCAACAAAATGAAGTTGATTAACACCCATTTTGTAAGTTTTATGCATTGCAAATTGTATTTGTATAATAAAGTAAGTTAGAGAAAACAAAATCATAAGGAAGAAAAATGTATTTATTATTCATTAGGTGGAAGGGGTTCCTCATAAATGTCATCACCCTCATCTTGAGTAGGCTGAAGAGGAGGAGGCAGAGGAGGGCTGATCTTGGTGTCTCAGGGGTCCAGAGGTGGAGGAGGAGGCAGGAGGGGCAGGCACACTTGGTATAACTTTATAGAAACACTTTATAATTTCTCTCTTTTTATTTCCATTTTTCTAAATGCTTCTATATGGTACCAATTCTTCTTTCACCAATTGCTTCAGTTTCAGTGTCCATATGACAGAAGGGCCCATGTTATAAAAGAAGTCAAAAGCAGTCTTGAAATTGAAACCTTTCAGTTAGGTTGTCTGATGTCACTCTGTTTTTGGCCTCTTCTAAGTCTTTTTCCTCATTGTCTGGTGCTGGTTTGGAAGCAGTCATCTCCATCAAGTCATCTTCAGTTAACTCCTCTGGTGTGGTGTCTATTAGTTCTTGAATTTCTCCAAGATCTGTCTTGAAACCCCTCACTTCCCTTTTTTTTGCCACATCCACAATCTCTTTCATGATTGCCTTGATCAACTCTGTCATAAATCCTGTGAAGTCATGCATACCATATAGATGCCCTTTTTTATCCAGCAGGAACTTACTGCTTCAGGCTTGATAGCTTTCATGGCATTTTCTATAAAAATGATGACATCTTCAATGGCATAATGCTTCCAGATTTTTATATTGTTCTCTCTATTGGAGCTCTCTTCCTTAGCATTGGGAATCCTTTCCATAGAGTACCATGTAGAATGAAACTTAAAGGTTCTTATGACCCCCGATATAGAGGCTGAAGTAGGGACATTGTGTTTGGGGATAAGTAGACAACCTTGACACCTTCCCATGTTGAATCATGGGGTTCTGGGTGCCCAGAAACATTGTCAATATCAAATTTTAAAAGGCAAGGCACTTCCCAACTTTAAGGACAAAGCATTGACGGAATCAGTTCAGTAAAAGGGTTCTCATTGTCCAGGCCTTCTTGTTGTGCAACTAAAGACTGGCAGCTGGTATTTATCTCTCCCCTAGAAGACTCAGAGGTTAGCAGCTTTATAGATAAGGGCAGTCTGACAGCATTTGCACAAAACAGTAGAGCTGGCCTATTCCTTCCTGCCTTAAATCCTGGTGCTTGCTTCTCTTCCTTAGCAACAGATGCCCTTTGTGGCACTTTTGTCTTCATTAAAATTAAAAAAAACAAAACAAAAAACCGATTCAGGAAGATATCCTTTGTCCTCAATGACTTTCTTAATGGCTTCTGGGGATTTGTTTGCTTCCTCTTGTTATCTTTACATGTTTGAAGCCAGGCCTCTTTTTAAAAATATCAAGCCATCCTTTGCTGGCATTAAATTATCCAGATTTGGATCCTCCACCTTCCTTTAGCATTAAGTTGTCATACAATGATTTCACTTTTTCTAGAATCACATTAGAATCTGTAAATATGTCTTTTCATAGCAATTCTGCACCTGTGTAGAAGGTGCATTTTCAGTACAAGATAGAAAGGCATTTCGCAAGAAGTGTAAGGTTTTTGATCCTGCTGGTATAACTTCAGTGATGGCTTCACAAATTTCCTTTTCTATTTTAACGTTTGTCTTTGTGCTGAATTCATTTATCTTGAAATGATGGGCAGCTACAGCTACAGATCTTAATCTATGGTACATATCATAACAACTTTTTATTATAATGTCATGACTATTCTCTGCTTCTTGGGAGCACCTCCAGCATCACTAGTGGCAGTTTGTATGGGTTCCATGGTGTTATTCAAGGTTTATGGTATTGCATTAAACACAATTGAAAACACACAAGGATGGTGAGTGATCACTTTTTACTGGGTTATCCAATTTACTGGAGAGATGAACTGCTCACACAGAGACAACTAGTGTCATAAGACATTTTAAGAACATACTTGCAACACTTGAGCTCACCGCATTAGCAACAGGAGGTGGCTAAGAAATAATTACAGTTGTATAGTATGTACTACATTTAATTGTATGTAGTTATGATTTAATATTATATCTTCACATTTGTTTACCTTTCTCTACACTGCAAGTAGTGCCATGTATGGTTTGTGTTTATATGAAGCGTTTACACTCATGTGAAGTGCCAAACATATAGTAAGGATTCATTAATTATTATTAGTAGTAGTATTTTAAATTTCATTGCATAAACCCAAGACCAGTACCACTCCACAACCTTAAATGTTCTGCTTATAATACTTGAATTTTCATTTTCCCCAATATTCTATATTGCTTATTACAAGGTGGAAGCTGAGTAACAGGGAAAAAGATCATCACCAGGTCAGTCATAATTGAGGTAGAGGCTGTTGGAAACCAGCCCTTTATGCTTCATAGTATCCTATTAAACTACAACAAAACATATTTAATTTGGAAAACCAAGCTTTTAGATATAAGTTTTTGAAAATACAATTGTCATATATATATCTGGAAATAGAAACATTGAAGTTTGCCTTTTAAATATTTTTTGTCAAAGTGCAGATTATTAAAACTAGATATAGTACTAGAATGGAGAGCATGTGCTGGCATCAGTAGAGAAAATTTGATACTTTAACATGCATTATGTTTTTCACGAACTTCTAATCTGCAATATAACTTTATACAAATAAGAGTTATAACTTTATGCATACTTCTACATTCATACCTGGTTGCATGAATAGGCTCATTAACATACTGTCTTGACTCAAAAGAATGATGGCAATGCTGCCAATCATAAATTTTGTAATGCAACAATTTTATTATTCCTTTATAAATGTTTTCTATTTTCTTTTTTGTTCTTCCTATATCTCACTCTCTTTGCTACTCTTTCCTCTTTTTATACTTGGTAAGATACTTAAAATTTATTTTTTCTAAGTTAACGCCATGCTATCTTATGTGAATTGTAAAACTGCATAAAATAATTTTATGTAGAAAATAGCATCAGTTACACATGGCATTATGTCGTAATAACTCATAAAGCCAGGGCATATTCTCACATTACATCTCTGCCAAATTGGTTTCCATGCTGGTAAATGGAAGAATGATTGATCTGCTGCTGCCTAAAAATCTACAGCCTTTTTTCTGTCCTAAGGGTGACAAGATGTCTCAATAAGCAAATTTTCATTGCTAGTAAAATAATGCAGAAACTAGAATAAAAAGAACTCTGATGAGGATGATTTCACTAGACAAGAAATCAAATAAACTGCTGTGGAAGAGAGAATCAAAATAACAGATGAATCTTAAAATGCAAATGCATTATCCATGCAAAATATGTCTGGGGAGGGCCAAGTCGCAGCTGGACCTGCACAGTGGCAGAAAAGACACTTAAATCTGGAGAATGCAATAAAAGATTATTTTTACTGTATTTATCAAGTAATGACAGACTTAAATTCTCATACTGTAAGTGTTGAGATAATATCTAAAAAGACATCAAAATCCTAAGTGAACTAACACAAGAACAGACAATCAAATATCGCATGTTCTCACTTATAAGGTGTTCCCTCCCCCCGCCCCTCACCCACAATTGGTGAATAAATGGTGATGCAGAGATGATGATAATATCCCATTTGAAAGTACCACATCCTGAGAACTAAGATCTTGCCAGAATTGCAAGGGGTAAATTCATAAAATTCATAGGCCTGTCTTCCCTAAGGTAAACATGGAATTTTTGAAATAGATCTTTTCCTAGAAATATGTCAGCTTGGAAGAAGCATTTAAAAGGCAATTGAGAAAAACACCAGTAGAAGAAAATAAGTATTTATTTCCTGTCTTTTCTAAAATATATCTTTAAATTTATCTACTTTGACAAAATTAGAAAATATGTAGGGAAATCTGTATCATCAAATCATATCTGTACAGTATCTACCAGTATTATCCTTGCCAAACAAGGATGAAGAGAGTTGCTATAAAAAGTAGAATACTGAGAGTGAGAGGAAATACTAGGCAATGTAGCAATAAAATTCTATTTATGGACTCCCTTTGTATCTCTTTCTCCACCTAGCATTTCAACAGATGTTTAAATCTAATTTTGTTTTTTGAAAAACCTGAACTTCGAGTATCCCAGTTAATCTCAACTATGATCACACAAATACACAAAACAAATAAATAAGCATGCATCTATTAATATTATACATTCATTGGTATGCAATCTAAATATATTTGGACATTATAAAAGATATACCAAAATATAAATTTTAAAAGAGTAAATAAATGTTCAAATGGTTTTCCCACAATGACTTGTATTTTCTTGAATACTGACTGAGTTACTTGCATCCCAATTTGGAGGTCGTTATCTACCATTTGTGGGATTTAAGAAGGAGACAATCAAGATGAGACAGAAGAGGCTGTAAGGAATGTAGGCATTTGCTGAACTAGGGTCTATAAAAATAATTAACTCTGTGTAACGAGTGAAGAGTTCACCACACATATGCTGGGCTTGGTTTTCCCAGACATTCCAATTTTGCCTTTCCATGGGTCAAAAGATCACCTTACTTCCTGTTACTGAAGTGTGATCAAGGAGGGGGCTTAATAATCTCCTGGGATATTTAATGGAAGTGAAGTAGGTGCATGAGCAAAATTTCAGTGACATACAACTGAAATATTACTGCCCAAGTAAATACCTACTGCTGGACTACCTAGAAAGAAATTCAAAGAAGACCTTCCTATTACATCAGAGGACCAGGGCTCATGTTTTTTCCCTGCACTGGTGATCCTGCATGTTCTCCAACGGCAAAAATATTTTCCAACTATTAGCTCTGCTTCCAAGTTGGCTGTACTCTCTCTCCCTAGTAGAGAGCAGCAAATGGGCTCAGCATTGTGAAGATACTAACAGTCATCTACTATTCCCAAGTCATTTTTTCTGTTTATGAACATTCAGACACACATGTCCCTGAAAGTTAAGTCCTATGTATATTTATAATTCTAACCCAAGTAATCTAATCTAGACTTCTCACTTTAAACACATAAAAATGTACTTGCTTTATTCCCTTTCCAATTCTGTTGTTAAATTAGAAACTCAGATTACCTAAATCTAAAACTAAAAGTGCCCCTT